>NC_000014.9:31429894-31732925 GCF_000001405.40 Homo sapiens | reverse complement strand
CCATAAAAGAATAGGCCGGGCGCGGTGATGCACACCTGTAATCCCCAGCACTTTGGGAGGCCGAGGTGGGCAGATCATTTGAGGTCAGGAGTTCGAGACCAGCCTGGCCAACATGGTGAAACTCTGTCTCTACTAAAAATACAAAAATTAGCTGGGCATGGTGGCGCACACCTGTAGTCCCAGCTACTTGGGAGGCTGAGGCAGAAGAATTGCTTAAACCCGGGAGATGGAGGTTGCAGTGAGCTGAGATCATGCCACTGCACTCCAGCCTGGGCTACTGAGTGAGACTCCATCTCAAAAAAAAAAAAAAAAAAAAGAGAACAAATTGATAAGCTGGACTTACAAAGTTAAAAACAATCTACCCATGAAATGACACAATTTTAAAGATAAATAAGCAAGCCAGAAACTGAGAAAATCTCTCTCTCATACACAGAATATAAAGAACTCCCACAAATCAACCATTTTTAAAACTCATTTCTGATTTTTTAAAATTCAGAATATATTTTAATTCACATTTTTAAGCACAATAAATCTTTGACAGTGTATTAAAAAAGTGTTTTTAAAAAAGATTCTGAAATATAGGCTAGCTAAATGATTTGCCCAGAGTCTGATCTAACTAATTACTTTTGAAATTGCCAAAGTTAAAGGAGTGGACAGTGAGGTCAGCATAAGTAGTAGCAGATCTAGAACCTGGGTCTTCCAGTTTCCTTTTCTTTCTTTCATTTTTTTTTTGAGACAGAGTCTTGCTCTGTCACCCAGGCTGGAGTGCAGTGGCGCGATCTCGGCTCACTGCAAGCTCTGCCTCCTGGGTTCACGCCATTCTCCTGCCTCAGCCTCCCAAGTAGCTGCGATTACAGGCACACCATGCCCGGCTTTTTTGTATTTTTAGTAGAGACGGGATTTCACCGTTTTAGCCAGGATAGTCTAGCTCTCCTGACCTCGTGATCCGCCCGCCTCGGCCTCTCAAAGTCCTGGGATTACAGATATGAGCCACCGCGTCCGGCCTCCAGTTCCCTTTTCAAAGCAAGGAACTAGAAATCTAGAGAGCTAGCTAGAATTCCAAATTCCATCCTTCCTTTATGTTATACATTTGACCAAGTTGAGAGTTTCAGAGTATCTTCTGGTGATACTCTTCTGAGGAAGGCTAGAAAAGGAGGCTGTGTTATTCCTAAATGTAAGTCATAAAAATGGATAGTTCTCAAAATGCTATTTGAGTCTAGGCTTTCAGAATACAGGGGGCATTTCCAGGAATTCAGCCTCAGCTGTCCAGCTATATAAGCTGACACATGACAGCAGTATTTGAGTTTATAATGAACAAACTGTTCTTTGTATCCATTCCTGGCATCTATCTTAGGATCTGGCAAATATTACATACTTAGTAAATGTTTTCATTAAATGGTTAAATGGAAAAAATGAGAAGTTACAGCAGAAAACTTAAGCAATCTTTGGACTATGCTACATAAGTAAAAACTGCATTAACAGCAGTGCCCACTAAGAAGTGATGCTGAAACCCAGAGGCATAAAAAATTATGTGTGTCAAATGTATTATATAAGGTAATGATGGAATTTGGAATTCAAGCTGGCTCTCTGGATTTCTGGTTCTTTGCGCTGAATATCTGTATCTCTTACCATCTTCTTTGGAGCTCCCCTTTTTATCGTTCCACATTGCATTGTGAACTGTTTATTCTGACCTATCTCCCAGTTCACTAATTCTCTTTACACCTATATCTAATCTCATGTACAACCTAATGATTAAGTTTTAAATAGTGTGTTTTTCAGTTTTACTATTATCTTACTGCTTTCATATCTGCTGGATAATTTTTAGTTTCCAGTTTGTTGCTAGATTTTTATTTTTGGCCTTATTTCTTTGAACATAGCAAATTTAGTTGCTTTATAGTCTATGTCTAACAATTCCAGTGTATCATTTTCACTGAGTCTATTTCTATCGTCTGTTGTATCTACTAGGTTTTACTCAAAGTGTCTTTTATCCTTCCATGCCTGATTATCTTTGCCTGTGCACTGAATAATGTGTTTAAAAAAAAAATAAACTGACACATTGGCTGACAACGTCCTCTTCCAAAGAGAACTTTCTTTTGTCTCTGCTACAGCTTGGAAAAACTACAATCCAGGACCATCTTAATCTAAATTCTAGATTTAAGATTACCTGATCCAGGCCAGGTGCCTGTAATCCCAGCACTTTGGGAGGCCAAGGTGGATGGATCATGAGGTCAGGAGATCGAGACCATCCTGGCTAACACGGTGAAACCCAGTCTCTAGTAAAAATACAAAAAAAAATTAGTCAGGCATAGTGGTGGGCACCTGTAATCCCAGCTACTCGGGAGACTGAGGCAGGAGAATGGCGTGAACCCAGGAGGCGGAGCTTGCAGTGAGCTGAGATTGTGCCACCGCACTACAGCCTGGGCGACGGTGCAAGACTCCATCTCAAAAAAAAAAAAAAAAAAGATTACTTGATCCAGCAGATGATGATGAAAGTTGTCTTGCAAGTTTCTGGGAGAGCCAAATTAGCATTAATTCACTGCTACCCTGAAAGCTCAGCCTTTTGTGGTTCAAGCAAACTACAGTGCAGAATTCTCAACCTTGGCCAACTCCAGATTTTGACTTACACCCCTCAGTCTTGTGAAGCATATGAAGGCAGAACTTAGCTTCAAAACTGGTAAGCTATGATCAACAAACATCCTTAAAACAAAAGTGATTTTGAGAGAATATGCTTATTCCTATGGGTTCTCATCTTCTCCCAAATAATTGTAAAAATCTATTTTTCATATTTTATCCAATTTTTAAATTGTCCTTAGCATGAATATTGGTCCAAATTGCCGTACTGCCATGATATCAACAGAACCTTACTTTTTCTAATCATTAAATCTCTGTAAACTGGGAATAAAGGAAACACCCTTAACTTAATAAAAAGGATCTACTAGAAACCTACAGCATACATCACTCTTAATAGTGAAAGAGGAGAAACACTGCCATCAATATCATATATGAGACAAGGATGACCACTATCACTGTTATTATTCAAAATTCAACTGATGATGCTAGATAATGCAATAAGAAAAGGAAAACAATTAAGAGATATAAACACTGTCAAAGAGAACATCACCTACTTAGGAATTCTGTTTAAAAGTTACTAGGCTGGTGCAAAAGTAACTGTAGTTTTGCCATTTTAAAAAAATGGCAAAAACTTCAATTACTTTTACACCAACTTAATATTAGAATAAATAACAGTGTTAAGATGGCTGAATACAAGAAAAATACATAAAAATCAAGTTCCTAGGCAAAAGCAATAACAAAATACATATAAAGGCAAAAAGATTCTATTAATGTGGAAATAAGAGTTTACATATGACTAAAGTAATATGTTTTAATCTTGACATTCCAATAAACATTAAAAATTTGTACATTCAAATGTAGGTTTCTGCATTGTGGATTATTTATAAAAGGGTAAGCCTTTGGAATACTATTAAACTTGACCAAAATAAATAAGAACTATTTATTCTATGTTTGTTTACTTATATGTCACCTATAATGCTAAGGGCCACACCCATTTTGTTCATCATATATTCTGCATATGGTGTCTGGGGTAAGATATACATATTTGTTGAATGACTTTTTTTTTGGGGGGGGGGGGGATGGAGCATCTCTCTGTCACCCAGGCTGGAGTGCAGTGGTGCAATCTTGGCTCATTGCAACCTCTGCCTCCCAGGTTCAAGTGATTCTCTTGCCTCAGCCTCCCAAGTATTGGAATTACAGGCGCCTGCCACACGCCCAGCTAATTTTTGTATTTTTAGTAGAGAAGGGGTTTCTCCATGTTGGCCAGGCTGGTCTCAAACTCCTGAACTCAAGTGATCCGCCCACCTCAGCCTCCCAAAGCACTGGGATTACAGGCGTGAGCCACCGTGCCCAGCCGTACTTGTTGAATAATTATAAATGAGTAAACTCTTTCAATTTCAGGTGCTTAAACTCCTTAATTATTTCAATTTTGTTTGAAGTTCTATAGTAACTAATGTTAACCTTCTATATAAATAATCAGTTTCATAAGAAGATCCCCAATCTCAGGTTCAAAATTAGATAATAACTTTGGCTTTCAAGAGTTTTTAAAAGCAATTTGAAAGAATCACCTACTACAGTAACAGCAATGACATCTCACAAAAAGCTGGAAGGGATAGCAATCAACCAAGTTAGTCACTTGTAAAAGTATCAGCTATAATGAGATTGCAGAGACAGGTCTTATGGTTGAGAAAGTGAATAGTTGTCTAGTGATCAATAGTAGGGGTTCTTATTTCTCTTTGACCCTTCTAAATTGATATTACTTTGCAGTCATTAACTGAGTTTCTCTACTCACACTAAGTCTGGATCTAGCTACCTACAGGCTTTATACAGACACCATCATGTTACAAGGTGGTTCTAACAAAATACTTAATGCGTCTACTTGGTAAATACTTTTCAAATAAATCTATCAAAAATTTTACATGGCCAGGTGCAGTAGCTCACGCCTGTAATCCCAGCACTTTGGGAAGCTGAGGTAGGAGGATGGAGACCATCTTGGGAAATGTAGCGAGATCTTGTCTCTATTTTAACAATAATAATAATAATAAATAAATTTATAATACAACACAAGAAAATAAATAAGTACATTTGAGTGGCTCTCAGTTTCCATTTCCTCACTTGGGTTTATGGGAAATAAATAAATATCAAGTAAAAAGCACCTGAATCTATGAAAAAATATGAATGTTTTTAATGTAGTGATAAAAAGTAGTAAAAAAAACTAGCTTCAATTCTGCCTTCTATAAATAACAAAATTTAGATTTCAGTTGACAGCTTCTATACAGGTTTTATGCCAAAGCAATTTAGAAACAGACAAGTCAGAAACTCCTTAAAATTTTTTGATTTTATAATAGAAATGCTGACAGATGCTTCTTTTATAATAATGCCCAGTAAGACTATTATATTTTATAAATGACTACATCATAATATATATGCAAATGTTGTATATTAAAATGCAACAGTTCCCAGCTTATACTTAAATCAGGACCATGAATAGTTTAGTAAAATATGTTACAAACAAAGTGTGATGTGACAAGAAAACATACTGAATTAAAATATAATACAAGCAGGGATTTATTAGAACTTGCTATTTGGATTTATTAGAACTTGCTATTTGGATTTAAACAAAAGGAAATATCAATGTAAATACTAGGAAGGGGAGTCAAGACGTACAAACTAAGTGTGGCCCAAAAATAATTTATTTCTAATGTGCCTAGCATATACCATAACTGCTTATGAAACCATATCCATCATGAGATGATCATACTTCTACACTAAGACCAAAATATAAATTTTAAAATATACATAACTTTAAAAAAATCCTTGGGTCTCCTGCTTCTAGAATCTTTGATCACCTGCTCAGCTTTCTGCTGCTGCTGTCCTTTTCTGCTGTTATACCTTATGATGTCTTTGTCTTTGACAGTTACAAACCACTAATTCCACCAACCCCTCCTTTTGAACTCTCCACATCTGTATTTCAACATATAATGGTTGTCAAGGTAATTTGGGGCTGAAAAAACAATATAAGAGAAATATGGTAAGCCTTCATTACTGAGGACCTAAAGCTAAATAATCAACTTGAATTCATCATATTTCAAAACAAATTAGAAATACGTAAGAGCATTCTACAATTTCTTCATTATAAAGCTACAGGCATGCCTCAACACACAGCTCATACTAGTGCACAGTTCATCTTAAAATAAATAATTTACAATGAGCTTTCCTTAAATGACACTATTTTCTTTAATTTTATCTAATGAAAATATTGGATTCATCTATTAGCATGGGTGTGTTCTGGTGGGTTATTCGCTAACTCAACAAGAGCTGATTTGCCCCTAAAGGAACGTTTGGTGACGCCTGAAGATATTTTTTATTGCTATGACTGTTAAGTGGGGGTGGGGGTTGCTACTGATATCTGTTGAGTATTTAGCAGCCAGAGATGCTGCTAAAATCCTACAATGTACAGGACAGCCCCTTCAAGACAAAGCATCATCAGCTCAAAACATTGATAGTGCCACTGTTGAGAAGCCCTGCAGTGATGCCTTTGACTTCCTAGAAAGCAATTCACAATAGTTTCCCTTATTTTTAACCCAGTATAAACACTCAAGTCATCAATCAAAAATCAGAACTGAACTTTAGGCAAAGAGAAGGAATGAAGTATCCAGATGACCTGTGAGAATAATTAACTCATTATTCATTTAGTCAACAAGTGTATCAAGCATGGTGCTCTCTAGACATTGAGGATACTGTGGTCCCCCAGACAGACAAGATCTCTGCTTTCATATAGCTTATATTTTAGTGAATCTCAGGTTGAAGAAATCTGCAAACTAAACAAAAAACCCTGAATGCCTGACACATTCCAGAAAAATGATATAGCAACATGCAAACAGTTCCACTGATAGAGCATTCATTCTATTTTTGAAATATATTTATTTTTATGAGCCAAAATAACCTTCCCAGTAGTTTTCACCCTTGGATCAGATTTCTGCTCTCTTGGGTCATAAAAAACAAATCCCTGTTTCACATGACAGCCCTTTATACTTTAAGACAGCTATATCAAATATCTCTGAACTTTGTCTCCTAAAGGCTAAAATAATTCTATCGGTGCTTTGGACAGATCTTTATAAGACATAATCCTTAAGACTGGAAGGAAAGGAGTACAAATACCAGGTTCTATATGACTTTAGGCCATTAATTAGTAATTGCTACATAAATTTTCTTGAACTGTCCTTCTCAAACTTGCAATATTTATTTTTATGAGAAAGGCCATAACATTTACCAACTCCTATGTACAAAGCAATGTTTGACACTTCTAGATAAAATACATCTTTAATTCAAAAATCTGAAATCGGACCAGGCACGGTGGCTCACACCTGTAATCCCAGGACTTTGGGAGGCTGAGGCAGACAGATCATTTGAGGTCAGGAGTTCGAGACCATCCTGGCCAACATGATGAAACCCCGTCACTACTAAAAATACAAAAATTATCTGGGCGTGGTGGTGGGCGCCTGTAATCCCAGCTACTTGGGAGGCTGAGGCAGGAAAATCGTTTAAACCCGGGAGGTGGAGATTGTAGTGAGCCAAGATTGCACCACTCCACTCCAGCCTGGGCAACAGAGTGAGACTCAAGTCAAAAAAAAAAAAAAAAAAAGCTGAAATCTAAAATGTTCCAAAATCTGAAATTTTTTGAGCAGTGACATGACCCGACAAGTGGAAAATTCCACATCTGACTTCATGTGATGGGGTGCAGTCAATGCAGTCAAAGATTTGTTTCATGCACCAAATTATTTCAAATGTATAAAATTGCCTTCAGGCTATGTGTATAAAGTGTATATGAAACATAAGTAAATTTCATGTTTAGACTTGGATCCCATCCTCAAGGTATCTCATTATGTATATGAAAGTATTCCAAAATCCAAAAAAAATCTGATATCCAAAACACTTCTGGTACGCAGCATTTTGGATAAAAGATACTCAGCCTGTATCTCATTTAGTTATCACAACAATCCCATGAAGTAATGGATAGCAATTAACAAAACAAACTGGATTTGTAGCACTGAACAAGCCTGTTGACCTCTCTGTCTCTGTGTTTTAACCAAAAAATGGAGACAATAATACAACCTATCTCACAGGGTTGTTTGAGTACTCTTAATTGGTCTACCTACTTTCATTCTTCTCCTAACCTCTACCTTTCAATCCCACTCAGTTCAATTCTCTACACAAGCCACCAAAGTAATCCTTTTAAAACAACCAAATCATGTCCCTTTTACTACCCTAAACTTCCAATTGCTTTTATCATATTTGGAATAAAGTTCAAAATCTTTACTATAAGATACTAGATGACATAACCCCTGGCTTCCTTGCTCACTTGACACTTGTGCACTTGTTCCCTTCATTTTGTATGTTCTTCCTCCAAATACCTGGATGGCTCACTCCCTTTCCTTCCATTCAAGTCTCTGCTTAAATGTCACCTTCTCAGATAAGCCTTCCCTGATCATTCTCAATTGTCTTATCTTGCCTTTTTTTCCAAAGCATGGATCATTAATCAATGTTATACTATACGGTTTTCATTTATCTGTTTGTTTCTGTCTCTACCACCAAAATGTACGATCCACAAGACAAAGGTCTTTGTTTCATCACTGTATCTCCAGCCCTAGCATAGTAACTAACACATTATAGGTGTTCAATAAATTGTCAATTAGTGAGCAAAATGAAATAATTCAAGTAAAAAGCAGAGCAAAATTCTTGGCAAACAGAACACATTCAAACAATGCTAGCTATTATAACTACCAATAGCAGTGTCTCTTATTTTTCAAAAATTCATTAAACAAACCATTACTGAATACTACCTCCATGCTGGGCACTGTACAGTGGAACTTTATAATACTGATGCTAGGTTTAGGACATTTTTAAAAACCTGCTAAAGAGCCAGTGGCATGAGATTATAATTATAATCAATAAAATGCCTTCAAAAGGCTTTGAGAATTCCACTCCTCATAGAACTTACGGTTTTTCCTTTAAAGTGATTTTATTAGATCTCATTAGCCCAACCAAGCACAGTACCAGGCCTTAGCAGTTGATCACAAAATGTTAACAGTGAGGCATTATAATTTCCTTCTTCAAATTTTTTTCAGGCTGTTGGTTTCTCTTAAATCCAAAAGCCAAGACATACACTAGCCATGAACAATTGAAGAATATCACTAAAGATACCAAGTGGCATTAAATGTATTAAACAATTCAAATAAGGTTATATAGAGCTCAAAATAATAAAAGCCATTTGTGAGAAACCCCTAGACAACCTCATATTGAATGGGCAAAAGCTGGAAGCATTCCCCTTGAAAACTGGCACAACGATGCCCTCTCTCACCACTCCTATTCAACTTAGTATTGGAAGTCCTGACCAGAGCAATCAGGAATGAGAAAGAAACAAAGGGCATCCCAATGGAACAAGAGGTAGTCAAACTATCCCTGTTTGCAGACCACATGATTCTACATCTAGAAAACCCTATAGTCTCGGTCTAAAAGTTCTTACGCTGATAAACAACTTCAGCAACATTTCAGGATACAAAACCAATGTACAGAAATTGCTAGCATTCCTATACAGCAACAACAGTCAAACCGAGAGCCAAATCAGGAACACAATCTCATTCATAACTGACACAAAAAGAATAAAGCCTACAAGTATAGCAAACCAGGGAGGTGAAAGATCTCTACAATGAAAACTACAAAACACTGCTCAAAGAAATCAGAGATGACACAAACAAATGGAAATACATTCCATGCTTATGGATGGATAGGAAGAATCAATATCATTTAAATGGTCATACTGCTCAAAGCAATTTACAGATTCAATGGCAGTCTTATCAAACTACCAATTACATTCTTCACAGAACTAGAAAAAACTATTTTAAAATTCATGTGGAACCAAACAAGAACCTGAATAGCCAAGGCAATCCTAAGCAAAAAGAACAAATCCAGAGGCTTCATGCTACCTGACTTCATACTATTCTATAGGGCTACAGTAACCAAAACAACATGGTACTGGTACAAAAACAGGTGCATAGACCAATGGAACAGAATAAATAACCCAGAAATAAGGCCACACACCAACAACCATCTGGTCTTTGACAAGCTGACAAAAACAAGCAATGAGGAAAAGACTCCCTATTCAATAAACAGTGCTGGGATAACTGGCTGGCCATATGCAGAAGATTCACACTGGACCCCTTCCTTACACCATATACAAAAATCAGTTCAAGATGGATTAAAGAATTAAATGCAATATCAAAAGCTATAAAAATCCTGGAAGACAACCTAGGCAATACCATTCTGGATACAGGAACAAGCAAAGATTTCATGACAAAGACACCAACAGCAATTGCAACAAAAGCAAAAATTGACAAATGGATGCAATTAAACTTAAAAGCTTCTGCACAGAAAAAAACAAAAAAAAACTATCTTCAGAGTAAACAGTCAACCTACAGAATGAGAGAAAATATTCACAAACTCTGCATGTGACAAAGATCTAATTCCAGCATCTATAAGGAACTTAAACAAATTTATAAGAAAAAAAACCAACCCCATTAAAAGGTGGGCAAAGGACATGAACAGACACTTTTCAAAAGAAGACATATGTGCAGCCAACAAACATATGAAAACAAGCTCAGCATCACTGATCGTTAGAGAAATGCAAATCAAAACCACAATGAGATACCATCTCACACCAATCAGAATGGCATTAAAATGTCAAAAAATAACAGATACTGGCGAAGTAGCGGAGAAAAGGGAACACTTACACATTGTTGATGGGAGTGTAAATTTGCTCAACCATTGTGGAAAGAAGTGTGGCCATTCCTCAAAGAACTAAACACAGAAGCACCATTTGACCCAGCAATCCCATTACTGGGTATATACCCAAAGTAATATCAATCTTTCTACCATAAAGACACATGCACACATGTGTTCATTACAATACTATTCACAATAGCAAAGACATGGAATCAACCTAAATGCGCTTCAATGACAGGTTGAATAAATAAAATGTGGTACATGGCCGGGCGTGGTGGCTTATGCCTGTAATCCCAGCACTTTGGGAGGCCAAGGTGGGTGTATCACAAGGTCAGGAGATTGAGACCATCCTGGCAAACACAGTGAAAACCCGTCTCTACTAAAAAACAAAAAACAAAAACCAAAAATATTAGCTGGGCATGGTGGCAGGCACCTGTAGTCCCAGCTACTCGGGAGGCTGAGGCAGAAGAATGGCGTGAACCCAGGAGGTGGAGCTTGCAGTGAGCCAAGACTGTGCCACTGCACTCCAGCCTGGGCGACAGAACGAGACTCTGTCTCAAAAGAAAAAAAAGAAAATGTGGTACATATACACCATGGAATACTATGCATCCATAAAAAAGAATGAGGTCATGTATTTTGCAGGAACGTGGATGGAGCTAGAGGCCATTATCCTTAGCAAACTAACACAAGAACAGAAAACCAAATACCACATTTTCTCACTTATAAGTGAGGGAGCTAAGAGATGAGAACACATGAATACAAAGAGGGGAACAACAGACACTGGGGTCTACTTAAAGGTGGAGAATGGGGGGAGGGAGAGAAAAAAACTGTTGGGTACTGGGCTTAGTACCTGTGTGACAAAATAATCTGTACAACAAACCCCCGGGACATGAGTTCACCTATATAACAAACCTGCACATGTACCACAGAACCTAAAATAAAAGTTTAAAAAAAAAAACGTTACTAGAGATGCACCTGAGGTGTAATAGAGTCCCTTCCCAGCTATATGTGACCTTATGAAAGCTACTTAGCTTTTCTATGCTTCTGTTTCCTCATCTGAAAAACAGAAAAAAAAATTACCCTACATAATAAAATTATTATGAAAATGAAATAAAAGCAGTGAAAATTTCAGCCATATACTAAGCCAGCTCAACGTTTGTTCTCTCCATTCATGGAATATAAACTCTGGCAATAGCATGGAATCTACTGGAAATGCTTTATACTTTTGTGAAATGTCTAAAATATCTGGCACACACTCAGTAAATGTTGGCCTTATGTTAAATTCTATAAGGCAAACATACTTAATTCCCCAGTATTTAGATATTTAGATATCCAATATTTAGATAGTAAAATCATCAGAGAAACAGGGCAATTTGCCTAAGACTTTGTACTAATGAAGTAAAACTAATAGTTACACACTTTACAAAAGGGGATTAGCATTACTTTAGAATTGAAAGCCTCCGAACATTGCCATTAACCCATACGACTCCCCAAAATTTGAGTCATTTTTTACTTATTTGTTCATCAGCCAACAAACGCATCTTGAAATAGAACTACATGCCACATACTATTCTAGGTGCTAGTGATAAAAAGAAAAAGGCTTGGTGTCCCTCACTTACTATGAAGGAATTCAAGGGCTCTTTAAATGGTTCATTGTAAGGGTTATGGAAACTTTAAGGAGGAAACTAATTATTTGATAAAAGACTTTATAGCAGTGCTGTCCAATAGAAGTTTCTGCAGTGATAAAAATTTTCTTTAATCTGTACTGTCCAACACAATAGCCACTAGCCACATGTGACTACTGAGCATGTGAAATATACTTACGACTGATGAACTGAATTTTTTTTACTTTATTTTACTTTAATTTAAAAGCCACATATAGCTAGTAGTTACTGTATTGGACAGCACAGCTTTAAAGGATAGGTAATATTTGAGCTGAAGCATTGAAGAAGAAAGTAAGAAGCCAATGAGGTGAGAGGTAGTACGTTCTAAGCAATGGAAAAGAAACAAAGTACACAAAGGACTCTGAGAACACCTCAGTGTTTTCAGGGAAGGCTACCTATGTGGAATGTGGAAAGAGGAGAATAATGAGGCTAAAAGGGACAGACAGGACCAAAATACGAATGTCCTTGAAAACCAGGCAAATGCCTTATGCCACAGACAATGAAAAAATATCAAAGACTTTAAAACCAGAGGATATATTACTATATCCATGTTTTAGAAAGATAATTTTTAACCATAAGATGAGTAATACATTGAAAGAAGAGTCCAGAGGTAGGAAGACCAGCTATGCACGTTATTATTGCAGTACTCCAAGTTAGATGACGAAGACTTGAACTACTGCAATTATAGCGAGAATGGAGATGAACAAATTTAAGAGTGATTTCAAAGATAAAATTAGTGGGACTTACAGAATTATGAGAAGTGGGCGATGAGAATAAATCAAAGTAAAAGTAATAAGGTACTAGCCTGGAAAATCATATAATCTAGGCACTTTCCACATTGGCTAAAGGGATTAAAGAAAGTTTATAGGCTCCTGCTCAATGTTGTATGTAAGTAAACAATCTAAATATCCAATAAGCTCTTAAGAGTTAAATAAATTATAAAATCAGTCAAGATGGCATACTATATCATTATTTAAATCATTTTTAAAAGAATATTAATAGCAGGGTAAAATGTTCATGACATGGCATAATGAAGTAAGTTGGCTAAAAAGCAGCATGTATAGCATTATCATGATCTCATTGTATGCACTGGTAGATATTTTTAATTGAAAGAATATGCCAAAAAATTAATAGTGGCTTACTTTGATCATGGGGTAATGGGCCATTATAATTTCTTTCTTGAATATTTTTTTCTTATTGTCTAATTATACCACAAGTATAAGACTTTTTTATTTACAAAAATAAACTTTTGCTTTAATGCTATGCACCTAAAAGCACTGGGGCCTATGGTGAATCTACTGATGCCTGCAACTGTCTCACAAACTGTGGGAAGTGACAGGACCAGACTCCAAGTCTAGTGCAGTTCTTTATGGGAGACTAAATTCACAGCAAATTAAATAAGGTAGTTTTTTTTTTTTCCTTTAGGAATGTCTGACTGAATTATAAAGTATAAAATGGATTATTTCCCATTTAATTTATTTATAATGTCTTAACCTGTATGACTTATGTCTATATACTTGCAATTATAAGTGAGAGTTCAGTATAAACCTATACAGATTGTCCCACACATACAATGGCTCAACTTATGATTTTTTGGCTTTACGATGGTATGAAAGCAATACATATTCAGTAGAAATTATACTTCAAATTTTGAATCTTTATCTTTTCCTGGACTGGTGACATACAGGCAGTATGACACTCTCTGGCGATGCAGGGCGGCAGCAACAAATCAGTTCCCAGCTATTCAGTCATGAGGGTAAACAACACATATTCTTTAGTGTGCTGTGTTGCCAGCACTTTTTGGATATCATTTTGCCCAAATGTAGGCTAATGTATGTGTTCAGACCACGTTTAATGTGGGCCAGGCTAAGCTGTGATTTTTGGTAGGTTAGGTGTATTAAATGCATTTTTGACTTACGATATTTTCAACTTAACGATGGGTTAATCGAGACATAACTTCATCATAAATTGAGATGCATCTCTATTTTATTCTGTGTAGTCATGCAAAAAAGAGATTTATTCTGTTCATACTCAATTTCAATTACTCAGGTTCATTTGATATAGAGCAGACACTACGTGCTGAAGAAGCAGCTCAGCAAACACTAATCTTTTTTATATGTACATGCCAGTCCCTTTTTGCACTTAACAAAACCTGGCTTTCCAAGTTCTAAATTTAGATTTATGAAGAAATCCTGACCTAGTAAAGATAAGCCTGACACAAAGGTATATGACTGTGGCAACTCCTCATACATCCTGGATCTGAATAAAATACAAATTATATAAGTAATGTAATAACTCCCCTCACTAAATGGAAAATTAATAGAATTTTTTTACTACAATTTTAATCACTTTGCTGTAAGATAGGCTGTACTTGTCTTAAGAAACCACATGTATATTAAAAATATAATCTTACACCAACATTTCTGGCCATATGACAGAATCTTATTCTGATCATTTTCCAGAAGGCAAAAAATAAAGGCCTGAGATTAAAAGCATTTTTCCATTTAGATGTTTAGAAACTTGGGTTTGATTTTCTTAACTAAGATTAGTTATATATTTTATTTCTATCTTTGCTATTAAAGCACACTGGCAGAAAGACAGTCTTTTCCCTGGGACACTTGTAAACAGCCCCAAGTCTAAGTAGCAGCAATTGTTCATTCAATAAATATAACAAAATTGACAGAGGTCAAACAGTGAGATAGCAGCAGATCTGGGACTAGGGCTGGATCTCCTGGCTTGAAATCTAATGTTCTTCTCTGACAAGATTATAGTTCTTAAAATATGTTTTCCGTGAAAGATAAAAAAAGAGAATATATTTTAGGATACCAGTTAGTGACTCTTGGAAAGCATCTTCTAGCTCTCAAACCCATAAATTGCCTTAGATGTTTTGGCTAACTACCACATACTACACAGTGGGTAAGAGTCACCAAAATAATCACTCCACAAACAAAAAGAATTTTGAATTCTGCAACAGCAATTAGCCACTAGTATCTTACTATGTTTCTGTGATCTGATGTCCATTTCCATGGAAACAGAAAAAAAAGTGAGAGGCAGCCAAGAGAAGAGATGTCAGAACTTGTCAGGTTCAGTAGTCGGGGCCGAAAGCTGAAAATACCATTTTTTTTTTTTAAACAAACACCATCAGCTGACTTCTGACACAAAATCGATTCTTGAGTTAGGCAATGTCAGCTTGCCTGGAGAAGCATAAAGCTAAGGAACAGGCTTGGGGTTGTTTTGGTAGTGGTGTTTCTTTTTAAGGCTTAGATTAAGAGTGAAGGAGCCACAAATTAAAAGCAAGCTTCAAAATTCTAAATTTCTAAAACACAGGAATGCAATAAAAACTGTCTGAAATGTCACAAAGTGAAGAGAAGAATTTCTTGCTATGATAGGGGAAAATGTGGGTCTACCACAGAGCACTGTCTGGAATGAATAGCAACCAGGTAGAGGTAGGGAAAAGAAGGCACAGGAAGCAGCATGTATAAAGGCCCTGAGACAAGAGAATGTGTGGCCCTTTCAACATGCTGCAGAACACAAGAGCACTTAATATGAAGTGAGAGGTTACCACACAAGGCTTTCCCAAAGGAGTAACATCTAAGCTAAGACATGAAGGATAAGATGGAGTTAGTTAAGAACAGGGTATTCCAGCAAGACAGGAAAGCAGGAGGGAAGGCCCAGAAGCAAGAGACAGCAAAGTGAATTCAGGAATATCAAACTGCTTAAGACAGCTGGAACAGAGAGTAGAAGTGGGAAAATGTGCCCTGATTAGATAAAGAAGGACCTTTTTCCTAGGTTAGATTTTGAACTTTTGTCCAAAAAACAAGGTGCCACAAAAGGGTATAAATCAGGAAAGTAACTTGATGAGATCTGAATTTTAGTAAGATTAGTCAGAATATCTCAGATTATATAGGAATATAGGTAAAGAGTCTGTTACAGCTTTCCCAAAAAACAGAAAAGGGTGGACATTGTAGGGAAGGATAGCAGCAGAGATGGGAGAAATGAACACCATAAGTACAAACAGTGGGAAAGAAAGAAGGATGAGTCAAGGGTGACACTCAGGATTTTAGCCTGAGCAGCTAGGTGGTTGGTAGTGTCAATCATTAAGTCTCTGTCACAAGAAAAGAAGGAAGACTTTCAGGTAGATGAGTGATGAATTCTAATCTGGACTTTGGGACTTTGAGATATCCATAGGACAGTCAAGCAGAGCTTTCCATTAGGCATTGCCCAGAATGAGCACAAAATCAGAAAAGGTTCCTAGAGATGAATTGCAGAGGTTTTAGACTCTGTTCAAATGTTGGCTGCACCATTTACTAATTACAGTTATGTGCAGAGAAGGATATTTTGGTCAATAATGGGCCACATAGGCAATGGTCCCTTAAGATTATAATGGAGCTGCTGAAAAATTCCTATTGCCTAGTGACATCATAGCTGTTGTAAAGTCATAACTGTCTTAACATCATAGCACAACAAATTACTCATAAGTGTGGTTATGCTGGTATAAACAAATCTACTGCACTGCCAGTCACATAAAAGTGTAACATATACAATTAGGTACAGTACATAATACTGGGTGATGGTGATGATGATAATAAAGGACCATGTCACTGGTTTATTTACTACAGTATACTTTTTATCATTACTATAGAGTGTATTCCTTCCCTTATTAAGAAAACAAAGTTACCTGTCAAACAGACTCAGGCAGGTCCTTCAAAAGGTATTCCAGAAGAAGGCATTGTTATCATAGGAAATGACAGCTTCATGCATGTTACTGTCCCTGAAGACCTTTCAGTGGGACAAGATGTGGAGGTGGAAGACAATGATACTGCTAATCCTGACCCATGTAGGCCTAGCCTAATATGAGTGTCTGTGTCTAAGTTTTTGACCAAAAAAAATTTTTTAAGTAAAAGAAAAAAAAATTTTAACAGAAAAAAAAAGCTTACAGAAAAAAGGATGTAAAGAAAGAAAATATTTCCGTACAGATGTATAATGTGTTTGTGGTATAAATATTATGAGTCAAAACGTTTTTTGCAACTTAAAAAGTTTATGAAGTAATAAAGTTACAGTAAGCTAAGGCAGATTTATAATTGAGAGAAAGAAAATTTTTTAAATAAATTTAGTGTAGCCTAAGTGTACAATGTTTATAAAGTCTACAGTAGTGTACAGCAATGTTCTAGGCAATCACATTCACTCACCACTCACTTACTGACTCACCCACAGCAACTTTCAGTCCTGCAAGCTCCATGCATGGTAAGTGCCCTACACAGGGGCACCATTTTTCATATTTTACACTGTATTTTTATTGTACCTTTCCTATGTTTAGGTATGTTCAGATACACAAATATTTACCATTGTGTTACAATTCCCTATAGTATTCAGTACAATAACATGCTGTTCAATTTTGTAGCCTAGGAGCAATAGGCTATGCCATATAGAGCCTAGGTGTGTGGTAGGCTATACTATCTAGGTTTGTGGAAGTACACTCTATGATGTTCGCACAATGACAAAATTGCCTATGGACAAATTTCTCAGAAAATATCCATGTTGTTAAGCAAAACATGACTGTACATGACCTTAGCTTATTTAGTTTCTAAGCCTATAAAAGTGGAATAATTATACCCATGTTAAGGACTGATATTTAAGAAATGAGCAGAGAAAAGGGAAACTATAAAGCAGAATGAGAAAGAGAGGATAAAAGGTAGACGCCACAAGAGAATGTAGTATTAGGGAAACTTTACGATCAGTAGATCAAATAGTATAAAGAGATCATTTAAAATAAGAATTGAAAAGTATATACAGGAATTTTTAAAGGCATCTCTGGTGACCCAACCCTGACTAAAGCATGGTAGAGCTGAATATAAACAGAAGTATATGGTAGATGAGGGAGTGAGAGACTGATTTAGTAAATTCTTTCGAAGAGTTTGGCTTAAGTGAGAAGAAAGTTTAGGCTGGTGTTTAGTGGAAGTCATAGAGTCAAGGCAGTGTTACTTATTTCTCGTTTGTTGTTTTTTAAAACTGGGAAAAACTTATACATCATAACTTAAGATGACTGCAGCTGCAAGTAACAGAAAACCTAACAATGCTTAAACTATTAGGGCATTTATTATTTACTTTTTTAAAAAGTCTGAAAGTAGACAACTCTGGGACTTTTTATTTGTGGTATGGTGTGGATGTTTCTCCCCTCCAAATCTCATGCTGAAATGTGATTCCCAATGTTGGAAGTGAGGCCTGATGGGAAGTGAGTGGATCACGCCAGCAGTTCCCTCATGAATGGCTCAGCACCATCCTCTTGGTGATAAGTGAGTTCTCGCTCGGTTAGTTCACGCAAGATCTGGTTGTTTAGAAGAATCTGGGGTCTCCCGCCTGTCTCTCTTCCTTCTGCTGTCACCATGTGCTGCGCCTGCTCCCCACCTTTGCCTTCCACCACGATTGTAAGCTTCCTGAGGCCCTCACCAGAAGCAGATGCTGGCACCATGCTTCTTTGTATGCCCTGCAGAACCATCAGCCAGTTAAACCTCTTTGCTTAAGAAATTACCCAGTTTCAGGTATTCCTTCACAGAGATGCAAAAAGACTAAGTTGTTGTTTTTTTTTCAAAGTCTCAGAGATATCATCAAAGGCCAAGGCTTTGGTCTTTCTATCTTCTTGTTCTGCCACAAAATGGCTACCACTGCCAAGTTGATCATGTCTTTATATTCCCTACAAAGAAAGAGGAAGAACAAAACCTGCCTTTCTATTAGGAAGCAAAACATCTTACATAGAGGCTATCTCCACAGACTGTTCCTTGTGTCTCATTGGTTAGAACTGGTTCACATGGCCACACTCAGCTCTAAGAGCAACTAGATTATCTTTTGACTTTCTAGACCTACTTTTAAGCAGTAAAGAGACAGGGGCTGGGAATAGTTTCTACATAGCCAATCAGTACTGTCTTCCACATGCATGTTTAAATGCTGATGGAAAAGAGTTAGTAAAGACTAAGAACCAGATACAGAAGGGAAGAGGGCAAGAATGAATTCAGATACAGATACATTTTTAAGGAGGCTGGCTGGTAATTGAGAAAGTTTGCACCATATAAATTTAATTTTCTTTGTGAAACAGAAAATGGAATCATGCATTAAAAGTAAAGGGAGAGGTAGAAGGACAGAGGTCTTCAGAATAACAAAGCAGATTTTAAATAGTTCCTACGGAGAATAAAAGAGAGGGCTGCCTAGAATAACAGGTTTCTAAGCAAGAGAGAAAAAAAATAGAAGAAAAATTTCCTACGGGTTGTTGAGCAAGGCTAGAAATCATTAATTCATAGTGCCATCCACATGCCACTTAAAAGGACATCTCTAGCAGCACCCAGCAGCCCAAGCGTAAGAATAGAGAAAGTCGAATGCTGAATCCATTCTAAACTGGAGTTTATGGGTTTAGAGTAAAAGGAATGTACCAATGGGTTTGTGGCACAACTGAAAGGGAAAGATACGAAGGAGCTGAAATTATCAGCAAGCCAGTGACATAATGTGCCATATATAAACATGTTAGGAAAAAAATGAAAGGTACAGAAAGAGTGAAACAGTCAAGGAATCTGACATATAATGGCCTTAATAAAAGAACTCAAAGACGAAAAACTATGGTAAGGTAATTAAGATGAATACTTCAAGGGGATAAAATTCCTGGTGTGCCATGAGAGTGGAGTTCAAGGGCACTCAAGTTGAGAAAGGGAAGAAACTAAAAAGGCTAGTGAAACCAACCCAGTAGTTTTTTAAAATAAATATAGAAATTGACCCTTCTGGTCTTAAAGCTTAAAACTAACGTTTGTCTTATTTAAGTTCCTTTCTCAGGAAATGATCCTCAGCCTTCTCAAAAAGTATCAAAGAACTGAAACTCACCAGATCACCACATCCAGACAATGAGATGGCAGACCCTTCATCCATCAGGTTGCTCCCTTACCCCTCCCTAATTCCTATGTTCCTAAGTGGTCACCTGCTTCTCGTTAACCAGTTCCTCTTCCTTACCCCTCCCTAGTTCCTGTTTTCCCACACATAATTACATTTCTTCCCTGCTATAATAAACCCCCAATTTTAGTTGGTCAAGGAGATGGATTTGAGACTGATCTCCCATTGTCTCAGCTGCTGCACGTGATTAAAGCCTTCTTCCCTGGCAATACTCATTCTCTCAGTGACTGGTTTTCTGTGCAGAGAGCCACAGGACCCAGACCAAACCCCTGATGTTTTGGTAACACTGGTGAGAGGTGACAACATGCTACCAGCCCTCACTCACTCTTGGTGCCCCCTTGGCCTCGGCATCCTCTCTGGCTGCACTCGAGGAGCGCTTCAGCCCGCCACTGTGCTGTGGGGGCCCCTCTCTGGGGCTGGCCGAGGCCGGAGCTGGCTCCCTCTGCTCGCAGGGAGGTGTGAAGGGAGAGGCATGGGTGGGAGCCAGGGCTGCGTGCCTCACTCACAGGCTGGCACAGGTTCTGGGTGGGCACGGCTCCACAGGCCCCGCACTGGGCGCAACCAGCCAGTGCCTGCTGGGCTTGATCAGGGGACGAACTCCCTCTGGGCTGCCAGAGTGCCGGGGCTAGGTGCTGCAAAGTCCTGCGGCGAGTACCATTGGTGAAGCCATCTGGGCTTCTGGGTTGGGTGGTGACCTGGAGAACTTTTCTGTCTAGCTAAAGGTTTGTAAATGCACCAATCAGCGCTCTGTGTCTAGCTAAAAGTTTGTAAATGCACCAATCAGTGCTCTGTCAAAACGGACCAATCAGCTCTCTGTAAAATGGACCAATCAGTAGGATGTGGGTGGGGCCAGATAAGGGAATAAAAGCAGGCCACCCCAGCCAGCAGCCAGCAACCCGCTCCGGGTCCCCTTCCATGCTGTGGAAGCTTTGTTCTTTTGCTCTTCACAATAAATCTTGCTGATGCTCATTCTTTGGGTCTGCACCACCTTTACGAGCTCTAACACTCACTGCGAAGGTCTTCAGCTTCACTCCTGAAGCCAGCGAGACCACGAACCCACTGGGAGGGATGAACAACTCCAGACGGGAGGAACAAACAACTCCGGATGTGCCATCTTTATGAACTGTAACACCCACCGCGAAGGTCTTCAGCTTCACTCCTGAGGCCAGCGAAACCATGAACCCACCGGAAGGAATGAACAACTCCAGACGCACTGCCTTTAAGAGCTGTAACACTCACCGCGAAGGTCTGCAACTTCACTCCTGAAGTCAGCAAGACCAAAAACCCACCAGAAGGAAGAAACTCTGGACACATCTGAACATCTGAAGGACCAAACTCTGGACACACCATCTTTAAGAACCGTAACACTCACCGTGAGGGTCTGCGGCTTCATTCTTGAAGTCTGCGAGACCAAGAACCCACCAATTCCAGACACATTTTTGCAACCACGAAGGGACTATCACCTATCGCCAAGCAGTAAGACTATCGCCTATTGCCAAGCAGTAAGACTATCACCTATCGCCGAGCGGTGAGTACCACTGGACCCCTTTTGCTTGCTATTCTGTCCTGTTTCTCCTTAGAATTCAGGGGCTAAATACCGGGCACCTGTCGGCCAGTTAAAAGCTACTAGCGCGGCAACCAGACTAAAGACACGGGTGTCAGGCTTTCTGGGAAGGGGCTCTCTAACATCCCCTGACTCTTTGGAGTTGGGAGCGTTGGTTTGCCTAGAACCAGCTTCCACTTTTCCTGTACTTCTGGGCCGAGCCAAGGGTCGACAGAGAGGAAAGCCATTCAGCTCCGGGGTCCGAACAACAAGTTGGTTGACCCTGTGGCCATGAGCGGAACCCTCAAAGGCATGTCGCCCAAGCGAGACTCACCCATCTATCCTATCTATCCTGACCCTTGCCTCCTGGGTCCTAATGCCTGTCAGACAAACTTCCCCTCACCTCTCTTCTCCGAGGTTAGTCCTGCTTCTAAAAATCACTCCCTGTCTCTGGTGCTTTTCTAGTTTCTCCTATAAGAATGATTTCTAGTATAAACTCCAGGACTCTATTTCCTTCTTTAGGCACCCAGGCTCACCAATCAGAAAGACATAATTTTTCCCAAAGCCCCATTGTAGGGGGAACTATCCGGAATTTTAGGATCCCTCCTCAGACAAGCAGGCCTAACAAAAGCTATTCCTGAAGCTAGGATATGGGGAGCCTCAGAAATTGTATCCTTCCTATTCATATAAGTGAAGACAAAAGGTGTCACTCTTCCAACCCTGGAGATCCCTTCCCTCCATCAGGGTATGGCCCTCCACTTCATTCTGGGGGCATAACATCTTTATAGGACACGGGTAAGGTTCCAGTACTAACAGGAGAATGTTTAGGACTCTAACAGGTTTTCGAGAATGCGTCTGTAACAGCCACTAAATCTGATTTTTCTCTGTCCTCCTTGTGGTCTAGGAGGACAGGAAAGGGTGCAGGTTTTCGAGAATGCGTCAGTAAGGGTCACTAAATCCGACCTTCCTTAGTCCTCCTTGTGGTCTGGGAGAAAAGCTAGTGTTTCTGCTGCTGCGTTGGTGAGCGCAACTATTCCGATCAGCAGGGTCCAGGGATTGTTGTGGGTTCTTGGGCAGGGGTTGTTTCTGCTGCTGCATCGGTGAGTGCAACTATTCCAATCAGCAGGGTCCAGGGACCATTGCAGGTTCTTGGGCAGGGGGAGAAACAAACAAACCAAATCTGCGGGCGGTTTTGTCATTCAGATAGGAAACACTCAGGCATCAACAGGCTCACCCTTGAAATGCATCCTAAGCCATTGGGACCAATTTGACCCATAAACCCTGAAAAAGAGGTGACACATTTTTTTTCTGTGCTACAGCCTGACCCCAATACTCTCTCTCTGATGGGGAAAAATGGCCACCTGAGGGAAGTACAAATTACAATACTATCCTGCAGCTTGACCTTTTCTGTAAGAGGGAAGGCAAATGGAGTGAAATAAGTTATGTCCAAGCTTTCTTTTCATTGAAGGAGAATACACAACTATGCAAAGCTTGCCATTTACATCCCACAGGAGGACCTATCAGCTTACCCCCATATCCTAGCCTCCCTATAGCTCCCCGTCCTATTAACGATAATCCTCCTCTAATCTCCCCTGCCCAGAAGGAAATATGCGAAGAAATCTCCAAAGGACAACAAAAACCCCTGGGCTATCGGTTATGTCCCCTTCAAGCTGTAGGGGGAGGGGAATTTGGCCCAACCTGGGTACATGTCCCCTTCTCCCTCTCTGATTTAAAGCAGATCAAGGCAGACCTGGGGAATTTTTCAGATGATCCTGATAGGTACATAAATGTCCTACAGGGTCTAGGACAAATCTTCTATCTCATTTGGAGAGATGTCATGCTATTGTTAGATCAAACCCTGGCCTTTAATGAAAAGAATGCAGCTTTAGCTGCAGCCCAAGAGTTTGGAGATACTTGGTATCTTAGTCAAGTAAATGACAGAATGACAGCTGAAGAAAGGGGCAAAATCCCTAACGGTCAGCAAGCTGTCCCCAGTATGGATCCCCACTGGGACCTTGACTCAGATCATGGGGACTGCAGTTGCAAACATCTGTTGACCTGTGTTCTAGAAGGACTAAGGAGAATTAGGAAAAAGTACATGAATTATTCAATGATGTCCACCATAACTCAGGGAAAGGAAGAAAATCCTTCTGCCTCCCTCGAGCGGCTATGGGAGGCCTTAAGAAAATATACTCCCCTGTCAACCAAATCACTTGAGGGTCAATTGATTCTAAAAGATAAGTTTATTACCCAATCAGCCACAGATATCAGGAGAAAGTTCCAAAAGCAAGCCCTGGGCCCTAAACAAAATTTGGAGACATTATTAAACCTGGCAACCTCAGTATTCTATAACAGGGACCAAGAGGAACAGGCCCAAAAGGAAAAGCAAGATCAGAGAAAGACCGCAGCCTTAGTCATGGCCCTCAGACAAACAAACCTTGGTGGTTCAGAGAGGACAGAAAATGGAGCAGGCCAATCACCCGGTAGGGCTTATCAGTGTGGTTTACTAGGACACTTTAAAAAAGATTGTCCAATGAGAAACAAGCCGCCCCCTCGTCCATGTCTGCTATGCCAAGGCAATCACTGGAAGGTGCACTGCCCCAGAGAACAAAGGTTCTCTGGGTCAGAGGCCCCCAACCAGATGATCCAACAACAGGACTGAGGGTGCCCGGAACAAGCGCCAGCTCATGTCATCACCCTCACTCAGCCCCA
This sequence comes from Homo sapiens, assembly GCF_000001405.40. NCBI lineage: Eukaryota > Metazoa > Chordata > Mammalia > Primates > Hominidae > Homo > Homo sapiens. Next base: position 31,708,724 of record NC_000014.9, on the reverse strand, counting down.
GGTACCTTTAACCATTGAGGGCCAGGAAATTGACTTCCTCCTAGACACTGGCGCAGCCTTCTCATTGTTAATCTCCTGTCCTGGACGACTGTCCTCAAGGTCCATTACCATCTGAGGAATCCTGGGACAGCCTGTAACCAGGTATTTCTCCCAACTCCTCAGTCGTAATTGGGAGACTTTCTCTTTTCACATGCCTTTCTTGTTATGCCTGAAAGTCCCACACCCTTATTAGAGAGGGATACATTAGCCAAAGCTGGAGCTATTATCTACATGAATATGGGGAACAAGTTACCCATTTGTTGTCCCCTACCTGAAGAGGGAATAAACCCTGAAGTCTGGGCATTGGAAGGACAATTTGGAAAAGCAAAAAATGCCCACCCAGTCCAAATCAGGCTAAAAGACCCCACCACTTTTCCTTATCAAAGGCAATATCCCTTAAGGCCTGAAGCTCATAAAGGATTAAAGGATATTGTTAAATATTTAAAAGCTCAAGCCTTAGTAAAGAAATGCAGCAGTCCCTGCAACAGCCCAATTCTAGGAGTACAAAAACCAAACAGTCAGTGGAGACTAGTCCAAGATCTTAGACTCATCAATGAGGCAGTAATTCCTCTATATCCAGTTGTACCCAACCCCTATATCCTGCTCTCTCAAATACCAGAGGAAGCAGAATGGTTCACTGTTCTGGACCTCAAGGATGCCTTCTTCTGTATTCCCCCGCACTCTGACTCCCAGTTTCTTTTTGCCTTTGAGGATCCCACAGACCACATGTCCCAACTTATGTGGACAGTCTTGCCCCAAGGGTTTAAGGATAGCCCTCATCTGTTTGGTCAGGCACTGGCCCAAGATCTAGGTTACTTCTCAAGTCCAGGCACTCTGGTCCTTCAGTACGTGGATGATTTACTTTTGGCTACCAGTTCAGAAGCCTCGTGCCAGCAAGCTACTCTAGATCTCTTGAACTTTCTAGCTAATCAAGGGTACAAGGTGTTTAGGCCGAAGGCCCAGCTTTTCCTATAGCAGGTCAAATATCTAGGTCTAATCTTAGCTAGAGGGACCAGGGCCCTCAGCAAGGAACATATACAGCCTATACTGGCTTATCCTCACCCTAAGACATTAAAACAGTTGCAAGGGTTCCCTGGAATCATCAGCGTTTGCTGACTATGGATCCCCGGACACAGCGAGATAGCCAGGCCCCTCTATACTCTAATCAAGGAGAGAACCAGAGAGACAAAAAGTCAAAGAAAGAAGTACAAAGAGAGGAAGAGACAGACAAAGAGGGAGTCAGAAAGAGAGAAAGAGAGAGACAAAGGAGAAGTCAAAGAGAAAGAAAGAGAGATGGAAGTAGTAAAGAAAAAACAGTGTACCCTATTCCTTTAAAAGCCAGGGTAAATTTAAAACCCACAATTGATAATTGAAGGTCTTCCCTGTAACCCTATAACAATCCAATACCACCTTGTTGTCAGTGTAAACAAGGGCATAGCCCGAAAGCACTGAGGCCACTGACAATCCGTAGCCTTCCTATCAAAAATTCTTAACCCAGCAGGTTTCCTAACAGGACATCTAAATCTTAATTACCATACAAAGGTCCGACCAGATCTAGGAGGAACTCCCTACAGGACAGGATGATAGATGGTTCCTCCCAGGCGATTAAGGAAAAAAAGACACAATGGGTATTCACTAAGAGAAAATGAAACTCTTATAGAAGCAGAGTTAAGAAAATTGCCTAATAATTGGTCTCCTCAAACGTGTGAGCTGTTTGCACTCAGCCAAACCTTAAAGTACTTACAGAATCAGGAAGGAGCCATCTATACCAATTTTAAGTTAATATGGACTGAATGAGGTCTTATTAACAGCAAAGAAAAACTAAAATCCCAAACTTACAAGGTTTTCAACTAAAGTAAGGTTTACTAAAAATTAACAGTGTAACATGTATTATCCTACTGCCACACACTCTCAAAGGATTTCTCAGACAATTTGCAGGAAGTGATGAAATCTATCCTTACTCTACAATCCCAAATAGACTCTTTGGCAGCAGTGACTCTCCAAAACCACCAAGGCCTAGACCTCCTCGCTGCTGAGAAAAGAGGACTCTGCACCTTCTTAGGGGAAGAGTGTTGTTTTTACACTAACCAGTAAGGGATAGTAGAAGATGCCACCCGGCATTTACAGGAAAAGGCTTCTGAAATCAGACAACGCCTTTCAAACTCTTATACCAACCTCTGGAGTTGGGCAACATGGCTTCTCCCCTTTCTAGGTCCCATGGCAGCCATCTTGCTGTTACTCACCTTTGGACCCTGTATTTTTAACCTTCTTGTCAAATTTGTTTCCTCTAGAATTGAGGCCATCAAGCTCAACTGATGATCTTACAAATGGAACCCCAAATGAGCTCAACTAACAACTTCTACCGAGGACCCCTGGACCGATCCGCTGGCCCTTCCACTGGCCTAAAGAGCTCCCCTCTGGAGGACACTATAACTGCAGGGCCCCTTCTTTGCCCCTATCCAGCAGGAAGTAGCTAGAGTGGTCATCGGCCAAATTCCCAACAGCAGTTGGGGTGTCCTGTTTAGAGGGGGGATTGAGAGGTGACAATGTGCTAGCAGCCCTTGCTCACTCTTGGCATCTCCTCAGCCTCGGTGTCCACTCTGGCTGTGCTCGAGGAGCCCTTCAGCCTGCCGATGCGCTATGGGGGCCCCTACCTGGGGCTGGCCAAGACCAGAGCTGACTCCCTCTGCTTGTGGGGAGGTGTGGAGGGAGAGGCACGGGTGGGAGCTGGGGCTTCGTGCAGCACTCGCAGGCCAGTGCGGGTTCCAGGTGAGCACAGGCTCGGCAGGCCCTGCACTGGGCATGGCCAGCCAGCACCTGCTGGGCTTGATCGGGGGATGTGCTCCTTCTGGGCTGCCAGAGTGCCCGGGCTAGGTGGTGCAAAGTCCCACGGCGACTGCCATTGAGAGGTGAAGCCGTCTGGGCTTCTGGGTCAGGTGGGGACCTGGAGAATTTTTCTGTCTAGCTAAAGGTTTGTAAATGCACCAATCAGCACTCTGTGTCTAGCTAGAGGTTTGTAAATGCACCAATCAGCACTCTGTGTCTAGCTAAAGGTTTGTAAACGCACCAATCAGCACTCTGTGTCTAGCTAATTGGGTAGGGGACTTGGAGAACTTTTGTGTCTTGCTAAAGGATTGTAAATGCACCAATCAGCACTCTGTGTCTAGCCAAAGGTTTGTAAATGCACCAATCAGCACTCTGTCAAAACGGACCAATCAGCTCTCTATAAAATGGACCAATCAGCTCTCTGTAAAATGGACCAATCAGTAGGATGTGGGTGAGGCTAGATAAGGGATTAAAAGCAGGCCACCCCAGCCAGCAGCCGGCGACCCGCTCGGTTCCCCTTCCACGCTGTGGAAGCTTTGTTCTTTCACTCTTCACAATAAATCTTGCTGATGCTCACTCTGGGTCTGCACCGCCTTTATGAGCTGTAACACTCACCATGAAGGTCTGCAGCTTCACTCCTGAAGGCAGTGAGACCATGAACCCACCAGGAGGGACGAACAACTCCGGATGAGAGTAACAAACAACTCCGGACGCGCCACCTTTATGAACTGTAACACTCACCACAAAGGTCTGCAGCTTCACTCCTGAGGCCAGTGAGACCACGAACCCACTGGAAGGAATAAACAGCTCCAGACACACTGCCTTTAAGAGCTGTAACACTCACCGCGAAGGTCTGCAGTTTCACTCCTGAAGTCAGCGAGACCACAAACCCACCAGAAGGAAGAAACTCCGGACACATCTGAACATCTGAAGGAACAAACTCCGGACATACCATCTTTAAGAACTGTAACACTCAGCACAAGGGTCCGCGGCTTCATTCTTGAAGTCAGCGAGACCAAGAACCCACCAATTCCAGACACACTGGGATGTTAAAGTTTATTGTCTATGTGAACTCTGAAGTTATCCAAGGTGGTGGGTAGAACTAGAGGGAACAGGAAGTGCCAACATCTTTAACAAGTGAGAAAAAAAGTGAACAAAGAAGAGAATGAGAGAAGGATTACACTTTTTTTTTTTTAAGATGGAGTTTTGCTCTTGTTGCCTAGAGCTGGAGTGCAGTGGCATGATCTTGGCTCACAGCAACCTCCGCCTCCCAGGTTCAAGCGATTCTCCTGTCTCAGCCTCCTGAGTAGCTGGGATTACAGGCATGCACCACCATGCCTGGCTAATTTTGTATTTTTAGTAGAGACGGGGTCTCTCCATGTTGCTCAGGCTGGTCTCAAACTCCCGACCTCAGGTGATCTGCCCACCTTGGCCTCCCAATGTGCTGGGATTACAGGCGTGGGCCACCATGCCTGGCCAATTATACTTTCAGTAACTATGACTATCAGAAAGAATATAAGTATAAAAATCCTCAGTGAGAGATACTGTTCTCTCAATACCCAAGAGGCAGGCTTCTAAAGGGGACCCCTAGAATGTCCATCAGTGGGACAGGAAGAAGGCAAAATCCTGCCCCTGTCTCCCTTGGACCTGGATAGATACTGCTTTTACCACCCAAAGAGTCACCCTCCTGCCCTGAGAGCTAGCAAGAGGCCAATACTCACAGAACCAACACCACCCCTCTGTCAGCAGAAAGCAGTTACAGAAGACTGATCTTCATCCATTTTTCCTCAAAGATTTGTGGTCTTGGGCTCTTGAGGAGGGAAATGTTACAGGTAGTTAGACCGGCATGAGCAAGGCAGGAGAGGGCTCTTCTCGCCGACCCAGTAGGAATGTCAGGTGGTGGCTGGACAATTATCATACTGCTTCTCTAAAAATGATAATTTGGCAGCTGTGCCAGGCAGAGACAATCTCCTGTTGATCCACAGCTGTTAAAGTGTTAATTAAATGCAGGCACCAAGGAGAAGCAAAAAAGGCTTCCAATAAAATCTCAGGTATTGGGCGATTGAGCCCAGGCATGCAAATTGATATGGCTTGGCTCTGTGTCCCCGCCCAAATCTCATCTTGTAGCTCCCATAATTCCCATATGTTGTGGGAGAGACCCAGTGGGAGATAACTGAATCACGGGAGTGGGTCTTTCCCATGCTGTTCTCAAGACAGTGAATAAGTCTCACAAGATCTGATGGTTTTAAAATTGGGAGTTTCCCTGCACAAGCTCTCTGTCTGCGGCCATCCATGTAAGAGGTAACTTGCTCCTCCTTGCCTTCTGCCATGATTGTGAGGCCTCCCCAGGCATGTGGATCTGTAAGTTTCTCCCCAGTCTCAGGTACATCTTTATCAGCAGTGTGAAAACAGACTAATACACACATTAAGAGGCAAAATGGTGGATTATGACCTTACTGGGGCACTCCACCAGAAAAGGAAAGAAAGCCTCAGATGGGCATGTGTACAATTTCCCAAACACACTGTGTGTGCTCAATTCCCAAGGGTAAGAAGGGCACTATGGATGCAGGCAGCCCACCCTAAGGGAAGAATCACGAGAAAGGGGCACGAGATGCCAGTTTATAAAGTCCTAGGATCATGGTTAAACAGGGCACTTATTCTTCAAGTTGCTCACTTGGCTCTCTTCCAAATGCACTTTCCTTTCTTTCCTCCTGCTCTAAAGCTTTTTAACAAACTTCTCCTCCTGCAAAAAGAATATAAGAATATAAGTATTAGAGTAGAAGCTGCCCTAGCAAATAAGGAATATGCCAAATCTTACCCTAAATCTCTAGTAGACAGTGAGTCAAAAAACAAGCTCTACTTAAGACTTCATTAAAAGCACTGTCTGCAGGGAATCACAGTTTTTAGTTAAAGATATTAAAGAGAATTTATGTAGTACAAAATTGGGCACCAGAAGCACCAAACAAAAATTGGGGAAGAAAAGGAAGAAATGTTTAGGTTTAGGAGAATGGAAGTCCTAAACAGCATAAAGATGAAAATTTTTTCTTTTTAATGACCAGAGAGGCTAATATTTGGGCACTTACCAAGAGTGACAGGAATGTGGGGTATAACAGAATTAGTAGACCTCAAAGTATTTTTTAAAAAACCATCCTAGTAGCCTCTCTGGCTGGAGAATATTATAGTCAGAGTCAATTGTACTTTCAAGGAATTCTGAGTTTTAATTACTAGAAAGTTTCAGTTGCAGTATGTCATAGCTACTAGGTTAATATCCAAATTTAGCTTTACACATACATTCATTTTGGAAACCAGTATTATTCACATTATTTCTGTAAAGAATTTAACCTTGCCCCAAAAGGCCCCAAGATAATTTGTCTTTGACCTCAGCTTCTAGGATGTAATCTCTAAGGTCTCTGCTCATGGGCCTTGAGCTAGCCATGTAGTAATAATGTGATTTAGAGTGGGGGCTTTGGGTCATGACTGGAGGGACAGGAGACAAAAGAATGAGATCAGCCATATGGACAATCAATCATGCCCCTATCACGGAGCCCCAATAAAAACTCTGAACATCAAGGCTCACATGAGCTTCCCTGGTTGGCAATGCTACACCCGTATTATCATACATCAATGCCAGGAGACTAACAGACTGATTCTGAGGGGAAAAGACAACAGAGGCTCTGCATTTGATAACTCCCCAGACTCCACCTTATGCACTTCTTCCCTTGGCTGATTTTAATATGTACTCTTTTCCTGTAATAAACTATAAGTGTGAGTATAACATCTTTCAGTGAGTTGAGTCCTTCTAACAAATTATTGAACTTAAGGGTGATCTTGGGAACCCCTACACTTGCAGTCAATGTCAAAAGTAAGGGCAGTCTCATGGGGACTATGCTCTTTAACACCATTATTTGACCTAAACTATTCACATATTGCAAAGGGTTCTCTCTAAATCTATTTGTTCACAGGGAATAAAAATGATTTGAAAGTAATCCAATACTTGACATTAGGTGAAACTATTGTGTCTGGAATTGGTGGGTTCTCGGTCTCACTGACTTCAAGAATGAAGCCGCGGACCCTCGCAGTGAGTGTTAAAGTTCTTAAAGATGGTGTGTCCAAAGTTTCTTCTTACTGGTGGGTTCGTGGTCTCGCTGACTTCAGGAGTGAAGCTACAGACCTTCACAGTGAGTGTTACAGCTCTTAAAGGTGGCACACCTGGAGTTGTTCATTCCTTCCAGTGGGTTTGTGGTCTCGCTGGCTTCAGGAGTGAAGCTGCAGACCTTCGCAGTGAGTGTTACAGCTCATAAAGGCGGCGCGGACCCAAAGAGTGAACAGCAGCAAGATTTATTGCGAAGAGCGAAAGAACAAAGCTTCCACATGCGGAAGGGGACCCAAGTGGGTTGCCGCTGCTGGCTTGGGCAGCCTGCTTTTATTCCCTTATCTGACCCCACCCACATCCTGCTGATTGGTCCATTTTACAGACAGCTGATTGGTCCATTTTGACAGGGTGCTGACTGGTGCGTTTACGATCCCTGAGCTAGACACAGAGTGCTGACTGGTGCATTTACAATTCTCTAGCTAGACATAAAAGTTCTCCAAGTCCCCACTAGATGAGCTAGATACAGAGCACTGACTGGTGCATTTACAAACCTTCAGCTAGACACAGAGTGCTGACTGGTGCATTTACAATCCTCTAGCTAGACATAAAAGTTCTCCAAGTCCCCACCAGATTAGCTAGATACAGAGTGCTGACTGGTGCATCCACAAACCCCGAGCTAGACACAGAGTGCTGACTGGTGCACATACAATCCTCCAGCTAGACATAAAAGTTCTCCAAGTCCCCAGCCGGCTCAGGAGCCCAGCTGGCTTTGTCTAGTGGATCCTGTGCTGGGGCCATAGATGGAGCTGCCCGCCAGTCCCGCGCCGCGCACCTGCACTCCTCAGCCCTTGGGCGGTCGATGGGACCGGGAGCCCTGGAGCAGGGGGCAGCACCCGTCGGGGAGGCTCAGGCCGTGAGGGAACCCACGGTGGTGGGGGGGAGGGGGCTGGGGCATGGCAGGCTGCAGGTCCTGAGCCCTGCCCTGTGGAGGGGCGGCTGAGGCCCGGCAAGAATTCAAGTGCAGTGCAGGCAGGCCGGCAGTGCTGGAGGACCCAGCGCACCCTCCACAGCTGCTGGCCCAGGTGCTAAGCCCCTCACTGCCCGGGGCCAGTGGCACTGGCCGGCCGCTCGAAGTGCAGGGCCCGCCGAGCCTGCGCCCACCCGGAACTCGCGCTGGCCTGCAAGGGCCACATGCAACCTCGGTTCCCACCCACACCTCTCCCTCCACACCTCCCCGCAAGCAGAGGGAGCCGGCTGCAGCCTTGGCCAGCCCAGAGAGGGGCTCCCACAGTGCAGCAGTGGGCTGAAGGGCTCCTCAAGCATGGCCAGAGTAGGCGCTGAGGCCGAGAAGGCACCGAGAGCAAGCGAGGGCTGCCAGCACGCTGTCACCTCTCACTACTACTGAAGAGTAACTAGTCTACTGAACTACTAATGGCCATCTGCTTCCACAAATCCCTCTTAACAGTGTAGAAGTATCAACAATTAACCACTAAGAAAAGAGCTGTTGGGTTTTAATCTGGATAATACAGACATTTACTGTGTCGCTGGACAGAAACTTATTTCCCTTTACTGAATAATAACTTGTTCTGGGTAACTGGGAAATGCCATTGTACCTCAGTGAAATGTAATTAAGCCCAAATAATGAATACTGTATAACAATTTTAATTCAATTTTTAAGTTTTACCTTATTTTAATTGACAAATAATAACTGCACAGTATATTTATGTGGTGCAATGTGATGTTTGGATACATGCTGACATGGCAGAATGATGAAATCAAGCAACTAACATACTCATCACCTCACATACTTAACATTTTAAAATTTCATTATGGTAAGAACATTTAAAATCTAATCCTACAGTTACTATACTTAATAAATGAATTATATTACTGCAGTTATTGACATCACAACATAGAAGAGTATCAAACTTCTCATTGCCAAACACTACTAAAAAGACTTTATAACAGGTCTCCATATAAACTTCACAAAAATATATTTCAGAGTAAAGATATTTACAGATACATTCACTCAGAAATGTCTTATAAAATACAACGTATAAAATACAAAACTTGTAGCTGAATGAGAACTTGGGAAACAAAAGAATACTCTTAATATTTTGTCAATTAGCGTTTCAGGGATGACATTAAAAAGAGTGTTTTCAATCTTTCAAGCAAAAATTTAAAATTTTAAAACTTCAGTTGTACAGTTTAGTTAAAAGCTGAGCCAAGAGAATCAGAGAGATTACAAGTAGGACCCTGCCCAAGTTATTTAACCTCATTGTGCCTCAGTTTCATCATTTGTAAAAATAATAGTAATAGTACATTATATAGAATTGTGTGATTTAAATGTGAATGCAGATAAACAGTATAAGTCTTAGCAGATAATAAATACCTAATAATAGGTAGCTACTTTTAGTAAAATATTATTGTCTAGGGATAATATATCAATTCAACCTATTTAATTTGATGCTTTCTGCATTCAGATAATTAATACACCACATTTAGATGCTACCAAAATAAACTAACTATAAAAGTCTAATATATTTGTTGCTACAGACATATAGGCCTACCCTAAACAAAAAATATTTTTAAAAGATATTTAAGTCATTATGGGCCAGGCACAGTGGCTCATGCCTGTAATCCCAGCACTTTGGGAGGCCAAGGCAGGTGGATTCCTTGAGATCAAGAGTTCAAGACAAGCCTGACCAACATGGCGAAATGCCATCTCTACTAAAAATACAGAAATTAGCCAGGCATGGTGGTGCATGCCTGTAGTCTCAGCTACTCGGGAGGCTGAGGCAGGAGAATTGCTTGAACCCAGGAGGCGGAGGTTGCAGTGAGCCGAGATCGTGCCACTGCACTCCAGCCTGGGTGACAAAGCGAGACTCTGTCTTAAAAAAAAAAAAAAAAGTGTAAGTCACTATTGAGTCACTTCTTTTGGTGGACTTTCCATCAACACCACATTAATAATAATACGAAAAATAAGTAGTGAACACAGACACATGCCTATGAAGGCAAATAGTATAGAAATTTTTTTCAAACTATGAATGATCACATAGCACTGGCTTAAAAAAAATCAGTAAGTAAATGTTCGCAGTAGCCAAAAGAATCTATAGGACAGGTTTCGTGCCTTTTTTATTTATAACAATATCCCTAACATCTAACTACTGAAAAAATGAATAAAGCCAGAGGGTAGCTTGCTTTAAAAAGTAGCAAGGAGACACTGATGGTCTCTGAAATTACTGACATGAGAGTTATGCTTTGGGAAGAATCATCTGGCAATCTCTGGTAAGTGATGGGGGGAAAATAAAGTCAGTGATGAGGGCATAAAAGAGGATGTTACTAAAACAAGTTACCAAAACTGCCGCCATCAGTTTAAAATAGTCTTTCAACACTTAAAAAAAAAAAAAGACCAAAATGAATGACGTAGAATCGCTCTGCAGCAATGACGGCAAAGATGGGAATACAATTCAATCAGTATTAAAATAATTATAAGGAAAACATTGACTATATCTCGTCATATCTAAAACACCATAGATTGGAAGATACACCATTATTTTATATACAACCAAGAAAGAAAACAATGCTAAATATTAAACTGACACAATGCCAAGATGTTACTGATTATAAAATACTCTCCAATTTCAGAGATATTAAAATTTGAAAAATACGTAACTTAAAGTCAATGAAATACAGTATATACCTAAATAGTAAAAAGAGGTCATAATCTCCAGTACTGGAAGTCCCCAATAATATTTATTACTCTTCTCATCGCCTGCTTGGGATCTGTTCAAGTCTTCCTGGAGCTTAAATAGCCCCAGTAGGCTTTTGACATCTGACTCTGATCCCATGATCCCCGACTGCACCAAAAGAGATAGGGTAAGTCCTTACCTGTTCAACAGGGGCCACTACTCTAAGAAGCTCTCCTAAAGGCTCAGCAAGTCATCTCATGTGACCTTTATTAAGGCTTCTTAATTATCACTGCAGAAGACAAGACTCTTATGTTTTATAATTACCCTCATCCTAACTCAGTTCAAATCACTGTAGGTTATTCTTCAAAGTCTGCATCATGGAAAATGGAGAGATTTTTCTCTTTAACTCTGCTGGTCAGAGATGAAGTCATGCCTTTCCAGTTTTCAATGCTGTATATTTAATCTGCAACAAAAATGTTAAGCCCTAACAGCCTTTTCATATTTTTGTTTGTCACCTTGGCATTGCAGAATAAATATTGATTAACACAAAATTTTAAGTCTGCATTGAACAACAGATAGAGTAAAAAAGGCATGCTTCTGGAAGTGTTTAAGGTAGAAATAGGACATTGTAAAGGTGGTAATTAGCCTCCTTTTAATTTATTTATTTTCAAAAGCAAATTACTTCAGCCTCACTATTTTTTGTTGCTAATAAACTGTGTCTGATATCTTTCATTCCCCTTTGATCAATATATTTCACTGGCTTGGCACATTTTTCTAATAGTGCTTCCTTTTGCTCTAATTTTGATTGTTGGCTTTCAATTGAATAAGACTGTGCCATTTTATCTCTTATAAACAAGCCAGCTTTCTGCATGCTTCCTACTTTTGTCAGAGCTACAGTTAGAGCCTACCCTTAACATGAACTGTTCCAGGACCTCTATTTCATTACTTTCCTCTGGTAGATACACAAAGAAGGAAATGAGAAAAGTTTATCTGTCTGGTCAGAACAAAAGACGACCCAAACATCTTTGCTTTATATTTGAAACACTGGTCAAATTTAAACTACAATGATGGCTTCAATTTCATAGTACCTTTATGTCCTTTCTCTTTCTTGTTACTTCCTTTCCTGTTCTCTTTTCAGATTCAGGCCTGGAGTTAGACAAGACACTCCGTTTTTCTCTTATATTTTTACTTCTTTAGTTAGAAGCCAGAAAAATCAGAAATGAAATCTGTTGTTAAACTTTTATGTTTGTATTTAAACAGTCAAATTATACCCCCAATTCTATGTTCTGAAGGTTTCTAATTCTCTAATGTTCACTTAGTGAGAATGAGAAATTAATATGAATGGACAGAATCAGGGAAAGGTCTACCTCTCTCTTTAGGGAGCATTTGAATCAATGACAGGAAAGTAAAATTGGTAACCTGAGCCCACAGCTTCAATCATTTTCAGAGCCTGAGTTAGTCTACAAATGGGTTGAGAACACGTTTTTTTTTCACTCAGGCGAAAAGTCATTTCCAAAGTAAACAAAGACTTTAAACTGGGAATTAAGGGCAAGATCAGGGATGAGGAAGTTAATACCATATTGAAAAGTTCTAAGGAAGAAGGCCATGTAACGAGATAAAGAAGCATAACCTTGACAAAGGAGAGAGCCACTGTGAGGAAATAGCTAGTGATATAACGAATGGGAGAACAAGAGATGACATGCTAGCATCCAGAACAGTGCAAGATGTGTCTGCAAGACCTAAAGCCTAAAGAAGGAATTCATGGCCAAGAACAGTAAAGTACCTTCCTCTTCCAAAGATGACAGAACTAGAGTTGACCCAAGAAGACTGATCAATAATATAGAGCAGAATATAATCTAGCTCAGCTATATATAACCAGAAGGCTGCAGCAGGAGATCTTCCCTGGGTGTTGGGTTAGAAAAATACTCCAAGAGCCAGGTCCCTCCCAGCTTTTCAAATTGCTACAATTCAAAACTACACAGCACAAGCAGTGAAATATCAGTGGCTGATACTTTAAAACAGTAACTCCCCTCCTTATTTTATACTTTGGTTACTTTATTTATATTGCTTTCTTGATAAAATTACCCATTTAAAGCATCAGATCACTACGTAATTTTATCAAGTGAAAAGTGTCTCTATACCTGCATTACTAGAAACCAAAAAATAAAAGTAAATTAGTGAAGTAATAACAGTGACCAAATCTACTACAGCACTTGAGAAATTTGGCACAAATGACTCAGGCGGTGTTTTAGTCTGTTTTCTGTTGCTATAACTGAATACCACAGACTGGGTAATTTATAAAGAATAGAGTTTTATTTACCTCATGGTTCTGGAGGCTAGGAAGTCCAAGGTCAAGATACCAGCATCTTGTGAGGGCCTTTGTGCTGCATGATTCCATTAAGAAAGGACGAGTAAGCAATGCAAAAGAGAAAGCACAAGCGGCCAGGCTCACTATACAACAATACACTCTTGTAATAACTAACCCATTCCCATGATAACATTAATTCATTCATGAGGACTCAGCCCTTCACGACCCCAACACCTGTCATTAGGCCCCACCTCCCAACACTGCCTGGTTGAGGACCAAGTTTCAACATGAGATTTGGAGGTGACCAACACCCAAACCATAGTGAGTGGGAAACTGGGAACAGTTGGTGCCAATCTAAAAAGTTGCAGTAATTTTTGGTCTTAGATAGCTCCAGTAGCAACATTTAAAAAAAAAAAAAAAAGGAACACTACAATACTCAAAAACTGCATATATAAGTACTCATCATCACAGTGAGTTGTAGGTACACATGTAAGTCATCTGACAACAGAAAAAGAAGGACATTTTAAGTAGAAGGAAATAACCAGCAATTAATATTCATAGGCTGTTTCTAACTCCTTCTAACAACTTGTTCTCTTTCAATGCTGACTAACAGGGTTTGCGCTATGACATGGACCTTAAATGAGACTGCAAACTTTTATACTGTGTAACACTATTACCAACCTGATGGTCAACACTATGTAACACTCAGCCTTGTTCTCTAAATTCCAACTTTGATTGCCTTAAATAAAACATTGCACAACAGTATTTTTTAAATCATCAAAACTTCTAGCATATCTATATTTCTTGCTTATTATTACAAGTCAAAAGTAGATCTGTAACTAAAGGCTTTATTTAACATTTTGAACTCTGGATCTATGTCTTATACAACTGTGTAACCTCAACATCTAACCAATGGCCCAAACATAGTAAATAGCCAATAAATGTCTGTTGCTGGCTGCGTGCAGAGGCTCACGCCTGTAATCCCAACACTTTGAAAGGCCGAGGCGGGCAGATCATGAGGTCAGGAGTTCCAGACCAGCCTGACCAACATGGTGAAACCCCGTCTCTACTAAAAATACAAAAATTAGCCAGACGTCATGGCGCACACCTGTAATCCCAGCTACTCAGGAGGTTGAGGCAGGAGAATCGCTTGAACCCAGGAGGCGGAGGTTGCAGTGAGCTGAGATCACGCCACTGCACTCCTGCCTGGGCGACAGAGCAATACTCCATCATAAATAAATAAATGTATGTATGTATGTATGTTGCTGTAAGATGACAAAAAGCCCAATGACATTTTTAAAGTACAGCAATAAGTATCTGCTGTCAGCTCAATAAATAATTACTAAATGAGTGAAAAAATGCCCAAAAAGAACTTCTGTTAGATTAATCAAACTAAGCTACTCACCAAATAATACTGCCTTATACAAATGTTTCAAAGAACTGGACTTTAGTTATGTATCTATTTCCTTGTTCACTAATCTATAATTTTAAAATGGAAAGGAGAATTCAAAATCAGGATTAATGTACCTGATTCCTTAGCTTCACATTAAGCTCCCAAATAAATCTAAAAACAATAACTGAACTATATTATATAGAAAGTCTACCTCATGTTGGCCAGGCACGGTGGCTCACGCCTGTAATCCCAGCACTCTGGGAGGCCGAGGTGGGCAGATCACGAGGTCAGGAGATCAAGACCACCCTGGCTAACACGGTGAAACCCTGTCTCTACTAAAAATACAAAAAATTAGCCAGGCATGGTGGCGGGTGCCTGTAATCCCAGCCACTCAGGAGGCTGAGGCAGGAGAATGGTGTGAACCCAGGAGGCGGAGCTTACAGTGAGCCCAGATCACGCCACTGCACTCCAGCCTGGGCAACAGAGCGAGACTCCGTCTCAAAAAAAAAAAAAAAAGAAAAGAAAAGAAAATCTACCTCATGTTTAAAGGTTTTTTTTTTTTTTTTTTTTTTTAATTTTGTCTTAGGTGCCTAAAAGGCTACCGCCCTGTCCAACTGAAAACTGAATTAATTAATGTTCCTCATTCCTTAATGTTTAAAGCATTTTTAAAATATGAGGCCTGCTAGAGTACCTGATGATGCAAAAATCATAAAAAGAAATTAATAAGGTCACATGCCCCAAACTGACAATAACAATATTCAATGACTTCACCTATAGTTAATGCATAGTCTATGAATCTTTTCCATGCAAGGTAATAAATTTCTTTGGTATATTTAGATATGGCTAACTTAATATCTTAAGAACATAATTTAATATTTTATCTCTCTGACACTTAGGCATAACTTAATATATCATACCATAAATTTGGATGAGGTGGATGAGGATGGTAACTTATATTAGTTTTATAATGTCAAAGGAAGAAAAATGGATCATTTCCTTAGAAACTATTTAAACTATGAATGACTACAAAGAAGGTCGTCTGAAGTATTTTTCTCATGCCTCCATATATCTTAAGAGGCTGAATATATCCAGATCTATTACTACTTTCAAATTAGAAGGATTTAGATATGATTCAGTCAATTATGGATGCCTTACAACTACTAATATTTAAACACTGAATTGTTTCACAATTCACCTTAAAGTGAACTATTTTAAGAGCCTTTAAAATCATTGGGTATAATAATAATTTCTAATACAGAATACTGTTTGAAATCAAATGGGTTATAGATTTTAAAATATGTTTTCCTTATACTGACTTTATATCAAAATGGCACTTGTAATAAAAACTTACAATATTTATTTCGACATACATTGGCCATTACCTAAGAAACCTCTACTGCTGCAAATATTAAGCAGGGAAAAAAAAAAGAATGTGGTCATTAATTATTCTGTTAAACACTGAGAAAATACACCTATTACAGCTTCTTGTATAATCACTTGCCATTTAAGAAACTATGTATCAAACTCCTTTGGCTCTTCCCATGAGAGGTACTTAGGGGACTCAATTTCTTTTTTTCATTTTATACAGGATTAAGCAGAGCTTAGCGCAACTCAGAATCAAAATTCTTTAGGAAACCAAAAGCTGAGAATATTCCTTATTCAAAAGTGAAATTCCATTGTCAGGGAAATCACTAATAACAACTATCAAGGGAAAATGTCTCATTTCTATTGCAGGATCAGCTAAAGTGAAACTGCTTCTTTAGTTGCTAGGAAACAACCAACTCATTATATGCCATTATCAGAAGCCTAGAGAAGAAAACTGGCATCTGCTTCACATTTGGGGATACTGAAGATTGAACTAAAAGCACTAAAACTGCTGCCAAAATCCCTGGTCTCCAGGGTTTACACTATGACCACAGCAGGTGCTGACATCACAGTAGCCTTTGAAGTTTTTCTTTCTGTGGCTTTTTTCTAATAACTAAAGTTGGTTTTTTCAATATCACATAGTTTAAAACACAAAGATTCTAAGAAAAGACTTTTCTCATTTGCATTAAACTAATTATATCTATGTTCAGGAGCACAATTCAGGAGGAAAAAAAATACTAATCAGGAATCTTAACAACAGAAAAATTTTAAATTATCAGTTATTCATTGAGTGAAATGTATTAGATGTTTACACCTATAATTATTAAAGTCAAAATAGAAAATAAAAGGAAATTGTTTCAAATATCAAGAGAATAAAAAGCAACACATACTGATAAATCTAATACTCAAAATAACATCCTAGCATATATCTGCCTATTTTTCCTAATAGATCCTAAAGTTAACTTTAAAAAAATATATATATCCTGACATGCTTTTTTCCCAAGGCATCACAAAATGCATTCATGAACATACACCATATTTATCCATCAATCTTTTCCCTTCCTTCTAGCAGATGAGGTTAGAAGGACATATGGTGAAATTATGCAGATTACCAAACAGTGGCCAGTTGAAACCAAGAGACTTCATGTATCCTAAAAAATAAGTTATCCTTCAGAAGAAGCTGCAGAGGTTGGTAAAGGCATTGACAAACCATCTTCCTTAATGAAATTACAAGGAACAATCCTGGCAAGACTGCCCCGTCCTGGTATAATTCTTCACCCCACCTCCTACTCTAATGTTCGCCTCATTTCCACTACTCACGAGCCTGCCACTCTGGGCTAAACATATTCCCTTAATATTACCTCAAACTCTTATTCTCAAGCAATTCAGCTCCACTGCATCATTATGTCTGCCTTCTCCCAACCTGACTATTACCCACCTTCCTGTCTTTTTTAAGAAACATCACTTCCATCTAGGGTTACCAGATTTAGCAAATAATAGTACAATTGACCTTTGAACAACACAGAGCTTAGAAATACTGATCCCCTCACAGTCAAAAATATGCATATAACTTTTGACTCCCAAAAAACTTTACTAATACCCTGCTGTTGATCAGAAGCCTTACCAATAGCATAGTCAGTCATTACCACATATTTTGTGTTATAGTATATTCTGTATTCTTACAATAAAGTAAGCTAGAGAAAAGAAAATGTTATTAAGGAAGAGAAAATATATTTACTATTCATTAAGTGGAAGTGGATCACCAGAAAAGTCTTCATCCTCGTGATCTTCACATTGAGTAGGCTGAGGAAAAGGAGGAAGAGGTGGGAATGGTCTTGCTGTCTTAGGGGTGGCAGTGACAAACTTCTTTGGCTCTTCCCATGAGAAGTACTTAGGGGGCTCAGTATTAGTGTATGGAAATACATCGTAATTTCTGATTTTTTTTTCTCTAAAAATGTTTCCATATGGTACCAATCCTTCTTCCTCTGTTTGCTTTAGTTTCAGTGCCCGCATCATAGAAGTGTCCATGTCATAAAAGCCAAAAGCAGTCTTGAATAATCAAAATCCTTATGCCATGTTGTCTAATGTCAATTTGTTTCCTGGCACAGTTTCTTCTACTAATTCTTCCTCATCGTCTGGCACTGGTTCAGAAGCACTCATCTCCAACAAGTTGTCTCCTGTTAATTCCTCTGGTGTGGCGTCTACAAGGTCTTGAATTTCTCTGAGGTGCATATCTGAAACCCTTCATCCCTCATCTTTTATGCCATATCCACAATCTCTTTCATGATTTTCCTGATTGACTCTGTCATAAATTCCGTGAAGTCATGAACAACATTTGGACACAGCTTTTCTCCAGCAGGAATTTCTTTTGGGCTTGATAGCTTTAACAGCTTTTTCATGATTTTTTCTCTACCAGGGTTCTCTTCCATAGCACTGACAATCCTTTCCATAGAGTATCCTGCATAATGAGCCTTAAAGGTCCTCACAACCCCCTGATCTAGAGGATACATTAAAGATGTTGTGTTTGAGGGCAAGAAGACCAGTTCAGCACCTTTCATGTCGAACTCATATGGTTCTGGGTGGCCAGGGGCATTGTCCAATATCGAAAGAATTTTGAAAGGCAGTACCTTATTGGTAAGGTACTTCCTGACTTCAAGGAAAACACGTCAGTGGACCCAATCCAGAAAAGGGGTTATCACTAAATTTTATTGTTGTCCAACCCAAAGACTGGCAGCTGGTGTTTATCTTTTCCTTTTGAGGCTCAGAGGTTAGCAGCTTTATAGATAAGGGCAGCCCTGATCATAAACCTAACTGCACTGGCACAAAATAATAGGGTTAGCCTAGCCCTTCCTGTCTTAAATCCTGGTGCTCACTTCTCTTCCTTACTAATAAGTGTCCTCTGTGGCATTTTTTTTTTCCAGAATGAGTCAATTCCACCTGCATTAAAAACCTGTTCAAGGCATGGCACTGGTACAAAAATAGACACATAGACCAATGAAACAGAATAGAGAGCCCAGAAATAAGGCCACACACCTACAACCATCTGATCTTTAACAATGCTGACAAAAAAAAAAAACAATGGGGAAAGGACTCCCTATTCAATAAGTGGTGCTGAGATAACTGGCTAGCCATATGCAGAAGATTCAGACTGGATCCCTTCTTTATATGATATGTAAAAATCAACTCAAGATGGATTAAAGACTTAAATGTAAAACCCAGAACTATCAAAACCCTGGAAGATAACCTAGGCAATACCATCCTGGACATAGGAATGGCAAAGATTTCATGACGAAGATGTCAACAGCAATCGCAACAAAAGCAAAAATTGACAGGCGGATCTAATTAAACTTAAAAGCTTCTGCACAGCAAAAGAAACTATCAACAGACTAGACAGACAACCTACAGAATGAGAGAAAATATTCACAAACTATGCATCTGACAAAGGTCTAATATCCAGCATCTGTAAGGAACTTAAACAAATTTACAAGAAAAAAAAACTCCATTAAAAAGTGGGCAAAGGACATGAACACTTATCAAAAGAAGACATATGTGTAGCCAACAAGCATATGAATAAAAGCTCAACATCACTGATCATTAAGGAAATGCAAATCAAAACCACAATGAGACAGTATCTCACACCAGTCAGAATGGCTATTATTAAAATGTCAAAAAATAACTGATGCTGGCAAGGGTGGGGGGAAAAGGGAACACTTATATATACACTGTTGATGGGAGTGTAAATTAGCTCAACCATTGTGGAAAGCAGTATGGTGATTCTTCAAAGAGCTAAACAAAACTACCATTCAACCCAACAATCCCATTACTGGGTATATACCCTAAAGAATATAAATCATTCTACCATAAAGACACATGCACTTGTATGTTCCCTGCAGCACTATTCACAATAGCAAAGGCACGGAATCAACCTAAATGCCTATCAATGGTAGACTGAATAAAGAAAAGATGGTACATATACACCATGGAATACAATGCAGCCACAAAAAAAAAAAATGAGATCAGGTCTCTTGCAGGAACATGGATGGAGCTGTAGGCCACTATCCTTAGCAACCTAATGCCGGAACAGAAAACCAAATACCACGTGTTTTCACTTTTAAGTAGGAGCTAAATGATGAGAACACATGGACACAAAGAGAGGAACAACAGACACTGGGGCCTACTTGAGGGTGGAGGGCGGGAGGAGGGAGAGGAAAAGAAAAATAATTATTGGGTACTAGGCTTAGTACCTGGGTGATGAAATAATCTGTACAACAAACCCCCCTGAAATGAGTTTACCTATATAACAAACCCTTATCTGAACCCCTGAACCTAAAAGTTAAAAAAAAAAAAAAACAACAACAAAAACCTGTTCAGGCAGATAGCCTTTCTCCTCAAAGATTTTCTTTTTTTTTTTTTTTTCTTTTTTTTCTTTGAGATGGAGTCTCACACTGTTGCCCGGGCTGGAGTGCAATGGCGCAATCTCAGCTCACTGCAACCTCCTCGGCCTTCTAGGTTCGAGCGATTCTCCTGCCTCAGCCACCCGAGTAGCTGGGATTACAGGCGCCCACCACCACGCCTGGCTAACTTTTTGTATTTTTAGTAGAGACGGGGTTTTGCTATGTTGGCCAGGCTGGTCTCAAACTCCTGACTTCATGATCTGCCCACTTCGGCCTGCCAAAGTGCTGGGATTACAGGCGTGAACCACCGCGCCTGGCCCAGTGATTTACTTAATGATGTCCACGAACTCATCTGCTGCCTCTTGGCTGGCAGAAACTGCCTCTCCTGTTACATTGATATTTTTTTAAGGGAAACCTCTTCCTAAAATTATCAAACCATACTTTGCTGGCATTAAATTCTCCACCTTTAGATTCTTCAGCTATCTTTTGCTTTAAGTTGTTATATAATGACTTCATTTTTTTCTTGAATAATATTAGAGTCTACAGGCATGCTTTACTATAGCAATCCTGCACTCATATATAAGCTGCATTTTCAATACAAAGTAAAAAGGTATTTGGCAAAATGTGCAAGGTTTTCATGCCTGATAATGTAGCTGCAGCAACAACTTCACAAATTTTCTTATCTTTTCTCACAATGGTCCTTAGGTTGGATTCATTTATCTTGAAATGGCAAGCAACTGCAGCTGCAGACTTCATTCTATGGTACATATCAAGCAATTCAACTTTTTTTTGTAATGTTGTGATTTTCCTCTACTTCTTCAGAGACTTCCAGCATCACTAGTGGCACTTCACATGGTCCCATGGTGTTATTCAAGGTTCACGGTATTATGTTAAACACAATGAAAAATACATGAAAACTCTAAGACATAACTTTTTACTGTAATAATTGATTGGAGAAATGAACTGCTCACGCAGAGATCATTAGCACACAGCATTTTAAGTGGATACTCACAACACTTGAGCTCACCACAATAGCAACAGGAGGTAGCTAACAAAATTATCACAGCAGTATAGTATGTAGTACAGTGAATTTTATGCAGTTATAACGTAGTACTACATCTGTACATTTGTTTACATTTCTCTTGACTGCTAATGGCACCATGCACAGTGTGTAAGTTTTGTATGCATAAGTTTTGATAAATTTTAACTTTTATAATAGATTTGTGTATACTTTAGGTAGTACATGATAAAATACACTAGTATCAACATATATTTTAGGCATTCATGACATATGTGATGTTTTATTAATTTTTTGATATTTCTAAGATACATGGTTCATCTGCAAGTTTTTTCAAGTTGTTCCAAATCTGCAAAAAATTTTCCAATGTGGTTAACTGAAAAAAATCCTCATATAAGTGGACTCAAACAGTTCAAACACAGTTATACAGGAAACTCAAAGTCATTTATGCCTGAATATGAGATACACAATGAATTTTTTTTTTGAAACAGGGTCTCACTCTGTTGCCCAGGCTGGAGTGCAGCAGCATGATCACAGCTCACTTCAATCTCAAATTCCTAGGCTCAACCAGTCCTCCCATCTCAGCCTCCCAAATAGCAAGACTACTGGTACATGCAACCATGCCCAGCTGTTTTTTATTTTTTGTAGAGATAGAGTCTTGCGATGTCGCACGTGTTGGTCTCAAACGCCTGGCCTCAAGTGATCTTCCTACCTTGGTCTTCCAAAGCACTGGGATTACAGGTGTGAGCCACAGTGCCCAGCCATACTGAATAATATTTTAGTATGGACAGATCCCAAGTGCTCACTTCAGCAGCACATATACTAAAATTGAAATGATACAGGGAAAATTAGCATGGCCCCTGCACAAGGATGACACATAAATTTGTGAAGCATTCCATGTTGTTATGAAAAGCAATAGCAAATGCTGGCGAGGATATGGAGAAAAGGCAGATCCCAAATTATTCATTGCGTGTCTGATGCTCAAACTTAACTGGGCATCCAACATATTACCTGGCAACCCTGCTCCCAGTGTGTGATACTTTGATCCTTGACATTTTTATTGCTTTGCTAGAGACCTGATTTTCCTCACATAACCTCATTTCCAAATTCTTTTATTTTTTAGAAAAGCCTAAGTTTCTAATATCCCTCCTCTGAACACAACCAACTTATCCATCACTTTTCACACCTTTTCTTCTACCAGCTACTGAATTGCTTCTTCCTCATTCCAGGTGTTTCATATTTGATCTCTCCAATTTTACCCAGTCTCCTGATCCCTCTTGACTACCTGTCTTTCTTGAAACCAGGACTTCAGTGTTCCACTCATTAATTCCCTGGATATTTTTCTCCTTTGGACTTTCTGCCACACCAGTTACTAATCCTAGATCTAACAAAAGGTTTACCCATGTCACCTTGCAGGCTTCAAAGAGTTATTGAAAACAGTCATAAAAACTTGGCAAAAGTAAAAATTTTGATATTCAGCATCCAGTAGGCCTTTGCTGCTACACAGGGGTCTTATCATTCATCTCCTCATCTCTCTTTTTTTTAATTCCTCTGAAAGCAGTTAAAAAGAACTGCCTCTGTACCATTGTATGCCTAAGCCTGATTTTAGACCCACCAGCATTAGAGTCACCTGGAATAATCTAATTAAAATGTGAATTCCTTGGCCATACCTGGGACCTACTGAATAAAAATCTTCAAGTGGGAGAGTGGAATAGAAAGCCTATAAATTTGAATTTTAAATCAGTTCTCCATGTAATTTTCATGAACACTAAAAACTGTGCATCACTGCTCTATTGAATAAATGCACCATCTTTTCCCGTCTACTGGGAAGAATACCTTTTGTTAACTTCTTTTTAGTGTCAGGTAGGATGGGATTACTTTATCTGCCCTTTTTTTCTATTCCAAACACAAATTTGGAAGAACTTCTTTTTCAAAAATAACTTACCTCTCTGACCTTTAATCCTATTCCCTTTTGCCTTTTTCATAATTTTTTAAAACAATCCTCTCATTTTCTATAATTTTCACTGCCTCTTCACTGAATCCTTTCACCTTGTAAAAGGTATGGCTGTCCTCTTTAAGAAAAAAAAAGGCTTTAATTTAATATACCACTCCTCCTTAAGCTACCATCCTATTTTCCTTTCCTTTCCCTCACCCAGCCCCCAAATTCTTGAATGGCCTATTTTAGAATACAATACTCTCTATATAGGTAGAATACACCTCTACCTACATAGTATTGTTATAAATGTATTCTTAAACCCCTATAATCTTTTTTCATTCCCTGTTCTAGTTAAGGTTTACAAATTTCCACCGAACATCTATTATTCCCTTGCCCTATCTCAATCCTTGTTCTCCCTGACCTATCATTCTTAAAACTCTCCACACCAGTGATTCCCAAACTTGTCCACAGACTGGAATCAGGTGGACAGTTCCAAAAGTGATAATGCCTGGGTCACATGCCCAGGATTTGTAATTTAATTGGTCTGAGGTGTGAGCTGAAATTTGAAAATTGTTTAAAATCCCTAGATGATTCTAATATACAGATATGTTGGAAAACCATTGCTCCAAACCTTTAATCTTCATGACATTAGTATCCTTAGTTTTTTCCTACCTTTTGAACTACTTCTTTTCCTGTTTACTAACTCCTTTTCCTCCCACTAAATCACACACCTCCAAATATGAATGTTAACCAAAGAGAAGTCCTCAATTCATTACTTTCCCTTACTATAATCAACATTAATTCAAGCCATGACAGAAGAGGTGTCTCAGGGATAATGCTGGTAACAATGTTGATACCCATTATAACATCAACAAATCTAATACACCACTAATTATAAGATGCATCATTATTTTGTGTAGCACTAAACGAAAAAAACACCTAAGATAAATTGGGGTCTAATAGGAGAATCCTACATAAAGCTAGGATCCCAAAGGACTACATCATCTTAAACCAAAGATAAATAATATATAAATCCACAATTTAGAAAGAAATCTCTCAACTTGGGCCATGGCAGAGGGGAGAAAACACCTCCTTAACAACATGAACCACCAGTTGGTATACATGCAGCTTTCCGATCTGTATTCATACCACCAGAGTGGTCCCCAAAACTTCTAACGGATAATTAAATTGAAAGTGCCTCAGGTTAAAGCATTCCAGGTGACTGCAAAAACGATACAAAACCTTTCTGAAAGGACCCCACTTCAATACAGGGATAAAGCAATGCTGAAAAGCCATCAATTGCAAAATACATCTTAATTGAAGATAAGTTAAAATGTGAAAAAAAAGTATACCCAGACAAAATAAAATAATTACAAAACCCATGTACATGACACTAGGTTTCCTAAGCATATGACACATATTAACTCATTTAATCCCCATGATGAGGTAACTACCATCAACCCCATTTACAGATGAGAAAACAAAAGCTCAGAGAAGTTTCTGCCCAAGGTCACACAGCTATTAGATATTGAAAATGGAATAAACTCAGGCAGATGTGACTTCTGAGTCCATGCCCTTAGCTATTGAGCTATGGATGTAATTCTGGAAAGCATCAATATTTAAGGGATAGGCAAGAAAAATGACCCAAAGATATCAAGGAAATTATGAAAACTGCCAGAGAAAAAACCACCTTACTCACAGAACAACTAAAGAAACTACTACTATGGTAGTAGCAGTTGAAGGCCAGAGGACAGTGGAACATCATTTAAGACTTGAATTTAAAATGTCAACTCAAAATTCTATATGCAGTGAAAATAAGGAGGGAAAAATAAAGACATTTCCAATAAATAAAAACTGAGAAAATTCATCACCAGCAGACCCACAACATAGAAAAAAAATGAAGATTTTTAAGATAAAGAAAAACAGTACCAGATTAAACTCAGATCTAAAGAAAAATTGAAAAGTACTGAAATAGCAAGTGTGTAGGTAAATAAAAAAGATTGTTTTGGCAGCCGGGCGCGGTGGCTCACGCCTGTAATCCCAGCACTTTGGGGGGCTGAGGCGGGCAGATCACGAGGTCAGGAGATCGAGACCATCCTAGCCAAAATGGTGAAACTCCGTCTCTACTAAAAATACAAAAATTAGCTGGATGTGGTGGCCTGTAATCCCAGCTACTTGGGAGGCTGAGGCAGGAGAACTGCTTGAACCAAGGAGGCGGAAGTTGCAGTGAGCCTAGATTATGCCATTGAGCTACAGCATAGTGACAGAGTGAGACCCTGTCTCACAAAAAAAAAAAAAAAAAAAAAAAGATTGTTTTATTAACTAGCTTAAAAGATGATTAAATAAGTTTTATAGCACTGTATGTGAGATTTATAATGGATGTATAGTTAAAATATATCACAATAAAATATAGGAGATGGTGAATGGTACTGTATTGTTACAGGGTGCTATAGTTTGGATAGATGTCTCTCTAAACCTCATGTTGAAATTGTATCTCCAATGTTGGAGGTGGAATCTAGTGGGAGGTTCTTGGGTCATGGAAGAGGATCCCTCATAAACAGCTTGGTGCCATCCTTAAAGTAATGAGAGTTCTCACTCTATTAGTTTCTACAAGAGCTCGTTGTCAAAAAAAAAAAAAAAAAGGAACCTAGCACCTCCTCCCCGCCTCACTTCCTCTCTCTTGTCAGGTGATCTCTGCATATACTGGCTCTCCTTTGCCTTCCACCATGAGTGGGAGCAGCCTGAAACCTTCACCAGAAGCAGATGTTGGTGCCATGCTTCTTGTACAGTCTGTAGAACCATGAGCCAAATAAACCTCTTTTCTTTATAAATTACCCAGCCTCAGGTATTCCTTTATAGCAACACTAAATGGACTGAGACACAGCATTCTTAACTACATATTAAATAGCACAATATTAACTTTTCTTTAAGAAGGCTGTGATAAGAAAACATATTATAATCCCTAAAGCAGTCATAGAATAATAATACCAAGAGGGATAGATAGCTAAGGACCTAATGGAGAATTTAAATGGAATTCAAGAAATATTTCATTTATTCAAAGAACGTAAGAAAAAAGAAAAAAACAGATGAAACATATGAGGAAAAAATCAAAATGGTAGACTGAAACCCAACCATTAATAATTATACTAAATGTAAATAAACTAAGCATTCCAATTAAAAGGCAAAGATTATCAAACTGGATAAAACAGTAAGATACAACTAAATGTTGAAATCAAGAGACTCACTTTAAATATAATGAAATAGAAGGTTAAAAGTAAAAGAATTAAAACATTCCATGAAATTATATGCATAAGAAAAGCAAATGTGGCTATATTAGTATCAGATAAAGTAGACTTCAATATGAAGAATTTACCAGAGATATAGAGGAGTATTTCATAACAACAAAAGGGCAAATTCACCACGAATACATAACAATTCAAAACATATGAGAGTATAACAGAACTCCAAAATATATTAAGTAAAAATTGAAATAGAGAGAGAAATGGGCAAATATACAATCATACCTGGAGATGTTAACACTCCTCTCTCATTAATTTATACAGTAACTAGACAAATCAATAAAGTTACAAAAAAATGTGAACTCTGTCAACCAACCTGACCTAAATCATATTTAAAGAACATTAACCAAAATAATTTAAAAATGCAGTCGTTCCAAAAGCGTATGAAATATTCACAAAGATGGATCGCATGCTGGTGCTGGTCCACAAAAAGAAAATCTCAAAACATTTTAACACTGAAATATTACAGAGTGTATTCTCTAGCCAAAACAAAATTACACTAGAAATCAATGCCATTAAGTTATTAAGAAGATCTTCCAATGTTCAGATATTAAACAACATACCAAAAATATTTGTAGGCAAAAGAAGGAAATTAGAAACTACTTTTAACTGAATGACAATGAAAACACCAACGTATCAGAATTTGTGAAAGTTTAAGCAACGCCTAAGAGATAAATTTATAGCCTTAACTGCTTGTATTTAAAAAAAAATTTAAATCAATTATTTAACTGCCTACCTTAAGAGCTAGAAAAAGAAGGGTATATTAGCCTGATACAAATGAAAGGAAGGAAATAATAATGATAAAAGCAGAAACAATGAAATAAGAAACAAACATATGACAGAAAAACGTCTAAGGGTGAAAAGTCGGTTTTTTTGAAAAAAAAAACCAGTAAAGTTTATAAACATCTGGCAAGAACAATCAAGAATAAAAGAGAAAAATAAACAAATTACTAACATTAGAAATAAGGAGGGAACACTGCTACATCCCATATCCATTTAAAAACATAAGAAAATATTATGAACAAATTTCATGTGTACATTATACAATTAAAGTAAAAGAAACAAATTCCTATAAAACACAATTTAACATAATTAAAACAAGATAAAATTTAAAATCTGAATAGAATTAGTCATCAAAAATGTTCTACCAACCCAAAACAAAACAAAGCACGCCAAGCCTGGGTTTCACCGATAAATTCCTTCAAATACCAACATTTAAACCAAAGCTAATAAATTTTTTACACAAGATATTTCACAAAACAGAAGAGGAAAGTACTTTCCAACTTACTTTTTGAGGCCAGGCTAACTCTCATATAACACTTGAAAAAAATATTACAAGAAAAATAAATTACAAACCAATATTATTCACAAACACTATTGCAAAAGTCTAACAAAATATCTGCACTAGCAAATTCAATCCAGCAATGCAGTAAAAGTACAGTTGGCCCACCATATCCACGGGTTCCACATTCATGAATTCAACCAACTGCAGATCAAAAATATTCAGAAAAAAAATTGGATGGTTACATCTGTACTGAATATGTACAGACTTATCTTGTCATTATTCTCTAAACAATTCAGTATAATAACTATTTACACCGTATTAGTTATTATAAGTAATACAGCAATTATTTAAAGGGAGGC
The DNA here is from genome assembly GCF_000001405.40 of Homo sapiens. NCBI lineage: Eukaryota > Metazoa > Chordata > Mammalia > Primates > Hominidae > Homo > Homo sapiens. Next base: position 31,680,717 of record NC_000014.9, on the reverse strand, counting down.
TGAGTGTAGATTGTATGCGAATACCACATTCACCACTTTATGTAAGAGACTTGAGCCTTCATGGATTTTGGTACCTATAGAGTTCCTGGAACCAATCCCCCACAGATATTGAGGGACAACTATAATTACAATATTACTCATTGTAATTAAAATATGATCAAGAAAACATTAACATCAGAAAATCAGTGAGAATAAATAACCAAATTAAAAAGAATAAAGGAGAAAAATTATATGATCATTTCAATAAGTGGTAAGGGAAAAGCATTTGAAAAAATTCAACATTTATGATTAACAATAAAAACTTTCAAGAAACAAGGAAACAGGAAGGAACTTCCTAACCTGAGAGAGGGCATGATACAGCTATCATCTTTCATAGCAACAAAATACTTAATGTTCTTCCCCACCAAAATCAGGATAAAGGCCAGGATGTCTCTTCTAATTCTGTGTTCAACATTATACTGGCAGTAAGTAAGGGCAATAAGAATACCAGAAAATCAAATTTAAGGAATGGATTGAAAAGGAAGAAATTAAGCTGTTTTATTTGCAGACAACATAAATGTACACACAAGACACTAATACAGTTACTAAACAACTACTAGATTATTAAAATTTAGCAAAGTCACAGGATTCAAGGTTAATGTACAAAAATCAGTAGTATATGTTTCTGTACACTAGCAACAAACAATTTGAAATTCAATACTTAAATAACAATTCAATTTACAAGATGATCAAAAAATATAAATTACATAAAAGATATATCTAACAAAAGAAGACCTATATGCTAAAAACTATAAAACATTACTCCAAGAAATTAAAGAATCTCTAACAAAATGTAGGAAAAGGTCACAGATTAGAAGACTCAATGTTGTCAGAATCTCAATTCATCCAAAATTGTTCTATATATTGAATATCATCCTAATAAAAGTATCAACATGCTTTTCTGCACAAATTGAATCTAAAATACATAGAAAAGTAAAAGAAACTAGAGCAGCCAAAACAATTGAAAAAACACAGTTGGAAAATGCACATTTCCTAATTTTAAGCCTTCTATAAAGCTATAATAATCAAGACAATGTGGTTTTACAGTAAGGATTAAACAAACAGATCAATGGAGCACAACTGCATATCCAGAATAGATGATACACATACGGTTAATTGATTTTTATCTAATATATAAATAAATTCAGGGAAAGGGAAGTCTTTCAAACAAATGATGCTAACATAACTGTATAAACTATAAAAAATTATAAACATTGACCCTTATTTCACACATAAAAATTAATTCAAGATGTACAAGACAGAACTATAAAGCTTTGAGAACATAAGAGAGAGACAGCAAAGCAAGATGGTGGAATAGAAGGCTGCAAAAAAATTGCCCCCCGCCCCCAACGCAGGAACACCAAATTTAACAACTCTCTACACACATACACAAAACCTACATAAGAACCAAAAATCAGATGAGCACTCAGAATACCTGGTTTCAATTTTATATTACTGAAAGACACACTGAAAAGGTCAGGAAAGACAGTCTTGAATTGTGGTCTCCACCCTTCCCCATCACCCAAGAGCTGTGTGGCACAGAGAATCTGTGTGCTTGGGGAGGGAGAATGCAGCAACTGTGAGACTTTGCACTGAACTTTGTGCTGCCCCATCATAGCAAAAAGCAGAACCAGGCTGCACCTACCTGATGCCTGCACACAGAGGAAGCATATGGACTGGCCCTAACCAGAGGGGAATCGCTCATCCCAGAGGTCGGAACCTGAGTTCCAGCAAGCCTCAACACCACGAGCTGGAGTGCTCTGGGATTCTAAATAAACTTCAAAGGGAGTCTAGGCTACAAGGACTGCAGCTCCTAGGCGAGTCCTAGAGCTGAGCTGTGCTCAGAGCCAGTGGACCAGGGAAGCACACAACCTACTAAGACACCAGCCAGGGCAGCTAATGGAGTGCATGCACCAACACTCCCCCAACCCCAGGCTGCACAGGTCGTGGCTTCACAAGAGACCCTTTCTTCACTTCAGGACAGGAGAGGGAAGAACAAAGAGAACTTTGTCTTGCATCTTGGATACCAGCTTAGCCACAGTAGGACAGGGCACAGAGCAGACCTGTGAGGACCCCACTCCAGGCTCATGGACGACATTCCTAGACACACCCTGGGCCAGAAGGTAACCCGATACCTTGAAGAGAAGGATCCAGTCATGGCAGGACCAACACCTGCTGAATAAAGGGCCTCTGGGCCATGAACAACCAGCAGCAATGCCCGGGAACTATGCCACGGTCCTTTGGGTGAGACTCTGAGATGTGCTGGCTTAAGGTAAGATACAGCACATTCCCTGCTGTGGTAGCTACAATGACAGACTTCATCTACTTGATAAAAGCAAAGGGAAAAGTAAAGGAGACTTTGCCTGGCACCTTAGGTGCCAGCTCAGCCACAGTGGGGTGGAGCACCATGTGGGGTCCTAGGTCCCTTGGCTCTTGGATGGCATTTCTGGACCTGCTCTGGGCCAGAGGGGAGCCCACTGCCCTGAAGAGTGAGTCTCAGGCCTGACAACCTTCACCACGAGCTGACTGAAGAGCCCTGGGGCCTTAAGTGAACATCAGTGGAAGCCTAGAAGTATGCCCTGTGGGTCTGTAGTGCTGGTGGCCACAGAGTGAGGCTCCTCTGCCTGTGGAAAGAAGAGGAAAGAATGGGAAGAACTGCACCTCATGCTTTGACTGCCAACTCAGCAGCAGTATAACAGAACACCAGGTAGACTTCTAAGGTTTCTGACTCCAGTCTGTGGCTCCCAGATGGCATCTCTGGACCCACCTGGGGTCTGGGAGAACTCACTGCCCTGAGGAAAGGACACAAGCCTGTCTCGCTTTGCCACCTGCTGATCGTACAGCTACAGGGCCTTGAGCAAACATAGTCAGTAGCCGGATAGTGGTAACAGCAGGACAAGACCCAGTGCTGTGCAGGCTTCAGGTCTGACTAGTGCAGTCACAGTGGTAGAGGACACAGGGGTGCTTGTGTCACCCTATCCCCAGCTTTAGGTAGCTCAGAACAGACAGAGAGAGATTCTGTTTGTTTGGGAGAAAGTAAGGGAAGAGAACAAGAGCCTCTGAATGGTAATCCAGAGAATTCACCCACATCTTGTCCAAGACCATCAAGGCAGTACCTCTGCACGTCTGCAAGAACCAAGCATTACTAGGTTTGGGGTGCCCCCTAAAGCAGATACAACTTAGATCACAACACTCAAGTCCTCTCAAATATCTGAAATAAGCCAGACATAGAAAGATAAACATCACATGTTCTCACTTATCTGTGGTACCTAAAAATTAAAACAACCGAACTCATGGAGATAGAGCATAGAAAGATGGTTACCTGAGGATGTGAAGGGTGGTGGGGGTGGAGGGAATGGGGATGGCTGATGGGTACAAACAAACAGAAAGAATGAATAAAACCTAATATTTGCTAGCACAACACGGTGACTGTAGTTATAGTAAAAAATAATTTGATGGTACATTTTAAAATAGCTAAAAGAGTATAATTCGATTGTTTGAAACACAAAGGATAAATGCTTGAGGGGATGAACACCCCATTTACTCTGATGCAATTATTACTCAGTGCCTGTCTGTATCAAAATATCTCATGTACCCCATAAATATACTAATCTACTATATACCCATAAAATTTTTAAATTAAGAATTTTAAAAAAGAAAAAAAAATAAATACATTCTTATCATTATAACCTTGGGGTAAACAGGCAAAGATTTCTTAAAGAGGATACAAAAAGCACTAAGCATAAAAAAGATAAGAAATTGGAATTCATTAAAATTCAAACTCCAGCATAAAAAGACAAGCCACAGACTGGGATAAATACTCCCAATATCTATTACCTGACAATGGACTCATGGCCAAAATACGTACAAATTCCTACAACTCAATTACTAAAAAATAAATAAATAAAAATAAAAAATAAAAAATAAAAAATGAGTAGAAGACTTGAACAGACACGTCACAAAAGAAAATATGAGATCTAATACACATGTGGAAAAGGGCTCAATATTATTGATCATCAGGGAAACACAAATTAAAACCATAACAAGATACATTTTATATCTATTAGAATGGTTAAAAGTAACGAGACTGACAACACCAAATGTTAACACAAATGTGAAGCAACTGGAAAACTTCTGAACAACTGTAAAAGTATTATAGAGGTATTATTCACAATAGCCCAAAACTGGAGACCACCCAAATATTCATCAACAGAAAAAAAAAACATTTTATTATATTCATACAATGGAATCCTACTTAGCAATAAAGAAGACCCAACTACTATTATATGCAACAATAAACATGAATTTCAAAAGCCTTAGGCTAAGTGAAACCATATAAAAAAAAAGCTACATCCTGGACGGTTGCAGTGGCTCACGCCTGTAATCCCAGCACTTTGGGAGACCGAGACGGGCAGATCACCTGAAGTTGGGAGTTCAAGACCAGCCTAACCAACATGGAGAAACCCCGTCCCTACTAAAAATACAAAATTAGCCAGGCGTGGTGGCGCATGCCTTGTAGTCCCAGCTACTCAGAAGGCTGAGGCAGGAGAATTGCTTAAACCTGGGAGGCGGAGGTTGCAGTGAGCTGAGATGGCACTATTGCACTCCAGACTGGGCAACAAGAGCTAAACTCTGTCTCAAAAAAAAAAAAAGCTACATCCTGTATAATCCTATTCATTTGAAATTTAAAAACATGTAAAACTCACTACGGTGACAGAAATCACAATGATTGTCTATGGGTATGGGATGAAACAGAAGGGGACCCAAGGAAACTCTCTTGGAGGATGGAAATGCTATTTAGTTTGATTGGGTTATGATTACATAGGTATATATATTTATCAAAAATCACTGAATTATATACTGAAAATCTATGCATCTCATTGTATGCATAATTTTAGCTCAACAAAGTATTGTCAGGGAGAAAAAGAAAAAAACAAAACAACTTTAAACCAGACTTCTAGTTCAGGATATCAGAATGACCACAGTATTTTTCTTCTCCCCATAAATGGGTACTAGGAGGGAACATGAGAGGATGTTCTGGATCACTGGTTTTGTTCTAGTTATCTTGTTCTAAATGATGATTATATAGGTGTTTCAACTTTGGGATAATTTATCTAATTATACTCATGATTTGTACATTCTTCTGTATATATGTTATATTCAATTGTTTAAAATGAGCCAATGAATCAGGTACAAAAGTTCTATCTAGCTACTGAATTTTCATTAAGGATGTTAAATTTACCAAATAATGGTTTGGTTTCTAAATCAAAACAAAAGTGAAAACACTCCTTAGCTCTGATGATCAGCATTAGTCCCAGTGTAGGCCTAAAATACCAGCTTTTCAGCTCCCAATAAAATGCACACATGAAAGTGACTTCACGAAAGACTGTAAGATAGATATACTCTAGGTAACCTCAAAGCATCCCAATAAAATATGAATCCATTTTCTTACCCCATCTTTATCCTGATATTCTATAGTATGTTTGCTGAAAATGTATCCACCATACTTCTCAAAATAAACTGTAACTTTTTTTTTTTTTTTGAGACGGAGTCTTACTCTGTCACCCAGGCTGGAGTGCAGTGGCACGATCTCGGCTCACTGCAAGCTCCGCCTCCCGGGTTCACGCCATTCTCCTGCCTCAGCCTCCCGAGTAGCTGGGACTACAGGCACCCGCCACCAAGCAGGGCTAATTTTTTTGTATTTTTAGTAGAGATGGGGTTTCACCGTGTTAGCCAGGATGGTCTCGATCTCCTGACCTCGTGATCCGCCCATCTCGGCCTCCCAAAGTGCTGGGATTACAGGCGTGAGCCACCACACCTAACCAATAAACTGTAACTTTTATACAATTTATGTGTCAGAGAGCTTGTTTTTGCCAAATCTTCATTTGGACCTCTGCTAGACTACCAAATTCCCTGAATATTTTTTGAGAATAACAACATGTAAAATCTGATGACTGAAGTGTTGTGAAGGTAGCTAAATTCAAAAATCAAAAATATATAATGCAGGCAATTAACACAACTATTCTATATTCTCTGATAGTATTTAGAAGTACAGAAAACAGAGGGTGGGTTAATCAAGACAAATAAAGGTCAAGGTCACAAAGGAATTGGTGGGGATGGGGTGGTTTGGGGATTTTAAATGAAATCACTAACTAGGGGATCTGACAGTAAAAGAGGAGAAAATGAAACCAAGAGACTTAAATGACTAGGACCAAAAATCAAACAGCACATTTATCACAATTCAAGCAGCAAAAGTGGTAGAAAGGCAAGATGTTATAGTGAAAAAAAGAAGAGTTTCAGAGTTCAAGACAGATTTCATCTACTTAATTGTATACCTGAAAATGAATATAGGAGTATCTACCATTAGAATTATCAACCTATTGCATGGTGCCTGACCCAAAGTAGAATCTGAACAAATAAAAGGTAACTGTTATAAGTTGATGAAGTAAATGCAAATTACTTTTAACTTTTACCTAGAAGACAATTACAAACTCAAATCTACTGAGAAAAAAATAAAACTTATTCCAAGCTAACTATAAATAACATATAGCCCAATTGATATTTTTAGATTATCCAATCAAATGTTCTCTTCTTTTCTTAAGGCTAAATTAAAGTTGATTGGACAGATATTACACATGCAAATATATAACCATATATACTCAAAACAAAATTTTACTTTTTTCTGGAGCAATTTTAAATCACAAGTACATTGGTTTATATAATTTTTTTCTACATCTGTAGAATTTCTACACTGCCCTTATAACTCAATATTGACCACAATGAGATTAATCACAAATCTAAAGAAGGAAGATAACTTATAAAAATTGATTTGGTCTTCTTACTGCAGACACAGTCAAAGCAAGAAAACAGTATTAAGTAAGACAATAGAATTTTTAGTACTCACAAGCAATGGGAAAGATTAAATCATGTTAACAGTGAAGTTTGGTCTTGGCATCACATTAACTCATTAGGTGCCATATTACGCATTATACATTCATCCCATCAACTGATTCCTGAATGCAAATTTTAACAATTCTCCAATCAGCAAATGTATTAACCACAGCTTTGCCAATGATAAAATGATATTTAAAGCAATATTCTTACCTGCCTCAACAATTTCTCAATGGCCGACATTACCATAAGGCCTCTCCAAACTACTGGTTCACTTTCTTCAACCAGAAAGCCCATAGACATACTGCAACAGTAACATAAAAATACAACTAATTTGTATAAATTAATCAACATTATTCTGAAAAGTAACATTAAAAATATATATATGCTCACCAAGCAATACCATAATTCAAGAGAGGCCTCATTAGGTTGCCTGGAAAAAAAAAAAATCCTCTCTTTTAGAACAATAAAACACAACACATAAACATTCTGAATTGGGTTTTTTTTTCATCTTTTTAAAAATTTTTTTAATTAACAAAAATTGCATATGTTTACGGGGTACAACGTAATGTTATGATACATGTCTACATTGTAGTAGAATAATAATAAGTAAATAAATAATAAACCATGCTAATTAGCATTCCACATCACCTCACATATTCTTTCTTTGCAGTAAAAACATTTAAAGTCTACTCTTTTAACAATGTTGAAATATACAAAAAATGATTGTTAACAATAGTCACCATGCTGCGCAACAGATCACTAGAACTTATTCCCCCTGTCTAACTGAAACTTCGCACTACTTGACTAACATCTCCCCTTTGCCCGTCCATCCTTCCAGGATCAAAGAATACCAAACTGGAAATACAAATAGGCTACTCATATTGTGCAATTTAACTTTCAACTAAATATAACTCAATTTGCAACAGTTTAAACATTATACCAAGCATACTATTTCCAATAGACACAACATTGATAAATAGTTGGGACATAATTGTATTAAGAAATACTTCAAATACAATTTTAAATATGTTTCTAAAAAACAGCCTCAATACCAGGCACAGTGGGAGGCCAAGGTGGGTGGATTACTTGAGGTCAGGAGTTCTAGACCAGCCTGGCCAACATGGTAAAATGCTGTCTCTACTAAAAATACAAAAATTAGCTGGGCATGGTGGTGCACGCCTATAGTCCCAGCTATTCAGGAGGCTAACATGAAAGAATCGCTTGGACCTGGGAGGCAGACGTTGCAGTGAGCCCACATTGTGCCACTGCACTCCAGCTGGGTGACAGAACAAGACTCTGTCTCAAAAAAAATAAATAACCTCAATAAAACAACTCAACTACAATTTTAAAATGTTTCTAAAAAATAGCCTCAATAACTAATTTTGTCCAATTTTATTCATATACAAAGATACATAAACATATAAATTATATATATGCTAATCTAATATGTGCATACATGTATGTGTATATTTGCATGCACACACACACACACACACACACACACACACACATATCTAATCAGTCCTTCCTACACTGGAGTGTTACTACTTATTTGTTCCTTTACTTAGCTTAAAAAGTATAAAAATCCACAAAAGTAGAAAAACTCAATTTTGAAATCTGAGATGAAAAATTGCATTAATCTGTAGAGAAAAGCAATCTATTGCTTATAGTGAAGTAAAAAAATCCTTTATATAGTCAACAAATGATTACAATAAAATATAATTTGTTTTATCAAACTATCTATGCAATCACCTTCCCACTCACTCTTGCTTTCATATCCTACTTCTCTACCATAACAAATATGATTTGGACAAGTATTGGGCAAAAAGTCTAGGACAAAGTCATAAAACCTAGGAGTATCCTGTTTTCAGATTTCAAGATATGTTCTTCAGGGTTTTTCCCCTCTTGTCAAGAGACTGAGACTGAAAACTGTGTAAAGCATATATGCATGGATTATATAAGAAATCCTCTGCCATATTCCATTCATTGAATCCCTACTCAAAGAAAAAGCCGTGGTCCTTCATTAAAGGAATACTCAATGAGTGTATGTTTATAGTTTCCTTCTTTAATTTCTGGCTAAACTAACTAGCTCAATCTCCCCATACCTAATTTGAAAGCACTATTTTTCTTCTATGTGATTTTCTCAATTCTTTCCAAAGCATCCAATTATAACCTTTCGCTATCACGGTTGGCAATATTTTTGGCCATTTTCTTCAATTACCATATGAATACAGATTAAAGAATCTGAACTATCACATGCTTTTTCACCTTTGATCTGCTAAAACGGTGAGTTACACTAAGAGATTTTTCCTAATTTGGAAACAAACTTGCTTTCCTGGATTAAACCCAATTTAATTATAATGCAGTTGTTTTATAGAATGCTGAATTTGGTCTGCTAATATTTGCTTAATGTGATATCAGTATGTCAAAGAGATATCTGCACTCCTATGTTTACTGCAGCACTATTCGCAATAGTCAAGATATGAAATCAACCTAAATGTCCAACATTAGATGAACGTATAAAGAAAATTTGGTATATAGACACAATAGAATACTATTCATCCATTAAAAAGAATGAAATCTAACTAACTAGGGAGGTGAAAAATCTCTACAATGAGAATTACAAAACACTGCTCAAAGAACACAGAGATGAGACAAATAAATGGAGAAACATCCCATGCACATGGATAGGAAGAATCAATAACATTAAAATGGCTATACTCCCCAAGGCAATTTACAGATTCAATGCTATTCCTATCAATCTACCAATGACATTCTTCACAGAACTAGAAAAAACTATTTTAAAATTCATAAGCAACCAAAAAATAGCCCAAACAGCCAAGGTAATCCAAAGCAAGAAAAACAAAGCTGGAGGAATCATGGTACCCAACTTCAAACTACACTACAGGGCTACCGTAACCAAAACAGCATGGTACTGGTACAAAAACAGGCACATGGACCAATGGAACAGAATAAAGAGCCCAGAAATAAGGCCACACAACTACAACCATCTGATCTTCAATAAAGCTGACAAAAACAAGCAATGGGGAAAGGATTCTCTATTCCATAAATGGTGCTGGGATAACTGGCTAGTCATAAGTAGAAATTGAAGCTGGACCCCTTTCTTACACCATATACAAAAATCAACTCAAGATGGATTAAAGACTTAAATGTAAAAGCCAAAACTATAAAAATCCTGGAAGACAACCTAGGTATTACCATCCTGGACATAGGAATGGGCAAAGATTTCATGACAAAGAAAGCAAAAGCAATCACAACAAAAGCAAAAATTGACAAGTGGGATCTAATTAAACTTAAGAGATTCTGCACAGCAAAAGGAACTATCAACAGAGTAAACAGACAACCTATAAAATGGTAGAAAATATGTGTAAACCATACATCTGACAAAGGTCCGATATCAAGCCTCTATAAGGAAGTTAAATTTAGAAGAGAAAAACAACCCCATTAAAAGTGGGCAAAGGACATGAAAAGACACTTCTCAAAAGAAGACATACATGCAGCCAAAACACATATGAAAAAAAGATCAATATCACTGATCATGAGAGAAATGCAAATAAAGACCACAATGAGATACCAACTCACACCAGTCAGAATGGCTATTATTAAAATATCAAAAAATAACAGATGTTGGCAATGTTACGGGGAAAAGGCAACACCTACACACTGGTGATGGAGGTGTAAATTAGCTCAACCATTCTGGAAAGCATATGGCAATTCCTCAAAGAGCTAAACACAGAATTACCATGCAACCCAGCAATCCCATTACTGGGCATATACCCAGAGGAATATAAATCATTGTACCATAAAGACACATGCACACAAATGTTCACTGCAGCACTATTCACAATACCAAAGACATTAAATCAACTTAAATACCCATCAATGACAGACTGGTTAAAGAAAATGTGGTACATATACACCATGGAATACTAGGCAGCCGTAAAAAAAAAAAAACAAAAAAAAAAACCAAGATCATGTCTTTTGCAGGAAGATGGATAGAGCTGGAGGCCATTATCCTTAGCAAACTAATGCAGGAACAGAAACCCAAATACCACGTGTTCTCACTTACAAGTGGGAACTAAATGATAAGAACTTAGGGACACAAAGAAGGAAACAACAGACAGTGGGGTCTACTTGACGGGAAAATCGGAGGAGGAAGAGAGGAAAAAATATAACTATTGAGTACTAGGTTTAATATCTGGGAAATGAAATATGTACAACAAACCCCTGTGACATGTGTTTAGCTAAGTAACAAACCTTCATATGTACTCACAAACATAAAATAAAAGTTTAAAAAAAAAAAAGCAAAGAAAAGGAAGGAAATTCTGTCATTTTCACAAACATAAATAAGCCTGGAGGACATTAAGTGAAATAAACCAGACACAGAAATTCAAATACTACATGCATTAACAATAAGGTATTGTGTATCTCAAAATAGCTTACAATATTTTAAATGTTCCCACAACAAGGAAATAATGTTTGAAGTGATTAATCTGCTCATTACCCTGATTTAATTATGATACAATGCAATACATATACTGACACATCAAATTGTGTCCCATAAATATATGCAATTATGTGTCAATTAAAAATAAAAATAAAGCCAGGCACAGTGGTGCATGCCTGTAGTCTTGGCTACTCAGGAGGCTGAAGTTCGAGAGTCAATTGAGCCCAGGAGTTTGAGTCCAGCCTGAGTAACATAGTGAGACCCCAACTCTAAAAATAAAATAAATAAAATCATTTTAAAATTTAATAAATAAGGAGCAGGGCAAGATGGGCAAATAGGAACAGTTCTGGTCTGCAGCTCCCAGCGAGACCAATGCAGAAGGCAGGATATTTCTGCATTTCCAACTGAGATACACAGTTCATCTCACCGGAACTGGTTAGAGGGAAAGGGCAGCCCACTGAGGGTAGGCAGAAGCAGCGTGGGGTGTCACCTCATCTGGGAAGTGCAAGGGGCTGGGGACCTCCCTCCCTTAGCCAAGGGAAGCCCTGAGGGACTGTGCCATCCGGCTCAGCTACTAGGCTTTTCCTACGGTTTTTGCAACCTGCAGACCAGGAGATTCCCTCAAGTGCCTACACCACCAGCGCCCTGGGTTTCAAGCACAAAACTGGGCAGCTGCTTGGGCAGACACTGAGCTAGCTGCAGGAGTGTTTTTTCATACCCCAATGGCACCTGGAACCCCAGTGTGACAGAACCGTTCACTCCCCTGAAAAGGGGCTGAACCCAGGGAGCCAAGTGGTCTTAGTGAGTCCCACCCCTACAGAGCCCGGCAAGCTAAGATCCACTGGCTTGAAATTCTTGCTGCCAGCACGGCAGTCTGAAGTCAACCTGGGACAATAGAGCTTGGCACGGAGAGGGGCGTCAACCAATACTGAGGCTAGAGTAGGTGGTTTTCCCCTCACCGTATTAAGGAAGCCACCAGGAAGTTCAGACTGGGTGAAACCCACCACAGTGCAGCAAAGCAGCTATGGGCAGACTGCCTCTCTAGATTCCTCCTCACTGGGCAGGGAATCTCTGAAAGAAAGGCAGCAGCCCCAGTCAGGGACGTAAAGATAAAACCCCCATCTCCCTGGGACAGAGCACCTGGAGGAAGGCGCAGCTGTGGATGCAGCTTCAGCTGACTTAAACATTCCTGCCTGCCGACTCTGAAGAGAGCAGGGGATCTCCTATCCTAGCACTGCATTCAAGCTCTGCTAAGAGACAGACTGCCTCCTCAAGTGGGTCCCTGACACCTGTGCCTCGTGACTGGGAGACACCTCCCAGCAGGAGTTGACAGACACCTCATACAGGACAGCTCCAGCTGGCATCTGGTGGGTGCCCCTCTAGGACGAAGCTTCCAGAGGAAGGAACAGGCAGCAATCTTTGCTGTTCTGCAGCCTCTGCTGGTGATACCCAGGCAAACAGGGTCTGGAGTGGACCTCCAGCAAACTCCAGCAGACCTGCAGAAGAGGAGCCTGACTGTTAGAAGGAAAACTAACAAACAGAAAGCAATAACATCAACATTAACAAAAAGCACGCCCATGCAAAAAACCTATCCAAAGGTCATCAGCATCAAAGATCAAAGGTAGATAAATCCACAAAGATGAGGAAAACCCAGCGCAAAAATGCAGAAAATTCCAAAAACCAGAATGCCTCTTCTCCTCCAAGTAATCACAACTCCTCTCCAACAAGTGCACAAAACTGAACAGAGAAGAGTATGACGAATTGACAGAAGTAGGCAGAAGGTGGGTAATAATAACAAACTCCTTTGAGCTAAAGGAGCATGTTCTAACCCAATGGAAGGAAGCTAAGAACCTTGATAAAAGGTTACAGGAAGGGCTAACTAGAATAACCAGTTTAGAGAAGAAGATAAATGACCTGATGGTGCTGAAAAACACAGCACGAGAACTTCATGAAGCATACACAAGTATCAATAGTCGAATTGATCAAGCGGAAGAAAGGATATCAGAGATTGAAGATCAACTTAATGAAATAAAGCTTGAAGACAAGATTACAGAAAAAAGAATGATAAGGAAAGGACAAAGCCTCCAAGAAATATGGGACTATGTGAAAAGACCAAACCTACGATTGATTGGTGTACCTGAAAGTGATGAGGAGAATGTAACCGAGCTGGAAAACACTCTTCAGGATATCATCCAGGAGAACTTCCCCAATCTAGCAAGACAGGCCAACATTCAAATTCAGGAAATACAAACACTACTAAGATAATCCTCGAGAAGAGTAACCCCAAGACACATAATCATCAGATTCACCAAGGTTGAAATGAAGGAAAAAATATTAAGGGCAGCCAGAGAGAAAGGTCAGATTACCTACAAAGGGAAGCCCATCAGACTAACAGTAGATCTCTCTACAGAAACCCTACAAGCCAGAAGAGAGTAGGGGCCAACATTCAACATTCTTAAAGAAAAGAATTTTCAACCCAGAATTTCATATACGGCCAAACTAAGCTTCATAAGTGAAGGAGAAATAAAAACCTTTAGAGACAAGCAAAAGCTGAGGGATTCTGTCACCACCAGGCCTGCTGTACAAGAGCTCCTGAAGGAAGCACTAAATATGGAAAGGAAAAACCAGTACCAGCCACTGCAAAAACATACCAAAATATAAAGACCAATGACACTATGAAGAAACCGCATCAACTAATGTGAAAAATAACCAGCTAGCATTATGATCAAATTCACACATAACAATATTAACCTTGGCCGGGCACGGTGGCTCATGCCTGTAATCCCAGCACTTTGGGAGGCCGAGGCGAGCAGATCACAAGGTCATGAGTTTGAGACCAGCCTGACCAATATGGTCAAACCCTGTCTCTACTAAGAATATAAAAATTAGCCAGGCATGGTGGTGCATACCTGCAGTCCCAGCTACTCAGGAGGCTGTAGCAGAAGAATTGTTTGAACCCGGGAGGCGGAGGTTGCAGTGAGCTGAGATTGCACCACTGCACTCCAGCCTGGGAGACAAAGGGAGATTCCGTCTCAAAAAAAATAAAATAAAATTATATATATATATATATATATATATATATATATATCTTAAATATAAATGGGCTAAATGCCCCAATTAAAAGACACAGACTGGCAAATTGGATAAAGAGTCAAGACCCATCAGTGTACTGTATTCAGGAGACCCATCTCATGCAAAGACACACATAGGCTCAAAATAAAGGGATGGAGGAATATTTACCAGGCAAATGGAAAGAAAAAAAAACCAGGGTACAATCCTAGTCTCTGATAAAACAGACTTTAAACCAACAAAGATCAAAAAAGACAAATAAGAGCATTACATAATAGTAAATGGATCAATGCAACAAGAAGCATTATCTTAAATATATATGCACCCAATACAGGAGCACCCGGATTCACAAAGCTAGTTCTTAGAGACCTACAAAGAGACTTAGACTCCCCCACAGTAATAGTGGGAGACTTTAACACCCCACTGTCAATACTAGACAGATCAACAAGACAGAAAATTAACAAGGAGATTCAGGACTTGAACTCAGCTCTGGACCAAACAGACCTAATAGACATCTACAGAACTCTCCACCCCAAATCAAGAGAATACACATTCTTCTTAGCACCACATCACACTTATTCTAAAACTGACCACATAATTGGCAGTAAAACACTCCTTGCCAAATGCAAAATAATGGAAATCATAACAAACAGTCTCTCTCTCACACCATGGTGCAATCAAGTTAGAACTCAGGATTAAGAAACTCAATCAAAACTGCACAACTACGTGGAAACTGAAAAACCTGCTCCTGAATGACTACTACTGGGTAAATAATGAAATTAAGACAGAAATAAATCAGTTCTTTGAAACCAATGAGTTCAAAGATACAATGTACCAGAATCTCTGGGACACAACTAAAGCAGTGTTTAGAGGGAAATTTATAGCACTAAATGCCCACATCAGAAAGCTGGAAAGATCTAAAATAGACACCTTAACATCACAATTAAAAGAACTAGAGAAGCAAGAGCAAACAAATTCAAAAGCTAGCAGAAGACAAGAAATAACTAAGATCAGAGAAGAACTGAAAGAGATAGACACGAAAAACCCTTCAAAAAATCAATGAATCCAGGAGCTGGTTTTTTTGAAAAGATTAACAAAATGGGTAGACCACTAGGCAGACTAATAAAGAAGAAAAGAGAGAGGAATCAAATAGACACAATGAAAAATGATGAAAGGGATATCACCACTGAACCCACAGAAATACAGAATACCATCAGAGAATACTATAAACACCTCTACGCAAATCAACTAGAAAATCTAGAAGAAATGCATAAATTCCCGGACACATACACCCTCCCAAGACTAAACTAATACCTGAATAGACCAATAACAAGTTCTGAAATTAAGGCAGTAATTAATAGCCTAACAACCAAAAAAGCCCAGGACCAGACAGATTCACAGACGAACTCTACCAGAGGTACAAAGAGGAGCTGCTACCATTCCTTCTGAAACTATTACAAACAACAGAAAAGAGGGACTCCTCCCTAATTCATTTTATGAGGCCAGCATCAGCCTGGTACCAAAACCTGGCAAAGACACAACAAAAAAAGAGGAAATTTTAGGCCTACATCCCTGATGAACATCGATGTGAAAATCCTCAATAAAATGCTGTCACACCAAATCCAGCAGCACATCGAAAAGCTTATCCACCACGATCAAGTTGGCTTCATCCCTGGGATGCAAGGCTGGTTCAACATACACAAATCAATAAACGTAAGCCATCACATAAACAGAACCAATGACAAAAACCACATGATTATCTCAATAGATGCAGAAAAGACCTTCAACAAAATTCAACAGCCCTTTATGCTAAAATCACTCAATAAACTAGGTATTGATGGAACGTATCTCAAAATAATAAAAGCGATTTATGACAAATCCATAGCCAATATCACACTGAATGGGCAAAAGCTGGAAGCATTCCCTTTGAAAACCAGCACAAGACAAGGATGCCCTCTCTCACCACTCCTACTCAACACAGTATTGGAAGTTCTGGCCACGGCAATCAAGCAAGAGAAAGAAATAAAGTGTATTCAAATAGGAAGAGAGGAAGTCAAATTGTCTCTGCAGATGACATGATTGTTTATTTAAAAAACCCCCATTGTCTGAGTCCAAAAACTCCTTAAGCTGATAAGCAACTTCAGGAAAGTCTCAGGATATAAAATTAATGTGCAAAAATCACAAGCATTCCTATACACCAATAACAGACAAACAGAGAGCCAAATCATGAGTGAACTCCCATTCATAATTGCTATAAAGAACATAAAATACCCAGGAATACAACTTACAAGGGACGTGAAGGACCTCTTCAAGGAGAACTACAAACCACTGTTCAAGGAAATGAGAGGACACAAACAAATGGAAAAATATTCTGTGTTCATGGATAGGAACATTCAATATTGTGAAAATGGCCATACTGCCCAAAGTAATTTATAGATTGAATGCTATTCCCATCAAGCTACCATTGACTTTCTTCATAGAATTAGAAAAAACTACTTTATATTTCATATGGAACAAAAAAAGAGCCTGCATAGCCAAGACAATCCTAAGCAAAAAGAACAAAGCTGGAGGCATCATGCTACCTGACTTCAAACTATACTACAAGGCTACAGTAACCAAAACAGCACGATACTGGTACCAAAACAGATATATGGACCAATGGAACAGAACAGAGGCCTGAGAAATAACACCACACATCTACGACCATCTGACCCTTGACAAACCTGACACAAACAGGCAATAGGAAAAGGATTCCCTATTTAATAAACAGTGTTGGGAAAACTGGCTAGCCATATGCATAAAACTGAAACTAGACCCCTTCCTTACACCTTATACAAAAATTAACTCAAGATGGATTGAAGACTTAAATATAAGACCTAAAACCATAAAAGCCCTAGAAAAAACCTAGGCAATACCATTCAGGACATAGGCATGGGCAAAGACTTCATGACTAAAACACCAAAAGCAATGGCAACCAAAGCCAAAATTGACAAATGGGATCTAATTAAACTAAAGAGCTTCTACACAGCAAAAGAAAACTATCATCAGAGTGAACAGGCAACCTACAGAATGGTAGAAAATTTTTGCAATCTATCCATCTGACAAAGGTCTAATAAACAGAATGTACAAGGAACTTAAACAAATTTACAAGAAAAAAACAACCCCATCAAAAAGTGGGTGAAGGATATGAACAGACACTTCTCAAAAGAAGATATTTATGTAGCCAACAAATATATGAAAAAATGCTCATCATCACTGGTCATTAAAGAAATGCAAATCAAAACCACAATGAGATAGCATCTCATGTGAGTTAGAATGGCGATCATTAAAAAGTCAGGAAACAGCAGATGCTGAAGAGGATGTGGAGACATAGAAATGTTTTTACACTGTTGGTGTACCATTTGATCCAGCAATCCCATTACTGGGTATATACCCAAAGGATTATAAATCATTCTACTATAAAGACACATGCACATGGATATTTATTGCAGCACTATTGACAATAGCAAAGACTTGGAACCAACCCAAATGCCCATCAATGATGGACTGGATAAAGAATATACACCACAGAATACTATGCAGCCATAAAAAGGATGAGTTCATGTCCTTTGTAGGGACATGGATAAAGCTGGAAACCATCATTCTCAGCAAACTAACACAGGAACAAAAACACCAAACACCGCATGTTCTCAATCATAAGTGGTAGTTGAACAATGAGAACAGATGGACACAGGGAGGGAAACATCACATACCAGGGCCTGTCGGTGGGTGGGGGGCAGAGGGAAGGGATAACATTAGGATAGATAACCTAAAGCATGTGGGGCTTAAAAGCCTAGATGACACGTTGACAGATGCAGCAAACCGCCATGGCACTTGTATATGTATGTAACAAATCTGCACATTCTGCACGTGTATCTCAGAACTTAAAGTATAATAAAATAAAATAAAGTAAAATAAAATAAAATAAATATAAATATTAAAAATTAATAATTTTAATGCATATTTTAATTCCTATAGTTAATATATGATAAATTATAAATTGAAAGCTCAGAAATGTGAGCAGATTCATCACCATGTTAAATGTGTTTCTTTAAAATTTAACAGGTACTCACTTTGGCAGCACCTAAACTGAAATTGGAATGATACAGAAGATTAGCATGGCCCCTGCAGAAGGATGATACGGAAAATTTAACAAAGAAAAAAGCACATTGAAATAAAAATGTATAGCATATACATTAAAAAGAATGTCATAAGCAAAGATATTAGAAAAGATAGAACTTTGTTGTAATAAAGTGAGAAGGATGCAGCATTGAGGCAACTAAAATAGTTATCTTTTCTTATGTATCAGTAAACAAAATTAAAATTGCCTAAAAGCATTTTGCTTTAATTATAAAAATTACCAGAAATGGGCCAGGTGCAGTGGCTCACGCCTGTAATCCCAGCACTTTGAGAGGCCAAGGCAGGTGGATCACGAGGTCAGGAGATTGAGACCATCCTGGCCAACATGGTGAAACCCCGTCTCTACTAAAAATACAAAAAATTAGCTGGGTGTGGTGGTGAGCGCCTATAGTCCCAGCTACTCGGGAGGTGAGGCAGGAGAGTGGTGTGAACCCAGGAGGCAGAGGTTGCCGTGAGCCAAGATCACACCACTGCACTCCAGCCTGGGTGACAGTGCGAGACTCCGTCTCGGAGAAAAACAAAAAATTACCAGAAATGAAATGTTGGCATAGTCTGAAGCCATATTTTTTAGTTAATTAAGAAAGACTCTACACAACAACTCATGATTACAGGTACAAATAAGTTTCTTTGCCTTAGAATTTTATTTTTTAAAAATGTGTACAGCAACTCCTCCACATAAACTTAATAGAAAAACTTACAACGTACTAACAAGTGAAAGTTAACAAAGAAACTTTGGAATCCACTGCCCTGTGAATAATAGCTTTTTGAAGAGGCCATTATTAGCTGAACTTATCATGATACAGATCATTATTTCCTACCTCCTCATATTTTCATGAGAGCTCATGCACTGAAGCATAAAAGATTCTTACTGTAAGTCAAACTATTTCAGTTGCCACAATGCTGCATCCTTCTCACTCTATTACAACAAAGTTCTATCTTTTCTAATAGGTGTGAATTTAATTAATCTTTTGTATGTAACCAGTTGGTTTCAAACAAATCTAGGGACTGCTTTTATATTATAAATTAATTGTTAAACTAGAATAAATGCCACTGTGACCACATCAAACTAAAGAGCTAGGTAAAAAGGAAATAGGCACAAGAACAGCTGCTTTACATCTTCCTATTAAAGTTGACATCTTTACATGTTCCAGGGATAACTCTGATCTAGAATCAGATCTTCTTTTTATAGGAATTCCATTGTTCGTGAATCAACTATGTAGTAGATGTCACCATGTACTTGGTATTAGCAATAAGCCTTAGAAACCTTTGTACTTTCTACTCTGTTCCCTGGCTCCAAAAATAAAGAGTTTGAAATGTAGCTGAACACCATGGTTCAGGAATATATGTCTAAAACAACATTATCACTTGAAATCATTTAACTAGAAGCATTAAATCCATTTCTTAAAATGGGGACAGAGAGTATAATCAAGAATATACAACCTCATTTTATAAATTTTAAATAATATTCAAACACAGGGTAAAGTAAAAGAAAAAATATTTATTTTTAAAGTTTTATAAAAAATAAACCTGTATTCGTATCTTGAAGAAAAGACATGCAAAGATACAAGAATGTTCAGAAAGGAAAGGGCATCCAGTACAAATTTTACAATTTCACTTCTCACCAGCTACTTCTCTAGTCCTTCCTTTCTGAAACCAAGGTCCTTTCTAATGAGAAATCAGACGCAAGAAAAGGAGTCACATGCATAATTGTTCTCTCAGAAGAACTTTAGGTGGCTGTGTGAGACAAAGTGGTTCCACCAGAAAATACTAGTACCACGAGAGGTTTACAATGCTCTACCTATTTACCTAGAAGAAAAGAAGAGGGGTTTAAAGAGAGAAGGTAAGTAAAGACTAGAAAGTGGAATGGGTCAAAACTCAAAACTTGAGCCATCAACCTGGACAACCAAAAGGCAATAAAATAATGCTGTATCTAAAAGTGGAAATGAGGGAGGAAGCAGAAAATTTGAGAAAGGAGCAGAAAATAAGACTATGAAGAAAATCATGTTTTTGTAATGTTATGGCTTCTATTACTCTTAATATTAAAATTCCATTTATCTTCAGCATACTTTTCTCTTTTGTACCATCTTGGAACCCTACTATGCCCATCTCAGGCATCCTACCATCTAAAAGCTGAAAGCCATTCAGGCATATCTTTCCTTTAATCCAATCTATTTTTCAGTTTTAAAAAAATGCCCCTCTTTTCCAATTCATCCTTTCCACAATCAAAACTCTCATTTTCTCATGTGGACAGACTGCATTAGGAAAATCATCTGGCTCAAGTAGATCACATTGAGAACTTCAGCTTTTCAGAAAATCTAAGTATTTTTTAAACAGAAACTATTAGCTCACTAGAATATAAATGGGAAAGAATGCATAAGGGATATTTTGGAGCAGGGGTGATACATCAGATTCTTTTCTACTCCGGGGCTAATTCACTGAGTACAGATATAAACTTGGTATCTCACTTCTAAAACTTGCCATCTTATATTAGAAAGTTTTACAGGATGTAGTAAAAGGAAGGCTAGAAACAAATAAGACATACTAGGACTTAAAGTAAAGATAATAAACACAGTTTACATACTGTTACTCCAGCAACCCATACACAACCATTTCCTGCCTCCAGCCTATTTTATATGTGCCTTGTCACCAGTAATTGATCATAGCATTCTTCCCTACTAAAACCAGGTAGAGTCTGAGAATCTTTTCAACATTATGTCCCAGGTAGTCAGTTGGTATTTAAGATGAAAACTATATGTCATCTCCAAGTTGTCAGGCATCTGGGAGAGAAAAATTTTAAAGATGACAGAAAGAACCACTTATATTCAGTCCAAAAAACAAAAACCAGTAGTAGCAGTTACATCACATAGTCACAAAGCACTACATTTATTTTAGACACTTTAGATATTTTATTTCACTGAATCCTTACAACAGCCTTATGGGGCAAGTAATATCTCCATTTTACAGTTGGGGAAAGTCAAGGTTATCCTCAGCCTTCTCTCAGCTTATGTAATCCCTTTCTTCCATGGCAGCCTCCAAAACAGCTCTCCATAACTATTCCCTCTTCTAATCTCCTTTAGCATCTGACACTTAATAAATGTTATCCTCTATGATTATTTATCTTTTTATGCCTTTATCCTGCCTCACCATCTAAATACTATATTCCCCTTGATTAGTAAAGTAAGTGCTCATAAACATGTTCATATAATGTCCAAAACAATTCTGTAAACAGCTAAAGAGTCCACAGTAAATAGCTATTAAAGGAGGCACAGTGGCGCACACCTGTAATCCCAGCACTTTGGGAGGCCGAGGCAGGTGGATCACTTGAGGTCAGGAGTTTAAGACCATCCTGGCCAACATGGTGAAACCCCGTCCCTACTAAAAATACAAAGATTAGCCGGCATGGTAGCGCGTGCCTGAAGTCCCAGCTACTCAGGAGGCTGAGGTGGGAGAATCACTTGAACCCAGAAGGTGGAGGCTGCAGTGAGCTGAAATCACGTCACTGCACTCCAGCCTGGGTGACAGAGTGAGACTCCCTTTCAAAAAAAAAAAAAGCTATTAAAGAAAACTTCCATAACCTATATTTGATCATCAGCCATTTTTAGTGCAGTGAAATATTATTTATTATCATAAATTAGTCACTATCTGTGACCTTGGGCAAACTGTCTTCATATGGCAAATGAAGTCTTTATATGACATACTGCATATGGAATAGCCGAAGATCAGAATATTAAACTAACCTGCCCAAAGTTAAAAAGCTAGCAACAGAAACATTAAGTATTTCAGTTAAGGCCTGTTTCTTCATTAAGTGCCATATTCTTTTCACATACATATCCAAGAAGCAGGAGGTTTACAGTTACTCCAACATACATGAGATTAATAGATAACACACAGTTGAAAGGTTAGCTAATATGAAAACAGGTTTCTTTCTATTGCTTGAAGATGCCCAGACAATTTCCCTGGAATGATTTAACAGTGTTCTGATATATCAAGTTACTCTGTAATTAATATGAATCATCTTTTAAACAGTAGTTGAATTTTTTTGTTTGTTCTGACATATCTTTTAGGTAGATTTCTGTTATTCTCAATCTTTCTGTTTATAGGGGACATTTCCAGCCTTATCAAATTCATATGATGTATAAGACTCTTTTTCTTCTATTAGTTCTGACTTCTAAAATTCTCAAGTTTTTGAAGTAGCAAATTCTCAAGTTTTTGAAGTAGCATTTTTAAGTAGCAATAGTAAGCTACAAGTACAAGGAATTCAAGAGCTGGAATTTAAAACTCACTAGCAATACATACCCATGAGTAGTAAAAAAGAAGAGTGTTGAGCAGCAAGTTAGAAAAATATGAATGACATACTGAGATAAGAAAAAGATATCTATAACAAGGGCTAAACACAAAATTACACTTGTTATAGTGACCAAAATGCCTGTTCATGTGTATATTATGAAGCAAGAAAAAACCTGTTTAAGGCTTTAACCTGTATTAAACATTTTAAAAAGACCAAATTATGACTGCCTGCATAAAAAGACCCAATGAAGGACAAAAATAGAAAATAAATAGAGGTACAGCCAAAGACAAGACACTGGCTTCGGTGTGGCCTTTATAACATTGTGGCTATAAGACTTATATAAACCGAATTTGTTTTGAAAGATAATATACTTACAAATACTTAGAGGCAAACTCTTTTCAATAAACATTGTTTAGATAATAAAAGCCTTACTATATTACCCATTTAGTTACACTAGAGATTTGAAAGCTTATATGAATGGCCCATATATCAGAGTATATAGATAAGAAATCATAGTAAAGAAGTAATAAAAAGCACAGTCATCAATGACTGCCATACCACATTAAATTGGAGGCTGCCCACACAGGTAATAAAACTTTGGATGTTGGGGGTCTGGTGATTTTGGTTACTGGCTACATTTGAAGTATTTCTAGAACAGTGACTACATTAAAGATTTCATTCTGTGCCATTTAATATTTAGGCAATTATCAATTTATATAATAGCTGTACCGCTAAAAAAGACTGCATAAAAATTACATTTCTTTAAAAAGGAATTTGATTTTAAAGGCTTACTACATAAGACAATTCTTTCTCCTCACTCACTCATTCAACATATTTATTGAGTGCCTTCTACAGGCATACTTTTGTTTTATTTTGCTTTGCCTTATTGTACTTTGCAGTTACTGCATTTTTTACAAATCAAAGGTTTGTGCAACCCTACATTGAGCAAGTCTATTGGTGCCATTTTTCCAATAGCATGTGCTCACTTCATTTCTATATGTCACATTTTGGCAATTCTGACAATATTTCACACTTTTTTATTATTAGTATGTCTATCATGGTGATATTTGATGTTACTACTGTAATTGTTGTGGGGCACCATGAACTGCACCCA
This sequence comes from Homo sapiens, assembly GCF_000001405.40. Lineage (NCBI taxonomy): Eukaryota > Metazoa > Chordata > Mammalia > Primates > Hominidae > Homo > Homo sapiens. Next base: position 31,656,666 of record NC_000014.9, on the reverse strand, counting down.
CATAAGATGCAAACCTATTCAATATATGTTGTGTGTGTGTTCTGACTGCTCGACTGACCAGCCCATCCCCCTATCTCTCTCTCTCTCTCCTCAGGCCTCCCTATTCCTTCAGACAACAATATTGAAATCAGGCCAATTAATAATGCTATCATGGCTTCTAAGTGTTTAAGTGAAATAAAAAGTTATATGTTTCTCACTTTAAATGAAAAGATACACATGATTATGCTTGGTAAGGAAATTGTGTCAAAAACCAAGATAGGCCAAGAGCTAGGCCTCTTGAACCAAACAGCCAAGTTGTGAATGCAAAGGAAAAGTTCTTGTAAGAAACTAAAAGTGCTACTCCCATGAACACATAAATAAAAAGAAAGCAAAACAGCCCTATCACTGAGACAGAGAAAGCTTTATTGGTCTGGATAGAAGATCAAACCAGCCACAACATTCTCTTAACCCAGAATGTAATCTAGAATATGGCCCTAACTCTCTTCAATTCTATTAAAGCTGAGAGAGGTGAGGAAGATACAGAAGAAAAGTTGGAAGGTAGCAGATATTGGTTCATGAGGTTTAAGAAAAAAAAAGCCATCTCTATAACATAAAAGTACAAGGTGAAGAAGCAAGTGCTGATGTAGAAGGTGTAGCAAGTTATCCAGAAGATCTAGCTAAGATAATGGAAGGAAGTAGCTAAACAACAGATCTTCAATGTAGATGAAATGGAAGAAGATACCAGGACTTTCACAGCTAGGGGAAAAAAGTTAATGCTTGGCTTCAAATAATAGGTTTACTCTCTTAATAGGGGCTAATGCAGCTGGTAACTTTAAGTTGAATCCAATATTCACTGACCATTTTGAAAATACAAGGGCTCTCAAAAATTATGCTAAATCTACTCTGCCTGTGCTCTATAAATGGAAAAATAAAGCCTGGCTGACAGCACAGCATGGCTTACTAATATTTTAAGCCCACTGTTGAAACCTTTTTGTCACCCAGGCTAGAGTGCAGTGGTACCATCTCGGCTCACTGCAGCCTCAACCTCCTGGGTTCAAGTGATCCTCCTGCCTCAGCACCCAAAGTAGCTGAGACTACAGATGCTCTCTGCCATGCCTTGCTAATTTTTGTATTTTCAGTAGAGACGGGGTTTTGCCATGTTGCCCAGGCTGGTCTCAAACTCCTGAACTCAGGCAATCCACCCGCATCAGCCTCCCAAAGTGCTAGGATTACAGGTGTGAGCCACCATGCCCGGCCAATTCCTTTCAAAATATTACTGCTCATTGACAATGCACCTGGACACCCAAGAGCTCTGATGGAGATGTGCAATCAGATGAATGTTGTCTTCATGCCTGCTAACAAAACATCCATTCTGCAGCCTGTGGATCAAGAAGTAATTTTGACTTTCAAGTCTTATTATTACAGAAATACACTTCATAAGGCTAAAGCTGCCATAGATAGTAATTCCTCTAACGGATCTATCAATTGAAAATCTCCTGGAAAGGATTCATTATTCTAGATGTCATTAAGAACATTCATGATTCATTGGAGGGGATCAAAGTATCAAAATGAACAGGAGTTAGGAAGAAGTTGATTCCAACCCTCATGGATGACACTGAGACTAGAATTAGAAATGGAGCCTGAAGATGGGACTTAATTGCTGCAATCTCATGGTAAAACAAACAGATAAGGAGTTGCTTTTTATGATAAGCAAAGAAAGTACTTTCTTGAGATGGAATCTACTCTGTGAAGATGCTGTGAACTTTGTTGAAATGACAACAAAAAGTTTAGAATGTTATATAAACTTAATTGATAAAGCAGTGACAGGGCTTGAGAGAATTGACTCCAATTTTGAAAGAAGTTCTACTGTGGGTAACTGCTATCAAACAGCATTACATGCTATAGACAAATCATTCATGAAAAGAAGAGTCAATCAATGTGACAAACATCATTTTTGTCTGAAGAAATTGCCATAGCCGGGGCAGGCACAGTGGCTCACACCTGTAATCCCAGCACTTTGGGAGGCCGAGGTGGGTAGATCATGAGGTCAGGAGATTGAGACCATCCTGGCTAACACTGTGAAACCCCATGTCTACTAAAAAATAGAAAAAATTAGCCAGGTGTGGTGGCGGGTGCCTGCAGTCCCAGCTACTCTGGAGGCTGAGGCAGGAGAATGGCATGAACCCAGGAGGCGGAGCTTGCAGTGAGCTGAGATCATGCCACTGCACTCCAGCCTGGGCAACAGAGCGAGACTCTGTCTCAAAAAAAAAAAAAAGAAAAAAAAAAGTTAATTGCCATACCCAACCCAACATTCAGCAACTACCACCCTGATCAGTCAGCAGCAATTCACATGCAGGCAACACCATCCAAAGGCAAAAAGATTACCATTCACTGAAGGCTAATGATCATTAGCATTTTTAAGTAATAAAATATTTTTAATTAAGGTACATACATATTTTTAGACATAATGCTATTTCACACTTCATGGACTACAGTATAGTGTAAACATAACTTTTATATGCAATGGGAAACCAAAAAATTCATGTTGCTTACTTTATTGAGACACTTGCTTTATTGTGGTGGTCTGGAACAAGACCTGCAACATCTCTGAGATATACCTGTATGTACCAAGTATGAAGTTTGGTGTTAGTGCTATAGTAGCAAAGAAAAACAGACATAATATCTTCCCCCATGAAATACAAAGTCAATAGGAGAGACAGATACTAACCACACAATTGTTGTGGGAAGTCAGGGACCCTGAACAGAGGAACCAGCTGGAGCCGCAGCAGAGGAACACAAATTGTGAAGATTTCATGGACATTTATCACTTCCCTAATAATACTCTTATAATATCTTATGCCTGTCTTTACTTCAGCCTCTGAACATAAATTGTGAAGATTTCCTGGACATTTATCAGTTCCCAAATAATGCTCTTATAATTTCTTATGCCTGTCTTACTTTAATCTCTTAATCCTGTTATCTTCATAAGCTGAGGATGTACGTCACCTCAGGACCACTATTGTACAAATTGACTGTAAAACATGTGCGTTTGAACAATACGAAATCAGTGCATCTTGAAAAAGAACAGAATAACAGCGATTTTCAGGGAACAAGGAAAGACAACCATAAGGTCTGACTGCCTGCGGGGTCGGGCAGAATACAGCCATATTTTTCTTCTTGCAGACAGCCTATAAACAGACCTGCAAGTAGGAGAGATATCGCTAAATTCTTTTCCTAGCAAGGAATATAATATTAAGACCCTAGGAAAAGAATTGCATTCCTCGGGGGAGGTCTATAAACGGCTGCTCTGGGAGTGTCTGTCTTATGCAGTTGAGATAAGGACCAAAGTACGCCCTGGTCTCCTGCAGTACTCTCAGGCTCACTAGAGTGGGGAAAAACCCCACCCTGGTGAATTTAAGGTCAGAACAGTTCTCTGCTCTCAAAGCCTGTTTTCTGTTGTTTAAGATGTTTATCAAGACAATACGTGCACAGCTGACCATAGAACCTCATCAGTAATTCTAATTTTGCCCTTTGCCTTGTGATCTTTGCTTTTGTCCTTGCCCTGTTTCCTCAGAAGCATGTGATCTTTGTTCTCTTTTTGCCCTTTGAAGTATGTAATCTTTGTGACCCACTTCCCGTTCGTACACCCCCTTCCCTTTTGAAGTCCTTGATAAAAACCTGCTGGTTTTGCGGCTCAGGTGGGCATCACAGTCCTACTGATACGTGATGTCACCCCCAGAGGCCCAGCTGTAAAATTCCTCTTTTTTTACTCTTTCTCTTTATTTCTCAGACCGGCTGACACGTAGGGAAAATAGAAAGAACCTATGTTAAAATATGGGGGGTGAGTTCCCCCGATACACAATCACTAGATAAATGTAAATTTGTAACCAAAACTAGTGCTATGAAGGAAATTATAGGATTTGGCCTTGTCACAGGGTCTTTGGTACAAAGGAAAACCTCTCCATAATTTAAAAACGCAACTCACAAACTTGATGGTTTTATAAATTTTGGTTTTTATATATTGATGTCTTTAAAATCAGGGCACACATATTAGAAATGTTATTACTTTATATAAATGCCATCATTTAAAGAAAAAGCAACTTTATTTTTTAATCATTTTTAATTGACAAAATTTATATATATTTATGGTATACAAAGCAATGTTCTCATATATGTATATACTATGGAGTGATTCAATCAAGCTTATTAATATAAGCTTGTCAATTTTTTGTGGTGAGAACACTTAAAATGTACTCTCTTAGCAATTTTCAAGTGCACAATGCATTAGTATTTTAACTACAGTCCCCACGCTGTACAATGGCTCTCCTCAACTTATTTCTCCTACCTAACTGAAACTTTGTGTCCTTTGGCCAATATCTCCCCATTCTCCCATTTGGAACCCCTGGTAACCACCATTCAACTCTCTAATTCTCTGAGTTCCACTTTTTTTAGATTCCGCACATAAGTGAGATCACATGATATTTGTCTTTCTATGCCTGGCTATTTCATTAAGCTTAATGTCTTCCAGCTTTACTCATATAGTTGCAAATGACAGAATTTCTTTCTTTTATGAGGCTGAGTAGTATATATATGATATATTCTGTATATATATCACATTTTCTTTATCCATTCATTCAACCACATTTTCTTTATCCATTCATTCATTGATGGACACTTAGTGATGTTGAGCATTTTTTCATGCACCTATGGGTCATTTGCATGTCTTCTTTTGAGAAATGTCTATTCAGATCCTTTGCAGATTTTTCTTTTTTTCTTTTTTTTTTTTTTTGAGACAGAGTCTCGCTCTGTTGCCCAGGCTGGAGTGCAGTGGCACTATCTCAGCTCACTGTAAGCTCTGCCTCCCAGGTTCATGCCATTCTCCTACCTCAGCCTCCTGAGTAGCTGGGACTATAGGCACCCACCACCACACCTGGCTAATTTTTTTGTATTTTTAGTAGAGATGGGGTTTCACCATGTTAGCCAGGATTGTCTCGATCTCCTGACCTTGTGATCCACCTGCCTCAGCCTCCAAAAGTGCTGGGATTACAGGCGTGAGCCACCACGCCCGGCCACACATTTTTCAATACAGTTATTTGTTTTCTTGCTATTAAGTTTCTTAAATATTTTGGATATTAACCCTTTATCAGATGTGTGGTTTAAAAATACCATCTACCATTCCATAGGTTACAAAAGAAAGAAACTTTAAATGTGTATTACACAATACCTGAGATAACCCATCCTTAAAAAAAATGTGATTCATGCTAAAAAACCTAAGATAAAATTTGAGAAGTAATTTCACATTTCAAAAAATATCCAAAGATCTGGGCAGGGTGTGGTGGCTCACTCCTGTAATGCCAGCACCTTGGGAGGCCAAGAAGTGTGGATCACTAGAGGCCAGGAATTTGAGACCAGCCTTAATCCCAGCTACTCAGTTGGCTGAGGCACAAGAATTGCTTGAACCCAGGCGGCAGAGGTTGCAGTGAGCTGAGATCCTGCCACTGCACTCCAGCATGGGCAACATAGCAAGACTCTGTCTCAAAAAACAAAAAAAAATCCAAAGACGTGGAACAGTATCTGCTATAGTTTAGATACTGGCCTCTCCAAATCTCATGTTGAAATGTGATCTCCATCATTAGAGGCAGGGATTAATGAGAGGTGTCTGGGTTGTGCGACAGATCCCTCATGAATGGCTTGGTGCTATCCTCATGGTAATGAGTAAGCTCTATCTCTATTAGTTCCTATGTGTGCTGGTTGTTAAAAAAGAGCCTGGCACCTTGCTGCCCTCCTTGATTCCACCCTCACGTTGTGATCTCTGCATATACTAGTTTCCCTTCCTTTACCATGAGTAGAAGCAGCCTAAGGCTTTCACTAGATGCCCAATCTTCCAGCCAGAAAAATCATGAGCCAAATACACCTTTTTTCTTTATATATTACCCAGCCTCAGGAATTCTTCTATAGCAACTTAAATGGACTAAGACAGTGTTAATAATTTAAAGCCGCTTTTAAACACAGGCATTTTAATTACATTTCTCCTTCAAAGAAGTAGCTAATAGACATTAAGTATGGAGACAGTATTTTTTCAATGAAAGCCATTCCTGGGGCCAGGTGCGGTGACTAACGCCTGTAATCCCAACACTTTGGGAGGCCGACATGGGTGGATCATGAGGTCAGGAGATTGAGACCATCCTGGCTAACACTGTGAAACCCTGTCTCTACTAAAAATACAAAAAATTAGCCGGGTGTGGTGGCGGGCGCCTGTAGTCCCAGCTACCTCGGAGGCTGAGGCAGGAGAATGGTGTGAACCTGGGAGGCGGAGCTTGCAGTGAGCTGAGACTGTGCCACTGCACTGCAGCCTGGGTGACACAGCAAGACTCCGTCTCAAAAAAAAAAAAAAAAAAAAGAAAGAAAGCCATTCCCAAAAGAAGCTTATTTAGTTAGGCTCTATCTTTACACACATATGCAATTACTTGAACTTATATCAATACAAACTAATTCATGTCTTATCAACTTTCTCTGTATACATGGCTAATATTTTTGACAACATGATTATCCCTGAAAAAGTGAATCTTGGGAGGCTGAGGCAGGCAGATCACCTGAGGTCGGGAGTTTGTGACCAGCCTGACCAGCATGGCAAAACCCCATCTCTACTAAAAATACAAAATTAGCCGGGCATGGTGGCACATGTCTGTAATCCCAGCTACTCAGGAGGCTGAGGCAGGAGAATCACTTGAACCTGAGAGGCGGAGGTTGCAGTGAGCGGAGATTGCGCCATTGCAATCCAGCCTGGGCAACAAGAGTGAAACTCCGTCTCAAAACAAAAAAAAAGTGAATTTTTAATTTGAATCTCCTAAAGGCAAAGAGCTAAGGGTGTTAAAGTCTAATGGAAGATACTATGCAAATATTAAAAAGAGTATTTGCTCCTTCTTGACAACATAAAATGTATACTTAACATTTTTAAAAAATAACTTCAGCAGTCTCAACAGCATGTGCATAATACCTTATCTCCTCATATTTTTAATTTCTGAAATGTCAACTTAGGTGAGACTTTATTATACAAAAATGGTTACTTGTATCACATATTTAAAGTTGTATGTTTTTAAACTTTTTGCAAACCTTAAAAGTTAAAATTTCAAAACTCTAAAAGTGCAAAACTTAAAAGTTCATTTCACAAATCTTGTTGCGTATATCATTTATAATTTTACTAGAAAAATATAAACAATTACTTTCACATTTTATCTTCATGTTCAATCATTACAGATTAAATTCCCCTAAACAATTATCTTCAATTATAAACCAGTGAAATTAAGTTGCCTAAAACATTTAAAACTAAATTTACAAATCAAATAAATCTGATTTTCTCAAACCTTTCAAATGAGCGACAGGGTAGCCTTGCAAATCTAACAACCAAAATACATAAGCAACTCTTGTAAATTTAATAAGCCAAACTAATAAGTGGAATAAATCCAATTATCTTAAAGGTTCTGACACTGTTTAGAAATTTAACCAAATTATTTTACATCTTTCATATTAAAATCCTCCTAAGTATTGTGTAACAGTGAAGTAAAAAAACAAAACTTGGGGCCAGGAGCATTGGCTCATGCCTGTAAATCCCAGCACTTTGGGAGGCCGAGGCAGGCAGATCTTGAGGTCAAGAAATCGAGACCATCCTGTCCAACATGGTGAAACCCCGTCTCTACTAAAAATAAAAAAAATTAGCCAGGTGTAGTGGTGGGCACCTGTAATCCCAGCTACTGGGGAGGCAGAGGCAAGAGAATTGCTTGAACCCGGGAGGCGGAGGTTGCAGTGAGCCAAGATAGCACCACTGCGCTCCAGCCTGGCGAAAACACGAGACTGTCTCAAAACAAAAACAAGACTTCGATCCTGAGGACTTTGCAGAATAGAACTAACATATCAGTAGTGAATGGACTGCCTCACTCATGTGAAACAGTAATAAACTATCTTGTTTAACCTACTATTTCATTGGGTTTTCCTTCGTTCACAACCAAATGTGATCATAGTTAATGTATAGTCTATGTTTAATTTGAATTAAATATTTCAAGTTAAAATAACAAAGCTAACAGGGCAGATTATCTGATATGTCTGAAAGGTTTCAAAACACCTTTAACACAAATACACACATGTAATATCACCACGACTATAAAACTTATTCCCAAACATAATGTTAAAAGTGTTAGTACTGATGGATTTACTTTACATCATAAACATAGGTAGTATGCTTACCAAGATATGGTGTAGGAATATGGATTATCAGTCAGTGCATCAAGACACAGGACCTAGGCGCTTCTTCCAGGAGAGTTCTACCTGACTAGCATGTGAATTTCCTTCTTATGGTACTAGGATTTTTCCAGTCCATGGCTTTTCTTACAACCCAATATATCATACATACTTTTAATTTTTTAAAGCAACCTCTTAATACAACTTTTAATTGCCTGGTTTGAATTGATGATATTCTGTACACCATAGTCAGATTCCACTAAATCTTTTTACTGACTGATTGGACTCTGCCTCCTTTTCTTCTCTTTTTCATCTTGTTCAATATCACAAAGCTAATTCATTTTGCTGACAGAAAAGATACAACAGAAAAATCAGTTTTTAGCTTATTGTTATTACTTTTACAAAATGACAACCAACAATTAGGTATACTATAACTTATGGCTATAAAACAGATTGTTTTGTGTCCACCTTTATTTATTACTTGGCTTTAATGGATGGCTACATGTACAACCTTATTAACCATAAGAAATTAAAAGTAGCCTTTTCCAAAAGGTGACCAGATATCGTGGTAAGGCCAAGAAAACAGTCCACATTTTCAATGGGTACAAATAAGCTAGATAGCCAAAACGGCTGAAAACAGTGAGTTCAAAGTGGACAATCAGTTTCCCCACCATCTTGGGTTCCTTGGCAGAAGATCTGTCCCAGCCTCAACCCACAGGAAGCATCATGAACGCCTAAAGGGAGAAATATCCCTGAGGACAGCCAAAGGCAATGAGGGGAGGTGGGACCACCATCCCTAGCCCTGGAAACTCTGATCTGTAACTCTGTCAAAGGAAATGCCAAATCAGACTGACTGTTCAGCAGCACCACATTGTAGGAGGTGTGTTACACAGGTCCCCTGTGCACAAACCCCTAGCCAGCCTTCCAACATTGCCAGAATATTCCATTTGAGACCTCCCCCATTTGAGATGGGCAGTGCTCTGATCAAATACTGAATACTAGAGCTCAGGCAAACCTGGGCTTAAGGTGCCATTTAGTGCCAAAAAGGGGGCAGCAACCTAACAAGAAAAAAAAGAAATTCAAAAATACAAACTCTAAAGAAACATATCCAATAAAAACCAAAGCAAGCCAGAGACGGAAGACTGGAATAAATAACTAATCCTTCATTGCAAATACATAGATGTACATCCACAAGAAACAGCAAACAGGGAACTGACCTCCTCAAATGGACAAGCCAAGGAACCAATGACTGGCCCTAACAAGATGGCTAAATGTGAGTTTTTGACCGAGAATTCAAAATAGCACTTTTAAGGAAACTCAGTGATCTCCAAGATAACACAGAAAAACAAGTCAGAAATTTAACAGAGAAATTTAACAAAGAGACTGAAATATTAAAAATAAATCAAGCAGAAATTTTGAAACTGAGAAATATGTTTGCTGAAGTGAAAAATTCATTAGAAGTAGTCAGCAGCAGACTGGATCAAGCAAAGGAAAGAATCAGTAAGCTCAAAAACAAGACTATTTGAAAACACACAAAGGAGAAAAAAGAAAGAAAAGGAACAAAGATTGCCTACAAGATATAGAAAATTATCTCAAAAAAAAAACAAATTTGAGAAGTGTTGGTGCTGAAGAGGGAGCTGAGCAAGAGAAAGGGATACAAAGCTTATTTTTTTAAAAAATTAAACATTCCAAATGCTACAAAGATATAAATATCCATGTTCAGGAAGATCAGAGAACACCAAATAGATTCAACCCAAAAAAGACTACCCTAAGGCATATAATAATCAAACTCAAAAAGATCAACGACAAAGAAAGGATACTAAAAGCAGCAAGAGAAAAGAGATAAATAACATATAAAGGAGCTCCAATTCATTTGGCAACACACTTCTCAACAGAAACCATACAGGCCAGAAGGGAAAAGAATAACATTTTCAAAATGCCAAAATTAAAGAAAAAGAACCTGATGGCCAAGCGTGGTGGCTCATGCCTGTAATCCCAGCACTTTGGGAGGCCAAGGTTGAGTGGATCACATGAGGTCAGGAGTTCAAGACCAGCCTGGCCAAAATGGTGACTCCCCATCTCTGCTAAAAATACAAAAATTAGCCAGGCGTGGGGGCGGGTGCCTGTAATCCCAGCTACTTGGGAGGCCGAGGTACAAGAATCGCCTGAATCTGGGAAGTGGAGGTTGCAGTTAGCCAAGATCATGCCACTGCACTCTAGCGTGGGCAGTAGAGCAAGACTCAGTCTCAAAAAAAAAGCGGGGGAAGGGCAGGGAAGGGAAGGGGACTTGCCATCCAAGAATAGTATATCCAGGAAAGCTATCCTTCAAATATGAAGAAAAGATAGTCTTTCCCAGACAAAGAATGAGAGAATTCACCACCACCAGATCCATCACACAAGAAATCCTAAAGGGAGTTCTTCAATCTGAAAGAAAAAACCACTAATGTGCAAAAGAAAACATTTAAAAGTATAAAACCCACTGGTAAGATTAGTACACAGATAACTCCAGGATACTCTATCTAATGCTATAATTATGGTATGTAGTCCACTCATAACTTTAGCATGACGTCTAAAAGAGAAATCTATCGAAAACAGTAATAGCTATAAGAACCTGTTAAGAGACAGGTAAAATAAAAACGTAAAATGACACAACAAAAGTCAAAATGTGGGGGGGGGGGTGTAAAGTATAGAAGTTTTAAAAAATTCTTTATTTGTTTCTATTATTTCTTTGTGATCTGACCCAGGTTGTAATCTCTCACTAAAATAGCTTGTTATGTTTTTTTGCAAGTCTCATACTAACCACATTGCAAAAACTTATAATAAATAAACTAATATTAAAAAGCAACAAATTAAAACATACTACCAGAGAAAACTCAGGGTTAACCACAAAAGAAGACAATAACAAAGGAAGAGAGGAGTTACAAGTCAACCAAAAAATAAGAAACAAAATGGCAGTAGTAAAGTCTTTACTTATCAATGAAAACACTGAATGTAAATGGACTCAAATCTCTAATTAAAAGACAAAGTGGCTGAAGAGACAAAGAAATAAGACCCAACTATATGCTGCCTATTAGAAATGCACCTCACAGCTGGGTGCAGTGGCTCACGCCTGTAATCCCAACACTTTAGGAGGCTGAGATGGGCGGATCACGAGGTCAGGAGATCGAGACCATCCTGGCTAACACAGTGAAACCCCGCCTCTACTAAAAAATACAAAAAATTAGCCGGGTGTGGTGGCGGGCGCCTGTAGTCCCAGTTACTCGGGAGGCTGAGGCAGGAGAATGGCGTGAACCCGGGAGGCGGAGCTTGCAGTGAGCCAAGATTGCGCCACTGCACTCCAGCCTGGGCGACAAAGCGAGACTCCATCTCAAAAAAAAAAAAAAGAAAAGAAAAAGAAATGCACCTCACATATAAAGACACACATAAACTGAAAGTAAGGAGATTGGAGAAGATATTCCATGCAATCGGAAACTTTAAAAAGAGCAGGAATAGCTATATTTGTATCAGGTAAGATGACTACAAATCATACTGTGCAAAAAAGAACAAACAAGGTCATTCAATAATAATAAAGGGGTCAATTACCAAGAAGATATAATAACTATATATATCTATGCATCCAATACCCAGTACCCAAGCATATAAAGCAAACATTAATAGATCTAAAGGAAGAGACAGACTGCAATATGGTAATAGTAGGGGATTTCAATACCCTACTCTCAGTAAAGGATGGATCATCTAGACAAAAAATTCACAAACATCAGAGTTAAACTGCACACTAGACCAAATACACTTAACTGACATTTACAGAACATTTCACCCAACAACTGTAGAACATACACTCTCTTTATTGCCACATAAAACATTATCCAGAAGATACCAAATCTTAGGCCACAAAACAAGTCTCAACAAATACAAAAAAGTAGAAATCATATCAAGTATCTTTCTGGACTACAGTGGAATAAAACTAGAAACTACTAATAGGAGACACCACAAAAAAATACACAAACAGATGGAAATTAAACAACATGTCCAGAATGACCAATGGGTCAATGAAGAAATTAAGAAGAAAATTTAAAAATTTCCTGAAACAACTGAAAATGGAAAATACAGCATACCAAAATCTACGGTACAGGAAAAACAGTATGAAGATGGAAGTCTATAGCAATAAACACCTACATTTTAAAAAAAGAAAGACTTCAAATAAATAACTTAACACAACATATCAATGCATCTCAAGAAACTAAAAAGAAAGAATAAGCCAACCCAAAATTAACAGAAGGGAAGAAATAATAAAGATCAGGGCAAAAATAAATGAAATTGATACTGAAAGAAACCCAGAAGATCAATGAAACAAAAAGTTGATTTTTTAAACAAGACAAGCAAAATTGACAAATCTTTAGCTAGATTAACTAAGAAAAAAGAGGGATGACCCAAAAAAAATAAAATCAGAAACTATAAAGGAGATATAACAACTCAAACCACAGAAATACAAAGAATCATTTAAAATTATAAGAAACAACAATACACCAACAAATTGGAAAACCTACAAGAAACGGATAAATTGCTGGACACATACAACCTATCAAGATTGAACCAGGGAGAAACAGAAAACTTCAACTAACCAATAAGTAATGAGATCAATGCCATAATAAAGAGTCTCCCACCAAAGAAAAGCCCAGGACCTGGTGGTTCCACTGCTTAATTCTACCAAAAATTTAAAGAAGTAATGCCAATTCTATTCAAACTCTTCAAAAAAAATAAATAAGAGGGAATACTTCCAAACGGATCCTATAAGGCCAGAATTACCCTGATACCAAAATAAAACAAGAACACAACAAAAAGAAAACTATAGACCCAACAACACTAATGAACATAGATGCAAAAATCCTCAACAAAATAGCAGCGAACTGAATTCAACAACACATTAAAAATATCATTCACCATGAATAAGTGGGATTCATCCCAGGGATACAAGAATGGTTCAACATTCGGAAATCAATACATGTAATACATCACATCAACAGAACTAAGAGGAAATATCATGTGATCATTTCAATACATGCTGAAAAGCATTCAATAAAATTCAACATCCCTTTATGATAAAAATCCTCAACAAACTGGGTATGGAAGGAACACACTTCAAAATAATAAAGGCCGTATAACCCACAGCTAACATCACGTTGAACAAAGAAAAAAATGAAAACCTTTCATCTAAGATCTGGAACAAGACAAGATGCCCACTTTCACCACTTGTATTCAACAATAATACTGGAAGTTTTGGCCAGAGCAATGAGGCAAGAGAAAGAGATAAAGCATATACAAATTGGAAAGGAAGAAATCAAATTAGTCTTGCTCACAGATAACATGATATTATACATAGAAAAGCCTAAAAACTCCACCAAAAAACTGTTAGGACAGATAAATGAATTGAGTAAAGTTGCACTACACAAAATCAACATATAAAAACCAGTAGCACTTATATACACCAACAGCAAACAATCTAAAAAAGAAATCAAGAAAGCAGTCCATCTGCAAGAGCTACAAAGAATATAAAATACTTAGAAATCAATTTCACCAAAGAAGTAAAACATCTATTCAAGGAAAACCATAAAACACTGATGAAAGAAACTGAAGAGGACATTTTTACAAAGGGAAGATATTCCATGCTCATGAATTGGAAGAATTAATATTACAGATTCAATGCAATCCCTACCAAATACCAATGACATTCTTCATAAAAATAGCAATAATAATCCAAAAATGTATACAGAACCACAAAAGGCCCAGGATAGCCAAAACAACCCTGAGCACAAAGAACAAAGATGGATGCATCACACTACCTAACTTCAAAATATACTACAAAGTTACAGTAACCAAAACAATATAGTACTGGCATAAAAACACAGACATAGACCAATGGAACAGAATAGAGAACACATAAATAAATCCACACTCATTTTACAGCCAACTCATTTTCAACAAAGATCCCAAGAACATACACTGTGGAAAGGACAGTCTCCTCAATAAACAGCGCTCAGAAAACTAGGTAACCACATGAGGAAGAATGAAATTAGACCCCTATTTCTCACCATGTACAAAAATCAAATTAAAACGGATTAAATATTTAAGTGCAAGACCTAAAACTATGAAACTACTAGAAGAAAACATTAAGTAAATGCTCCAGAACGTTAGTCTGGGCAAAGATCTTTAAATGTAAGAACTCAAAAGTACAGGCAACCAAGGCAAAAACAAATGAATGGGATCATACCAAGCTAAAAAGCTTCTGCACAGCTAAGGAAACAATCAACAAGGAGAAAAGACCACCCACAGAATGAGAGAAAATATTTGTAAACTATCCATCTGACAAGGGATTAATAAAGAGAACATAGCAGGAGTTCAAACAACTCAATAGTAAAATAATAATAACCTGATTTTTAAATAGGCAAAAGATTTGAATAGATGTTTCTCAAAAGAAGACATACAAAGGCCAACAAGTATATTTTTAAAATGTTCAACATCACTAATGATCAGAGAAATGCAAATCAAAACCACAATAACACAGTATAAAACGGCCAGTTAAAATGGCTTTTGTCAAAAGGACATGAGGTAACAGATGCAGGTGAGGATGTAAATAAAGGGAAACCCTCCTACAGTGTTGGTAGGAATGTAAATTAGCACAGCCACTATGGAAACTAGTGTGGAGCTTCCTTAAAAAACTAAAAATAGAACTACCATTTGATCCAGCAATTTGACTGCTGGGTATATATCCAAAATAAAGAAAATCAATATATCAAACAGATACTGCACTTCCACGTTTATCAGGGCATCATTCACAAGACCTAAAATATGGAATAAACCTAAGTACTCCTCAATAGGCATATGGATAAACAAAATATTATGCATATATACACAATGGAATATTAATCAGCCATAAAAAAGAATGGAATCCTGTCATGTTCAATAACATGAGTGAAGCTGGAGGTCATTACATTAAGTGAAATAAGCCAGGCCTAGAAAGACAAATATCACATGTTCAGACTCATATGTGGAAGTTAAAAAATATGGATTTGTTGAAGATAAAGAGTAGTAGACTGGTGGTTACCAGAGGCCAAGAAGGGATGAAAAAAGGGGGTAAGGGAGTGATGAAGAGAGGTTCATTAATCAGTACAAATAAATACACAGTTATATAAAAGAAATAAGATTGGCCAGGCGCGGTGGCTCATGCCTGTAATTCCAACACTTAGGGAGGGTGAGGCAGGAGGATCACAAGGTCAAGAGATCAAGACCATCCTGGCCAACATGGTGAAACCCTGTCTCCACTAAAAATACAAAAATTAGCTGGGCGTGGTGGTGCACACCTGTAGTCCCAGCTACAGGGGAGGCTGAGGCAGAAGAATCACTTGAACCCAGGAGGCAGAGGTTGCAGTGAGCTGAGATCGTGTCACTGCACTCCAGCCTGGTGACAGAGTGGGACTCTGTCTCAAAAACAAAAAGAAAAACAAAAAAACAAAAAGAAATAAGACCTGGTATTCAATAGATCAGTAGGGTGACTACAGTTAACATTAATCAATTGTACAATAGCTAGAAGAGAATAATTCTAATGTTCTTATTAGCATAAAGAAATGGATTTAAGGTGATCGATGTCCCCATTACCCTGATTTGGTCTTTACACATTACATGAGTGTATCAAATTAACACATGTACCCTGAAAATATGCACACGTATTATGTATCAACAAAATAATTAATAAACAGATAAAATTTTAAAATAAATTTTTGAAAAGATTAAGGGAATTTGATGATTAATCTAATTAGTGTTTCTTTTTTTTTTTTTTTTTTGAGACAGAGTCTCACTCTGTCGCCCAGGCTGGAGTGCAGTGGTGTGATCTTAACTCACTGCAACCTCCACCTCCCAGGTTCAAGTTATTCTCCTGCCTCAGCCTCCTGAGTAGCTGGGATTACAGGTATTCACCACCATGCCCTAATTTTTGTATTTTTACTAATTTTTGTATTTTTAGCAGAGACAGGGTTTTGCCATGTTGGCCAGGCTGGTTTCAAACTCCTGCCCTCAAGTGATCCACCCACCTTGGCCTCCCGAAGTGCTGGGCGCGTGAGCCACCAAGCCTGGCCCCAAAGCGTTTCTTAAGTCTCATAAGTATGGTGGTTAGGTAAGCATAAGATTAAAGAAGTAAAGTAGTGTAAAGAACTGATTTTGTCGGAGGGCAGCCAAGATGGCCGAATAGGAACAGCTCTGGTCTACAGCTCCCAGCATGAGCGATGCAGAAGACAGGTGATTTCTGCATTTCCATCTGAGGTACCGGGTTCATCTCACTAGGGAGTGCCTGACAGTGGGCGCAGGAGAGTGGGTGCAGTGCACCGTGCCGGAGCCGAAGCAGGGCGAGGCACTGCCTCGCTCAGGAAGCACAACGGGTCAGGGAGTTCCCTTTCCTAGTCAAAGAAAGGGTGACAGACAGCACCTGGAAAATCGGGTCACTCCCACCCTAATACTGCGCTTTTCCAACGGGCTTAAAAAACGGCGCATCAGGAGATTATATCCCGCACCTGGATATAATCCCATCCTATGTCCACGGAGTCTCTCTGATTGCTAGCACAGCAGTCTGAGATCAAACTGCAAGGTGGCAGCGAGGCTGGGGGAGGGGCGCCCGCCATTGCCCAGGCTTGCTTAGGTAAACAAAGCAGCCAGGAAGCTCGAACTGGGTGGAGCCCACCACAGCTCAAGGAGGCCTGCCTGCCTCTGTAGGCTCCATCTCTGGGGTAGGGCACAGACAAACAAAAAGACAGCAGTAACGTCTGCAGACTTAAATGTCCCTGTCTGATATCTTTGAAGAGAGCAGTGGTTCTCCCAGGATGCAGCTGGAGATCTAAGAACGGGCAGACTGCCTCCTCAAGTGGGTCCCTGACCCCTAACCCCCGAGCAGCCTAACTGGGAGGCACCCCCCAGTAGGGGCAGACTGACACCTCACACAGCCGGGTACTCCTCTGACACAAAACTTCCAGAGGAACGATCATACAGCAGCATTTGCGGTTCACGAAATCCGCTGTTCTGCAGCCACCGCTGCTGATATCCAGGCAAACAGAGTCTGGAGTGGACCTCTAGCAAACTCCAACAGACCTGCAGCTGAGGGTCCTGTCTGTTAGAAGGAAAACTAACAGAAAGGACATCCGCACCAAAAACCCATCTGTACATCACCATCATCAAAGACCAAAAGTAGACAAAACCACAAAGATGGGGAAAAAATGGAGCAGAAAAACTGGAAACTCTAAAAACCAGAGCACCTCTCCTCCTCCAAAGGAATGCAGTTCCTCACCAGCAATGGAACAAAGCTGGACGGAGAATGACTTTGACGAGCTGAGAGAAGAAGGCTTCAGACAACCAAACTACTCCGAGCTATGGGAGGAAACTCAAACCAAAGGCAAAGAAGTGAAAAACTTTGAAAAAAAATTTAGACAAATGTATAACTAGAATAACCAATAGAGAGAAGTGCTTAAAGGAGCTGATGGAGCTGAAAGCCAAGGCTCAAGAACTACGTGAAGAATGCAGAAGCCTCAGGAGCCGATCCGATCAACTGGAAGAAAGGGTATCAGTGATGGAAGATGAAATGAATGAAATGAAGCGAGAAGGGAAGTTTAGAGAAAAAAGAATAGAAACGAACAAAGCCTTCAAGAGATATGGGACTATGTGAAAACACCAAATCTACGTCTGATTGGTGTACCTGAAAGTGACAGGGAGAATGGAACCAAGTTGGAAAACACTCTGCAGGATGTTATCCTGGAGAACTTCCCCAATCTAGCAAGGCAGGCCAACATTCACATTCAGGAAATACAGAGAACGCCACAAAGATACTCCTCGAGAAGAGCAACTCCAAGACACAAAACTGTCAGATTCACCAAAGTTGAAATGAAGGAAAAAATGTTAAGGGAAGCCAGAGAGAAAGGTCGGGTTACCCACAAAGGGAAGCCCATCAGACTAACAGCGGATCTCTCGGCAGAAACTCTACAAGCCAGAAGAGAGTGGGGGCCAATATTCAACATTCTTAAAGAAAAGAATTTTCAACCCAGAATTTCATATCCAGCCAAACTAAGCTTCATAAGTGAAGGAGAAATAAAATCCTTTACAGACAAGCAAATGCTGAGAGATTTTGTCACCACCAGGCCTGCCCTAAAAGAGCTCCTGAAGGAAGCACTAAACATGGAAAGGAACAACCGGTACTAGCTGCTGCAAAATCATGCCAAAATGTAAAGACCATCGAGACTAGGAAGAAATTGCATCAACTAACAAGCAAAATAAGCAGCTAACATCATAATGACAGGATCAAATTCACACATAACAATATTAACTTTAAATGTAAATGGCCTAAATGCTCCAATTAAAAGACACAGACTGGCAAATTGGATAAAGAGTCAAGACCCATCCGTGTGCTGTATTCAGGAAATCCATCTCACGTGCAGAGACACATATAGGCTCAAAATAAAAGGATGGAGGAAGATCTACCAAGCAAATGGAAAATAAAAAAAGGCAGGCGTTGCAATCCTAGTCTCTGATAAAACAGACTTTAAACCAACAAACATCAAAAGAGACAAAGAAGGCCATTACGTAATGGTAAAGGGATCAATTCAACAAGAAGAGCTAACTATCTTAATATATATGCACCCAATACAGGAGCACCCAGATTCATAAAGCAAGTCCTGAGTGACCTACAAAGAGACTTAGACTCCCACACAATAATAATGGGAGACTCTAACTTCCCACTGTCAACATTAGACAGATCAATGAGACAGAAAGTTAACAAAGATACCCAGGAATTGAACTCAGCTCTGCACCAAGTGGACCTAACAGACATCTACAGAACTCTCCACCACAAATCAACAGAATATACATTTTTTTCAGCACCACACCACACCTATTCCAACACTGACCACATACTTGGAAGTAAAGCTCTCCTCAGCAAATGTAAAAGAACAGAAATTATAACAAACTGTCTCTCAGACCACAGTGCAATCAAACTAGAACTCAGGATTAAGAATCTCACTCAAAACCACTCAACTACATGGAAACTGAACAACCTGCTCCTGAATGACTACTGGGTGCATAACGAAATGAAGGTAGAAATAAAGATGTTCTTTGAAACCAACAAGAACAAAGACACAACATACCAGAATCTCTGGGACACATTCAAAGCAGTATGTAGAGGGAAATTTATAGCACTAAATGCCCACAAGAGAAAGCAGGAAAGATCCAAAATTGACACCCTAACATCACAATTAAAAGAACTAGAAAAGCAAGAGCAAACACATTCAAAAGCTAGCAGAAGGCAAGAAATAACTAAAATCGGAGCAGAACTGAAGGAAATAGAGACACAAAATCCCTTCAAAAAATTAATGAATCCAGGAGCTGGTTTCTGAAAGGATCAACAAAATTGATAGACCACCAGCAAGACTAATACAGAAAAAAAGAGAGAAGAATCAAATAGACACAATAAAAAATGATAAATGGGATATCACCACTGATCCCACAGAAATACAAACTACCATCAGAGAATACTACAAACAACTCTATGCAAATAAACTAGAAAATCTAGAAGAAATGGATAAATTCCTCGACACATACACTCTCCCAAGACTAAACCAGGAAGAAGTTGAATCTCTGAATAGACCAATAACAGGCTCTGAAATTGTGGCAATAATCAATAGCTTACCAACTAAAAAGACTCCAGGACCAGATGGATTCACAGCCGAATTCTACCAGAGGTACAAGAAGGAACTGGTACCATTCCTTCTGAAACTATTCCAATCAATAGAAAAAGAGGAAATCCTTCCTAACTCATTTTATGAGGCCAGCATCATCCTGATACCAAAGCCAGGCAGAGACACAACCAAAAAAGAGAATTTTAGACCAATATCCTTGATGAACATTGATGCAAAAATCCTCAATAAAATACTGGCAAACCAATCCAGCAGCACATCAAAAAGCTTATCTACCACGATCAAGTGGGCTTCATCCCTGCGATGCAAAGCTGGTTCAATATACGCAAATCAATAAATGTAATCCAGCATATAAACAGAACCAAAGACAAAAACCACATGATTATCTCAATAGATGCAGAAAAGGCCTTTGACAAAATTCAACAACGCTTCATGCTAAAAACTCTCAATAAATTAGGTATTGATGGGACGTATCTCAAAATAATAAGAGCTATCTATGACAAACCCACAGCCAATATCATACTGAATGGGCAAAAACTGGAAGCATTCCCTTTGAAAACGGACACAAGACAGGGATGCCCTCTCTCACCACTCCTATTCAACATAGTGTTGGAAGTTCTGGCCAGGGCAATTAGGCAGGAGAAGGAAATAAAGGGTATTCAATTAGGAAAAGAGGAAGTCAAATTGTCCCTGTTTGCAGATGACATGATTGTATATTTAGAAAACCCCATTGTCTCAGCCCAAAATCTCCTTAAGCTGATAAGTAACTTCAGCAAAGTCTCAGGATACAAAATCAATGTACAAAAATCACAAGCATTCTTACACACCAATAACAGACAAACAGAGAGCCAAATCATGAGTGAACGCCCATTCACAATTGCTTCAAGGAGAATAAAATACCTAGGAATCCAACTTACAAGGGATGTGAAGGACCTCTTCAAGGAGAACTACAAACCACTGCTCAAGGAAATAAAAGAGGATACAAACAAATGGAAGAACATTCCATGCTCATGGGTAGGAAGAATCAATATCATGAAAATCGCCATACTGCCCAAGGGAATTTATAGATTCAATGCCATCCCCATCAAGCTACGAATGACTTTCTTCACAGAATTGGAAAAAACTACTTTAAAGTTCATATGGAACCAAAAAAGAGCCCACATCGCCAAGTCAATCCTGAGCCAAAAGAACAAAGCTGGAGGCATCACACTACCTGACTTCAAACTATACTACAAGGCTACAGTAACCAAAACAGCATGGTACTGGTACCAAAACAGAGATATAGACCAATGGAACAGAACAGAGCCCTCAGAAATAACGTCGCATATCTACAACTATCTGATCTTTGACAAACCTGAGAAAAATAAGCAATGGGGAAAGGATTCCCTATTTAATAAATGGTGCTGGGAAAACTGGCTAGCCATATGTACAAAGCTGAAACTGGATCCCCTCCTTACACCTTACACAAAAATTAATTCAAGATGGATTAAAGACTTAAACGTTAGACCTAAAACCATAAAAACCCTAGAAGAAAACCTAGGCATTACCATTCAGGACACAGGCATGGGCAAGGACTTCATGTCTAAAACACCAAAAGCAATGGCAACAAAAGGCAAAATTGACAAATGGGATCTAATTAAACTAAAGAGCTTCTGCACAGCAAAAGAAACTACCATCAGAGTGAACAGGCAACCTACAAAATGGGAGAAAATTTTCGCAACCTACTCATCTGACAGAGGGCTAATATCCAGAATCTACAATGAACTCAAACAAATTTACAAGAAAAAAACAAACAACCCCATCAAAAAGTGGGCGAAGGATATGAACAGACACTTCTCAAAAGAAGACATTTATGCAGCCAAAAGACACATGAAAAAATGCTCATCATCACTGGCCATCAGAGAAATGCAAATCAAAACCACAATGAGATACCATCTCACACCAGTTAGAATGGCAATCATTAAAAAGTCAGGAAACAACAGGTGCTGGAGAGGATGTGGAGAAATAGGAACACTTTTACATTGTTGGTGGGACTGTAAACTGGTTCAACCATTGTGGAAGTCAGTGTGGCGATTCCTCAGGGATCTAGAACTAGAAATACCATTTGACCCAGCCATCCCATTACTGGGTATATACCCAAAGGACTATAAATCATGCTGCTATAAAGACACATGAACACGTATGTTTATAGCAGCACTATTCACAATAGCAAAGACTTGGAACCAACCCAAATGTCCAACAATGATAGACTGGATTAAGAAAATGTGGCACATGTACACCATGGAATACTATGCAGCCATAAAAAATGATGAGTTCATGTCCTTTGTAGGGACATGGATGAAATTGGAAATCATTATTCTCAGTAAACTATCACAAGGACAAAAAACCAAACACCGCATGTTCTCACTCATAGGTGGGAATTGAACAATGAGAACACATGGACACAGGAAGGGGAAGATCACACTCTCGGGACTGTTGTGGGGTGGGGGGTGGGGGGAGGGATAGCATTAGGAGATATACCTAATGCTAAATGACGAGTTAATGGGTGCAGCAAACTCAACATGGTACATGTATACATATGTAACTAACCTGCACATTGTGTACATGTACCCTAAAACTTAAAGTATAATAATAATAAAATTAAATTAAAAAAAAAGAACTGATTTTGTCGCTTTTCTTCTTTTACTGTATTGCCCACCATTTTATATTGGGTGACTAAAAGTGCATTCACTATATCCCTTCAGAATATGCCTGGACACAACGTTCAAACCTGGGAACCCTAAGCAGGTGGGATACTGACAAAGTGATCCATGGCTAGAAAGGCAACCAGAACGGCAATTATATCGAAAATTGCATTATATAAGAAAAAGCTAAAGACCTAAAGTTGTTTTTCTGAGCTCATCACAGTGTGCAAATATTTCAGAGGTTATCAAAGGAAAAAGAATTAGGTGATTCTCATGAGGACAGGACTAGGAATAATATGTGAAAGTTATTAGGAAGCAAGTTTTTGACCAAAATAAGGAAAAACCAGTTAATAAATAGAGCTGTCATGGAACAACAAAATCTCCCTCAGTGTTGATGCCAGACCATTATTTATAATGCATTTGTGGATTCTGTAACTCTGAATATCTACAACGAGCAAAAGCTTTGCATAATAAAATCACTGAAGGTAATCAGAAGATCCTGGTTCTTATGTTGGCACTTCACTAATAATGCGCGTGACTGAATCTCAATCATTAAATAAGCTATGTGACTGTATCTAAATCTCATCAGTAAAATAAACTTGCAAAGATCTCTCCAAGCTCTAAAATGTTATAAAACTACGACTAATTTCTACTCAGTTATTAAAATGCTCAAATATGTTTCTGAAATTTTTTAAAAGTGTTTTATTTTTAGAATACGTTATATGTTTGGTGATAATCTGTGGTTATGTGTGGTAACAGCACCACTGCACCATGCAACCCACCTCGGCTGCCAGTTGCAAGAGGTGAAGGTGGTTTGAAGATACTGCTGCAGAGAGGTAGGTCAAAGGCCATGCACTATGCACCTAAAAACAGGACTGAATTTCCACAAACTGAGTGGCATACACAGCCAAAGATGCAAAGCAGCAGCATCTTTCCTGGATGCTCCAAATTTGTTGCTAATTACCAGATATCACCCAGTAAATGTTCACCCATTCTGTTTATAGCAAAGAATGCCTCACACTGAGCTTCCTCTAAATGACTTACAGAAAGTCTGAATTAAACCTAAAATTACCCATCCATGTCTATTAATAATTTAAAAGTAGAAATATGTAAAATATAGATTAACATATAAATATTTGCCACTACTATGCTTCAATGTTAAATAAACCACTTTTATGGACGTGAATATTTTCTTCTTTCCCTATGGATACTTTTCTTAAAATACAGTGTGGATTATGGAGTATCTAAATCCTGACCTATTACTACAATGGGCAAACTTGATTAATTTTTAATATCACCAGCTTTATCAATAAAATAACAGCATCTGCTGATGAGTTTAAACAACTCTGGATAATTTAACATTATTTCTTCTTGCTTTCATCAGTTCTTCAGAACATACATGGAAGACTACTTTGGGAGTATTAGAAAGGCAAGAAAATAATAATCTATAAACTATTTTTTCTCTCATTTCAAACTTTGTGTATCTTGAAACACCTGTTTCTAAAGGAAAGGGGCCAGGCAGCTACTCCAACCTAGCTGTCTTTGCCAAATATTTCCAACTGCCCCTCCAGTTCACTCTGCCCGCTGCCGCCCCAGGGGTTTCTATACAGACTGCCTCAAAAGCAGGAGATCAGAAAGAAGGAGGAGAGGGTGGTCAAGGAATTTAATTTCCTGGCTTCCTCTCTGTAGGGTAGCCCCAGGCTGGCTAGGTCCTCCACCAAGTGTCATTGTTCCTCCGAAGGCAGACATCTCTACAAGACTCTCTCTCAGATTTGGATACTCCTTCCCCCCAACTCTTCAGGTGTAGGGACAGTAAACTGCTCCAGTATTGCTCATCAGTTACTATCCTATCTGTTGTTGTTTCCCTACACTTCTCCCACATCTTGTAAATAGTCCCTCTCAAATTATTCTGAATATGCTATGTGTTTTGGTTGGAAAGTAGCCCCAGGAAACAACCGTCAAAATGAGATTGAGATTAATCTAGAAACTCCAGGATTATCTCCATGCTGGGAGGAAATGGGAACACAGGTACTGATTCATTATTATACAACTTAGATGAAGGGCAACCCTAAGAGTTTGAGGAGTATGATGATTAATTTTTATGTCACTTTGGGCCACCGTATACCCATAAATTTGGTTAAATATTATTCTGGGTGTGTCTGTGAGGATGTTTCTGGATGAGATTAACATTTGAATTGGTAAACTAAGTAATTCAGGTTGCCCGCCTTCATGTGGGTGGGCATCATCCAATCCATTGAAGCCCTGAATAGAAAAAAAAACGGGGGTGGAATAAGGGAGAATTCACTCTCTGCCTATCTTTGAGCTTGGATGTCGGTTTTCTGCCTTTGGACGTGGACTTGGACTCAGACTGGAATTTACAGCACCTAAAACTTATATCATTGGCTATACTGGTTCTTAGACCTTTGGATTCATACTGGAACTACACCATTAGCCCTTCTGGGTCTCCAGCTTGCTGAATGTAGATCTTGGGACTTAGCCTCCATAATTATGTGAGCCAATTCCTTATAATAAATCTCTTTGTGTGTGGGGGGTGGGGTGGGGGTGTGTGTGTGTGTATTATTGGTTCTATTTCCCTGGAGAACCCATACTAATACAAGTGGCTATGGCACTTAATTGCTATAAAAACAAACGTGATTATACAGATGATGGATTCATCTGACTTTTTAGTGGTGTAGAGAATACATAGAGGGAAAAAAAAGTAACAGCTATAAATGGAGCTTTGCTCCTGGCCATAAAAGAGCAACAGAAATGGGACTTAACCCCTGAGTAGCCCCCCAACCCACACACACACAGACACCTGTAAAAAACTAGAAAACTGGACAAAACATAAAAACTATGTTTTAGACATGGAATTACAGCAGGGAAGACTATAACTCCTGAAAAAAGAAAAACAAGTGAGATGAGCTCTATGACTGCCCCAGTTTATTGTCCTGGAGACAGCTTCCAGGCTGAAAAACAGGGAGGGAGAATCCAAACAGAGCCCATTCATCTTGGTGAGTTGAGAAAAGAAAATGAGAGTTAGGGGAAGCCAAGGCAGCTGGAATTTATGGAGCAGAATACTGGGGAGAAAGGAGACATAGAGAGAGAACTCCCCACAACTGCAGAGGGGTCCTGTGGAGTTTTCACATGAATGAGAAAAATTACCCAATGGTGGGGAAAGAATCACTGGAGATACAAGCTGTATAATTCCCAGAGATTGCACACAGCTGAGAACAGTTTATGTTCCCATCAGTCAAAGGGGAAAGATCTCACAATACATGGAGCATTGGGTAGAGAGTCATTAGAAAGATATTGCCTTAGTAAAGGGGTAAATTAGCCCTTGACACTAAAGGCTGCTCTGGACCCACCCAAGGAAGCTCAAAAGCCTCAAAATAACCAAACTGATTCCAGGTAACTTAAATGCATACGACAGAAACTGGAAAACTGTTCTATAAAGG
This sequence comes from Homo sapiens, assembly GCF_000001405.40. Classification (NCBI taxonomy): domain Eukaryota; kingdom Metazoa; phylum Chordata; class Mammalia; order Primates; family Hominidae; genus Homo; species Homo sapiens. The sequence goes on along the minus strand of NC_000014.9, from coordinate 31,630,587 downwards.
GGCAGATGATAAATATTTTAGGCTTTGAAAGAGGTATATGGAGGGACTTCTAGAACTAGGCAGAGTGTGTCAAGATATTCATGATCTATAAATGTCAACAAGAACACATAATCATCTTACACCAAAGACTAGGTCACCAACTAATGGCATTCACTGATTAGCCTAGCCTAATCAATATCCCCCAGGACTGAACAAAATCACATTCGAATAAAGAATAAACAAATATGTGGGGGGATCTATTGACTATCTTCCCAAAACCATTCCCATTTATTAGATAAATAAACTAAGGCTTTGAGAGTTTAAGTCAACTTGCCCAAAATAAACACAAAGGTAATAGTACAGGTTACAATCAGGATTTTACTACAATTCTCTCCATCTCTAATGTCCATGATAACCACAATACCTTATTGTCTCTCTTTTCACAAGTCTTTTGCTCTCCCAGTCTAATGGATAAATTTCATCACAGCATGCTACCATCTTAATTAACTCATTCTCTGTTGCTGTTCATTATTTGTAATAATAGAGAAAGGCAGTTAACATTTATGGAGCACCTTTAAATGTATTATTTCACTTAATTTTCAGACTGTCTATGAAATGTGCTCTCAGAATTGCAGGTTGGGTCACTCTGACTCCAAAGCCCAAGATCTTTCCAGTACACCATGCTATCTTAATAGCACAAATCATGGGCCTTAGAATGGTCCAAAGAAAAGAAGTACGAGAAAAACGATGTCACAAACCACAGAATGACAGGAAGAGGGAAACTGAGGATAGGTATTTGTCTGGGAAGGGAAAAGATTAATTGAGAAGTATGACATGTTCTCTTTGTACCTCGGCATATATCATTTCTCCATTTTTATAAAGGTCTAATTTAATTCTATGATCTTCATGGAGCCACTCTCTACCTCCCCATTCGTCAGTCTTGTCATTCTCTGATCTCCTATATATTATTTAAAGCAATTATGTGATAGCATAAAATACATTATACTGCTATATCTGTGTGTTTATTAATCAGGCTACAAGTAGCTTGAGGACAACTTTTGTATCTTATAGACTATATTCCAACATGACTCCACTGTCTTAGTTAATTATCACTTGGTACATTTTTGTAAAAATAGAAGTTTTACAAAAATAGGTTATCAATTCCAGCCACCTTAACATCACTATAATAAATAAAATGAATGAAAAGGAAAGACCTAGTTCAAATCTCTCCAGAACTTTTTTTACAATGTGCCGTGCCTAATAAGGTATTTCCTGACATTAGACACAAACTATTTTACAGCACTCACTTCCACATCACTTTAATAAAAGGAGAAGAAACAAAAATGAAGTCAGTAATTTCCTGAGATCTATAACAAGGATTACTAACCTAGAAACCAAGAATTCTGACTTTTGATTAAAGAACTTTCCATTAAACAAGCAATTCTCCAAATATGGTTGGTTATTGGCCCTTTCTCTCTGGAGATCCCCAAGAATCTTTCAGATGATCCAAGAGGGTAAAACTATTTTTATAATTCTACAAAGATATTATTTTGGGGGGTGGGAATATAGTATTTGTTTTTTCACTGGGCTGACATTTCCACTGATGGTTCAAAAGCAATGGTAGGTAAAACTGCTGGCACCTTAGCACAAATTAAGGCAGTGGCACCAAACTGTACTTATAGTCATCATATTCTTCACCACCATGTATCACAGTAAAATTAAAGGTCAGTTTCACTGAAGAATGTCCTGGGTAATACAGTAAAAATTATTCAATTTATCACATCTCAAATGTTGTATACAGGTTTAACATTCTGTGTGACAAAATGGGAAGTACACAGCAAGCATCCCTGCTACATACTGAATTACAATAGCTACCTCGAAGAAAAGCCCTTATGCAATTGTTTGAGTTGCAAGCTGAACTAGAGGCATTTTTCATGGAACATCATTTTTACTTGGAAGACAAAAGGATGAACAGAAAAAAAAGGGCTATTCAGACATGGGTATTTAGCATACAAAATAAAATAAACCTACGACTTCAAAGAACACAGTTGGAAATACTTGTTGTCTATGACAAAATTAAAACTTTCAAGTAAATTAGACTTTTTTAGAAAACCTTTAACTGCCTACTATGAGTTTGGCAGCTTCCCAATACTTAAAGAATTGTCTGATGAGATCAGTAATAATACAGTATTAACAAATGTGATTTTAAAATATATTTTATATAATGAAATGTGTAAACACTTAGAAGACCAGCATAAATCAATGAACTAATGTTTTCTAAATGAGCAATACATGATGTTATAAAATCATGCATGGCTATAAGATCCACTTCAAAGTCTACAATATACAAGACTGAATAAACTTCACAGATATGGTCTCAAATTAAACATTCTAACTCATGTTTAAGAAACCAACACTTGCCAAATTTTGGTGTAGTATAAGAGGAGAAAATCCACACTTATTTAAAAGGCTATTAAAATATTCTTCTTTTTTACAACTACATGTCTGTATGGGGCTGGATTTTCTTCATATGCTTCAGCCAAAACAACACCTTACAACAGAATAAATGCAAAAGTAGACAGAATCTGGCAGTCTTCTATTAAGCAAGATGTTAAAATAATTTACAAAAACATAAACAATGCCACTCTTCTCAACTGTTTTTTCAGAAAATAGTTATTTTTCATTAAAATGTTATTCACATTAACAAGTTTATGGGCCTAATTTTAATGAATTAATAACTTTTTAAATTTCTGTTTCAATTTCTAATATGGTAAATATAAATAAATATAATCTACATTAACAAATCTATTTGGGATCCTCAATAATTTTTTTTTTTTTTTTTTGAGACAGAGTCTCACTCTGTCACCCAGGCTGGAGTGCAGTGGCACGATCTCAGCTCACTGCAAGCTCTGCCTCCCGGGTTCATGCCATTCTCCTGCCTCAGCCTCCTGAGTGGCTGGGACTACAGGTGCCCGCCACCACGTCTGGCTAATTTTTTCTATTGTTAGTAGAGACAAGGTTTCACTGTGGTCTCGATCTCCTGACCTCGTGATCCGCCCGCCTCGGCCTCCTAAAGTGCTGGGATTACAGGCGTGAGCCACCGTGCCCGGCCAATAATTTTTAACATCATGAAAGACTCCAGAGACCAAAAAGTCTTAGAACCACTGCACTATATTATGCTATAATGAAATACTCAGTACAAGCTGAAGATGAGCAGAGTAAGCCGAAATGCATTGCATTTCTACACTTTCACTTTCTAATTTTTCCTGAGCAAATAAAAATCATTATACAACACTCTTGACATCTACATGCCTTCTTGTGAACTTTAATTACTTCTTGGTTTCTCATAAGGTTTCCCTTATGAGAAAGTTTTTTTTTAAAAAGTAAAGCGGGGAAATTAAAAAGGAAAAAAATCATTTCAATTCCCTTTTTTCCTCCCACATTTCAGATTGTACAATAATACTGATAAAATACTAATGAAAACAATATGCACTGGTGCTTACCATGTGCTAGATAGAGTTTAAAGTACTTTGTTCATAACTCTGAATTATCTACTAATAAGGTAACAACTACCAATAGCTCCTCCCAGACCTTTTTTTATTCCATGGGTCTACGGTAAGCCTGGAAATCTGTATATTTAACAAGCAGTGTAGATGATTCTGATGTACTCCCTTCATGATGTTTGGGAACCAATGTCCCTGAAATGTGGTTCCCATGAAGACACCCTTCTGGGCTTTCAATTCTGTCAGTAACTATTACATGATTACAAGCAAATCACTCAACCCTGGTAATAATCATATATGAATTAATCTCTCCAAAGGACTTTCCATTTCTAACATTTTATGTTGTTATGCTCTATTTATAATCTAAATTAGGAACCTTAAGAACACAAACTGGTGAGAAGTCTCACTCCTCACCTGTGAGTCAAACCTGGGATTAGATATTAGACAGGTGTAGCTCGTTTTGGCAAGAAGTGGCAAGAGAAAAAGCCAACTCTAGGACCATCTTACATATTCTCTAAACAACTCTCAGATTGCCACAACCCTAGGTTACTTACTGCCATTTCCAATCTCTGCCTGGAATTACAAAGCAGCAGCAGTAGATAAAAAGGAAAGAGGAAGGTTACAGAGATTATATGTCTGTGAGGCACATTCTAAAGCTAAACAGTGGGCCAGGTGCGGTGGCTCATGCCTATAATCCCAGCACTTTGGGAGGACAAGGCAGGCGGATCACCTGAGGTCAGGAGTTCGAGACCAGCCTGATCAACATGGTGAACCCGTCTCTACTAAAAATACAAAAATTAGCCAGGCGCTGGGACTACTACTAAGGAGGCTGAGGCAGGGGGATCGCTTGAACCCAGGAGGCAGAGTTTGCAGTGAGCAGAGATCACACCACTGCACTCCAGCCTGGGTGACAGAGCAAAAAACAAAATAAAAAAATAAAATAAAATAAAATAAGATAAAGGTAAATGGCTACTTTGGTGTGGAGGTAATAAAAGGTGATTTATAAATAAAATATCCCACACATATTTTGTTCATAATAGATGGAATATATGGCCCACAGTTTTGCTGTCAGTTTTTTAATCAAAATTAAAAAGATAAACATGATCTTTCCATTACCTTTTTAAAAATATACCCAACTCTCTTGTTTCTCTTTATGCTCTTTGATTGCAAGCCTTATCGGGGTACAGGGTTGACAGGACTACATCATAGAAAGACTGGAAGTTCCTCTGTTTCCATGGTCTTCTGTTCATTCCCTACTATTTACTATGGTACTTAATGTGTTGACATTTTTTCATCTCCCCCACTGGACTATGAACCCCTCAGACATAGCAGCCGGGCACAGTGGCTTATGCCTATAATTTCAGCACTTTGGGAGGCTGAGGCTGGCAGATCACTTGAAGTCAGGAGTTTGAGACCAGCCTGGCCAATATGGTGAAACCCTGTCTCTACTAAAAATACAAAAGTGAGCCAGGTGTGGTGGCATGCCCCTGTAGTCCCAGCTACTCAGGAGGCTGAGGCAGGAGAATCACTAGAGCCTGGGAAGCAGAGGTTGCAGTGAGCAGAGATCATGCCATTGCACTCCAGCCTGGGCGACAAGAGCAAGACTCCCTCTCAAAAAAAAAAAAAAAGAAAGAAAAGAAATAGAATTTATATCTTACCCACTTCTTATCCCTAGAGCATAGCAATGTACTAGGCTAGAGATACTCAATAGATTCCCAAATGATTGATTTCCTAAGGGTCACACATAGTATGTTGCTTCGAGAAGCACAATGTTAAGTTGTGCTCAGATGTCTTCAACATAACAGTTTCATAAACTGAAATTTTGAACATACTGTCAAATCTAAAATGTAATTTTCAATTATTATCCTATTTAGCCATGCTAAAAATGTTAACCACTTCCTCCCAAAACTCCCTGCTTCCTTGGCTTCTAGGGTACAGTTCTTTCCTGGTCTTCTTTCTACTTCTCTGATCACCTCTTCATACCCTTTCTCTGATGACCTTAGGCTAATATTTCCCAAAATTCTACCCTCAATCCTATACTTGACTCCCTCTAAAACTCTTTTGGGTTATGTTGTCTAATCATGGTTTCTCAACCTGAACACAACTGCCATTTTGGACTGGATAATAATTTGTTGTGGGAGAGTGTCTTGTGCATTGGAGGATATTAGCAGCATCTCTGGCCTCCACCTATAAGATGTCAGTAGCATCCCCAAGATTTGACAATCAATAATGTCTTCAGTTGGCCAGGCACGGTGGCTCACACCTGTAATCCCGGCACTTTGGGAGGCCAAGGCAGGCGGATCACTTGAGGTCAGGAGTTCAAGACCAGCCTGGCCAACATGATGAAACTCTGTCTCTACTAAAAATACAAAAATTAGCTGGGCATGGTGGCAGGCGCCTGTAATCCAAGCTACTCGGGAGGCTGAGGCAGAAGAATTGCTTAAACTCAGGAGGCGGAGGTTGCAGTGAGCCGAGATTACATCACTGCACTCCAGCCTGGGCAACAGAGTGAGACTCCATCTCAAATAAATAAATAAATAAATAAAGTCTTTAGTCATTGCTAAATGTCTTCTACACATCAAAATCACCTCTGGTTGAGATTCATTGATCTCAACTAACAACTCCAACTATTTAATATTACCTATACTGCTAACTCACAAATGTGTATCTTTAACCCAAACCTCTCTCCTTAATTCCAAACACATATCCAACCATCTGTTGACTAATTCTGTCTAGGCATCAACCAAATTCAACATATCATAACCTAATTCATCATTTAAGAATACATTTCTTAAATGTATTCCTTTTTCCTATCTGCTCTATCCTGATGGATAATATATCTACATAGTCATCCAACTCAGAAAATCAAGGGCCATTCAGAGACCTTTTTCTCAGTCATACTCAATAAATTACCAAGGTCTATTCATCCATTCTCTTTAATACCTCACAATTAGGTCTCCTCCTCTCCATTTCTATCACTTCAGACTTAAATCAGGACTTATTACATCTCACCTGGATCACTGCATAACATCCCAACTGGCCCCTACATCGCATCTAGTCCTATTACGTTTCCTTCACAATGCTGTCAAAATGTTCCTCCCAGAATGCAAAACTGAGTGTCACTCCCTTACCTAAAATCCATGATAGCATCTCATAGTGTCTGAATCACACACTTCAACTCTTCAAACAAACCCAAGAGGGTATTTATGACAGGACTCTCAATTACCTTTCTGGCCCTGCTCTCACTCTTGCAACTCAACCTCAAAGACTTTTACTTTAACCATGCCCAAAAGCTTACATTGTGCAACTTTTAACACCTGCTATTCCCCCTCCCTTGATTGCCATACGTATTAGTCCGTTTTCATACTACTATAAAGAACTACCTAAGACTGGGTAATAAAGAAAAGAGGTTTAATTGACTCATAGTTCTGTGTGACTGGACAGGCCTCAGGAAACTTACAATCATAGCAGAAGCCTAAGTGGAAGCAAAGCACGTCCTACATGGCAGCAAAAAAAGAAAGAAAGAGACAGGGGCTCACTCATTATCATGGGGGGATCCCGCATGATCCAATCACCTTCCATCAGGTCCTGCCCTTGACACATGGGGATTACAATTCAACATGAGATCTGGGTGGGGACACTGAACCAAACAATATCATTCCCCCAGCCCCACCCAAATCTTATGTCCTTCTCATATTTCAAAACCAATCATGCCTTCCTAACAGTCCCCCAAAGTCTTAACTCATTCCAGCATTAACTCAGAAGTCCAAGTTCAAAGTCTCATCTGAGCCAAGGCAAGTCCCTTCCACATATGAGTCTGTAAAATCAAAAAGAAGTTAACTACTTGCAAGATACAATGGGGGTACTGGCATTGCATAAATGATCCCATTCTAAATGGGAGAAATTGGCCAAAACAAAGGGGCTACAGGCCCCATGCAAGTCCAAAATCCAGTAGGGCAGTCATTAAATTTTAGAGCTCCAGAATAAACTCCTTTGACTCCATGTTTCACATCCAGGACATGCTGATGCAAGGGGTGGGCTCCCGAGGAGTTGGGCAGCTCCACCCCTGTGGCTCTGCAGAGTACAGCCCCTGTGGCTGCTTTCATGAACTGACATTGAGTGACTACGGCTTTCCCAAGCACACGGTGCAAGCTGTTGGTGGATCTACCATTCTGGGGTCTGAAGGACAGTAGCCCTCTTCTCATAGCTCCTCTAGGAAGTGCCCCAGTAGGGACTCTGTGGGGGCTCCAATCTAACATATCCCCCTCTGCATTGCCCTAAAAGAAGTTCTCCATGGGGGCTCTGCCCCTGCAGCAGACTTCTGCCTGGACATCCAGGCATTTCCATACATCCTCTGAAATCAAGGCAGAGCTTCCCAGAGCTGAACTCTTGTCTTCTGAGCACTTGCAGGCCCAACAGCATGTGGAAGCTGCCAAGATTTGGAGTGTGCACCCTCTGAAAGAATGGCCTGAGCCATACCTTGGCGTCTTTTAGCCACAGCTGGAGCTAGAGTGTCTGGGATGTAGGGTGCCATGTCCCAAGGCTGCAAAGACCAGTGGAGTCCTGGGCCTGGATCATAAAACCATTTTTCCCTCCTAAGCCCGTGATGGGAGGGGCTGCCATGAAGATCCCTGAAATTCTCTGGAGAAATTCTCCCCATTGTCTCGGTGATGAACATTTCGCTCCTCATTACTTGCGCAAATTTCTGCAGCCAGCTTGAATTTCTCCCCCCAAAAAAACGAGTTTTGCTTTCCTACCGTATGGTCAGGCTGCAATATTTCCAAACTTTTATGCTCTGCTTCCCTTTAAACTAAGTTCAAATTTCAGACCATCTCTTTGTAAATGCATATGACTGTATGCTTTCAGAAAAGGCCAGGTCACATCTTGAATGCTTTGCTGCTTAGAGATTTCTTCTGCCAGATATCCTAAATCATCACTCTCAAGTTCAAAGTTCCACAACTCTCTAGGGCAGGGGCAAAATGCCACCAGTCTCTTTGCTAAAGCATAGCAAGAGTGACCTTTACTCCAATTCCCAAGAAGTTCCTCATCTCCATCTAAGACCACCTCAGCCTAAACTTCATTGTGCATATCACTATCAGCATCTTGGTCAAAACCATTCAACCAGACACTAGGAAGTTCTAAACTTTCCCATATCTTCCTATCTTCTTCTGAGCCCTCCAAACTATTCCAACCTCTGCATGTTACCCAGTTCCAACCTCACCTCCACATTTTAAGGTTATCTTTAGAGGAGTACCCCACTCTACCGGTACCAATTTCCTGTATTAGTCCATTTTCACACGTCTATAAAGAACTACCTAAGACTGGGTACTTTATTTTAAAAAAGACGTTTAGGATTTGCTGGCAAGACGGCTGAATAAGAACAGCTCCAGTCTGCAGCTCCCAGCGAGATCGACGCAGAAGGCGGGTGATTTCTGCATTTCCAACTGAGGTACCCAGTTCATTTCATTGGGACTGGTTGGACAGTGGGTACGGCCCATGGAGGGTGAGCCAAAGCAGGGTGGGGCATCACCTCACCTGGGAAGCACAAGGGATCAAGGGATTTCCCTCCCCCAGCCAAGGGAAGTGGTGAGAGACTGTACCAAGAGGAACTGTGCACTCCAGCCCAAATACTGCACATTTCCCACGGTCTTCGCAACTGGCAGACCATGAGACTCCCTCTGGCACCTATGTATGCCACCAGGGCCCTGGGTTTCAAGCACAAAACTGGGAGGCCACTTAGGCAGACACCGAGCTACCTGGAGCAGTTTATTTTTCATACCTCAGTGGCACCTGGAACGCCAGTGAGAAAAAAAACCGTTCACTCCCCTGGAAAGGGGGCTGAAGCCAGGAAGCCAAGTGGTCTGGCTCGGCAAGTCCCACCCCACGGAGCCCAGCAAGCTAAGATCCACTGGCTTGAAATTCTCATGCCAGCACAGCAGTCTGAGGTCAACCTGGGACGCTCGACCTTCGTAGGGGGAGGAGCATCTGCCATTGCTGAGCCCTGAGTAGGCGGTTTTACCCTCACAGTGTAAACAAAGCCGCCAGGAAGTTTGAAGTGGGTGGAGCCCACCGCAGCTCAGCAATGCTGGTGCGGCCATACTGCCCCTCTAGATTCCTCCTCTCTGGGCAGGGCATCTCTGAAAGAAAGGCAGCAGCCCCAGTCAGGGACTTATAGATAAAACCCCCATCTCCCTGGGACAGAGCCCCTGGGGGAAGGTGCGGCTGTGGGCGCAGCTTCACCAGACTTAAACATCCCTGCCTAACAGCTCTGAAGAGAGCAGCAGATCTCCCAGCACAGTGTTCGAGCTCTGATAAGGTGCAGACTGCCTACTCAAGGGGGTCCCTGACCCCTGTGTATCCTGACTGGGAGACACCTCCCAGTAGGGGCCAACAGACACCTCATACAGGACAGCTCTGGCTGGCGTCTGGTGGGTGCCTCTCTGGGATGAAGCTTCCACAGGAAGAAACATGCAGGAATCTTTGCTGCTCTGCAGCCTCTACTGGTGATACCCAGGCAAACAGGATCTGGTGTGGACCTCCAGCAAACTCCAGCAGACCTGCAGCACAGGGGCCTGACTGTTAGAAGATAAAGTAACAAACAGAAAGGAATAGTATCAACATCAACAAAAAGGACAACCACTCAGAGAACCCATGCAAAGGACACTAACATAAAAGACAAAAGGTAGATAAATCCACAAAGATGGGGAGAAACCAGTACAAAAAGGCTGAAAATTCCAAAAACCAGAATGCCTCTTCTCCTCCAAAGGATCACAACTCCTTGCAAGCAAGGGAACAAAACTAGACAGAGAATGAGTTTGACAAATTGACAGTAGTAGGCTTCAGAAGGTGGATAACAAACTCCTCTGAGCTACAGGAGTATGTTCTAACCCAATGGCAGGAAGCTAAGAACCTTGAAAAAACGTCAGATGAATTGCTAACTAAAATAACTGGTTTAAAGAACATAAATGACATGATGGAGCTGAAAAACACAGCACAAGAACTTCATCAAGCATATACAAGTATCAATAGCTGAATTGATCAAGCAGAAGAAAGGATATCACAGATTGAAGATCAACTCAATGAAATAAAGCAAGAAGAGAAGATTAGTGAAAAAAGAGTTAAAAGAAGCAAACAAAGCCTCCCAGAAATATGGGACTATGTAAATAGGCCAAATCTACATGTGATTGGCGTACTTGAACATGACAGGGAAAATGGAACCAAGTTGGAAAACACTCTTCAGTGTTTTCCAGGAGAACTCCCCCAACCGAGCAAGGCAGGCCAACATTCAAATTCAGGAAATACAAAAAACACCAAAAACACACTCCTCGAAAAGAGCAACCCTAAGGCACATAATCGTAGGATTCACCAAGGTTGAAATAAAGGAAACAATGCTAAGGGCAGCCAGAGAGAAAGGCCGGGTTACCCACAAAGGGAAGCCAATCAGACTAACAGCGGATCTCTCAGCAGAAACCCTACAAGCCAGAAGAAAGTGGAGGCCAATGTTCAACATTCATAAAGAAAAGAATTTTCAACCCAGAATTTCATATCCAACCAAACTACATTCATAAGCAAAGCAGAAATAAAATCCTTTACAAATAGGCAAATATTGAGAAATTTTGTCACCACCAGGCCTGCCTTACAAAAGCTTCTGAAGGAAGCACAAAACGTGGAAAGGAATCACTGGTAACAGCCACTGTAAAAACATGCCAAATTGTAAAGGCCATCGACACTATGAAGAAACTGCATCAACTAATGGGCAAAATAACCACCTAGCATCCTAATGACAGGATCAAATTCACACATAACAATATTAACCTTAAATGTAAATGGGCTAAATGTCCCAATTAAAACACACAGACTGACAAATTGGATAAAGAGTCAAGACCCATTGGTGTGCTGTATTCAGGAGACCCATCTCACATGCAAAGACACACATAGGCTCAAAATAAAGGGAGGGAGGAATATTTACCAAGCAAATGGAAAGCAAAAAAATAGCATGGGTTGCGATCCTAGTCTCTGATAAAACAGACTTTAAACCAACAAAGATCAAAAGAAACAAGGACATTACATAATGATGAAGTCATCAATGCAACAAGAAGAGCTAACTATCCTAACTATATATGCACCCAATACAGGAGCACCCAGATTCGTAAAGCAAGTTCTTAGAGACATACAAAGAGACTTGGACTCCCACACAATAATAGTGGGACACTTTAACACCCCACTGTCAATATTAGACAGATCTACGAGACAGAAAATTCACAAGGATTTCCAGGACTTGAACTCAGCTCTGAGTTCAAGTTAGGACCAAGCAGACCTAATAGACATCTACAGAACTCTCCACCCTAACTCAACAGAATATACATTCTTCTCAGAACCACATCACACTGCTTCTAAAATTGATCACATAATTTGAAGTAAAACACTCCTCAACAAATGCAAAAGAACAGAAATCATAACAAACAGGTTCTGCAACCACAGTGCAATCAAATTAGAATTCAGGATTAAGAAACTCAAAACTGCACAACTACATGGAAACTGAACAACCTGCTCCTGAATGACTACTGGGTAAATAATGAAATGAAGGCAGAAATAAAGAAGTTTGTTATTTGAAACCAATGAGAACAAAGAGACAACATACCAGAATCTCTGGGACACATTTAAAGCAGTGTGTAGAGGGAAATTTATGGCACTAAATGCCCAAAAGAGAAAGCAGGAAAGATCTAAAATTGACACCCTAACATCACAATTAAAAGAACTAGAGAAGCAAGAGCAAACCAATTCAAAAGCCAGCAGAACACAACAAATAACTAAGATCAGAGCAGAACTGAAGGACATAGAGACACAAAACACCCTTCAAAAAATCAATGAATCCAGGAGCTGGTATTTTGAAAAGATTAACAAACTAGATAGACTGCTAGCCAGACTAATAAAGAAGAAAAGAGAGAAGAATCAAATAGATGCAATTAAAAAAGATAAAGGAAATATCACCACTGATCCCACAGAAATACAAACTACCATGAGAGAATACTATAAACACCTCTACGGAAATAAACTAGAAAATCTAGAAGAAATGGATAAATTCCTGGACATACACCTTCCCAAGACTAAACCAGGAAGAAGTCAAATCCCTGAATAGACCAAAAACAAGTTCTGAAATTGAGGCAGTAATTAATAGCCTACCAACAAAAAAAAGTCCAGACCCAGATGGATTCACAGCCTAATTCTACCAGAGGTACAAAGAGGAGCTGGTACCATTCCTTCTGAAACTATTCCAATCAATAGAAAAAGAGGGACTCCTCCCTAATTCATTTTATGAGGCCAGCATCAGCCTGATACCAAAACCTGGCAGAGACACAATAAAAAAAGAAAATTTCAAGCCTATATCCCCGATGAACATCGATGTGAAATTCCTCAGTAAAATACTGGCAAACTGAATCCAGCAGCACATCAAAACACTTATCTACCAAGATCAAGTCAGCTTCATCCCTGAGATGCAAGGCTGGTTCAACATATGCAAATCAATAAACGTGATCCAACACATAAACAGAACCAATGACAAAAACCACACGATTATCTCAATAGATGCAGAAAAGGCCTTCAACAAAATTCAACACCCCTTCCTGCTAAAAACTCTCAATAAACTAGGTATTGATGGAACATATCTCAAAATAATAAGAGCTATTTATGACAAACCCACAGCCAATATCATACTGAATGGGCAAAAACTGGAAGCATTCCCTTTGAAAACTGACACAAGACAAGGATGCTCTCTTTCACCACTCCTATTCCACATAGTACTGGAAGTTCTGGCCAGGGCAATAAGGCAAGAGAAAGAAACATAAAGGGTATTCAATTAGGAAGAGAGGAAGTCAAACTGTCCCTGTTTGCAGATGACATGATTGTATATTTAGAAAGCCCCATCATCTCAGCCCAAAATCTCCTTAAGCTGGTAAGCAACTTCAGCAAAGTCTCAGGATACAAAACCAATGTGCAAAAATCACAAGCATTCCTATACTCCAATAACAGACAAACAGAGAGCCAAATCATGAGTGAGCTCCCATTCACAATTGCTACAAAGAACATAAAATACCTAGGAATACAACTTACAAGGGACATGAAGGACCTCTTCAAGGAGAACTACAAACCACTGCTCAAGAAAATGAGAGGACACAAACAAATGGAAAAAAAAATTCCATGCTCATGGATAGGAAGACTCAATATTGTGAAAATGGCCATACTACCCAAAGTAATTTATAGATTGAATGCTATTCCCATCCAGCTACCATTGACTTTCTTCAAAGAATTAGAAAAAACCTACTTTACATTTCATATGGAACAAAAAAAGAGCCCATATAGACAAGACAATCCTAAGCAAAAAGAACAAAGCTGGAGGCGTCATGCAAGCTGACTTCAAACTATACTACAAGTCTACAGTTACCAAAACAGCTTGGTACTGCTACCAAAACAGATATATACACCACTGGAACAAAACAGAGGCTTGAGAAATAACGCCACACATCTACAACCATCTGATCTTTGACAAACCTGACAAAAACAAGCAATGGGGAAAGGATTCCCTATTTAATAAACAGTGTTAAAAAAAAACTGGCTAGCCATATGCAGAAAGCTGAAACTGGATCCCTTCATTACACCTTACACAAAAATTAACTCAAGATGGATTAAAGACTTAAACGTAAGACCTAAAACCATAAAACCCTAGAAGAAAACCTAGGCAATACCATTCAGGACATAGGCATGGGCAAAGACTTCATGACTAAAACACCAAAAGCCAAAATTGATAAATGGCATCTAATTAAACTAAAGAGCTTCTGCACAGCAAAAGAAGCTATCATCAGAGTGAACAGGCAACCTACAGAATGGGAGAAAATTTTTGCAATCTATCCATCTGACAAAGGGCTAATATGCAGAATCTAAAAGAACTTAAACAAAAAGAAAAAAACAACCCCATCAAAAAGTGGGCAAAGGATATGAAGAGACACTTCTCAAAAGAAGACATTCATGTGGCCAACAAACATATGAAAAAAATCTCATCATCACTGGTCATTAGAGAAAAGCAAATCAAAACCACAATGAGATATCATCTCACGCCAGTTAGAATGGCGATCATTTAAAAGTCAAGAAACGAGATGCTGGAGAGGATGTGGAGAAATAGGAACGCTTTTACACTGTTGCTAGGAGTGTAAATTAGTTCAACCATTGTGGAAGACAGTGTGGTGATTCCTCAAGGATCTAGAACCAGAAATAGCATTTGACCCAGCAATCCCATTACTGGGTATATACCCAAAGGATTATAGATCATTCTACTATAAAGACACATGCACACGTATGTTTATTGCAGCACTGTTCACAATAGCAAAGACTTGGAACCCACCCAAATGCCCATCAATGATGGACTGGATAAAGAAAATATGGCATGTATATATCATGAAATATTATGCAGCCATAAAGAAGGTGAGTTCATGTCCTTTGCAGGAACATGGATGAAGCTGGAAATCATCATTCTCAGCAAACTAACACAGGAATAGAAAACCAAACACCACATGTTCTCACTCATAAGTGGGAGTTGAACAATGAGAACATATGGACACAGGGAGGGGAACATCACACACTAGGGCCTGTCAGTGAGTTGGGGGGGCTAGGGTAGGGATAGCATTAGGAGAAATACCTAATGTAGATGATGGGTTGATAGGTGCAGCAATCCACCATGGCACGTGTATACCTATGTAACAAACCTGCACGTTCTGCACATGTACCCCAGAACTTAATGTATAATAATAATAAAAAAGGTTTAATTGACTCACAGTTCTGCATGGCTGGGGATGCCTCAGAAAACTTACAATCATGGTGGAAGGCAAAGTGGAAGCAAGGCACGTCTTACTTGGTGGCAGGAGAGAGAGAGAGGGGAAGTGCCATACTTTTAAAACCCTCAGATCTAATGAGAACTCACTCACTATCATGAGAACAGCATGGGAGAAACCACCCCCATGATCCAGTCACCTCCCACCAGGTCCATTCCTCAACACATGAGGATTACAATTCAACATGACATTGGGGTGGGGATACAGAGCCAAACTATATCACCATCCTCATTGTCAATCCTCAATACCTTCTTACAACAGACTCCTGGCTTATCTACTTTGCAAAGTTTAGCCCAAGAATCATCTCTTCCAAAAAATCTCAAAGCTCCAGTTTCATTTAGTTACCATCTCTAGGTTTACACACACACAAAAACACTTATATTTCTATTACAGCATGTACTGATGCTTATAATCAATGGCTAGTATGTCTACTGTAAGTTCACAGAGAAAGACCAAATCTGATTTGATAACCATATAACCAAGTATTTCTCATGCCGACTAACTACACAAAAGACAGTCATAAAGGTCTACTAAATAAACAGAAATAATGTCTCCTTTAATGTATCACTTTTGACCCAACTGAAAATTTTAACACTAGGTTTAAAATAATCATAAGTTTTTAAGAGCAAATTTCATAATTTTTTAAGAAAATCATAAGTTTTCAAGCCAGTGCTAGTTAAGTTGCATGTAAAAAAATTAAAAATATGTTCTACTTAAATATACACATGTATGTGTGTCTGTGTATGTGTGTGTATGTGTGTATAACCTTTTTCACCCACTGTGATAAACATTTATAAGAAAAAAGCCCTAAATGTTCCTCCAAAGGCTATGCTACTTACTAATATATTCAAAGAGAGCTGTCTAAACTCAGTACTTTCTGATTATTAAAACTGGTATCTCAATTTTTAGTTGCTATTCTTGCCCAACAATAGTAGTTGTAATCTGACAGTAAGAATAATCCTGCTATTGTGAGGCTTCTGTGTTAAATGTATTATACAATCATTTATTTGTTTGAAACAAAAAAACTTGCTTACAGAAGAACCAAATGATTATCAGTTAAAACTTAGCCCCTATATTAGGGTTCTAATCCCCACAATACTACTGTATTTAAAACTGACCAGCATTACATATCCCCCATAAGCCCCATCCATAAAGAAGTCAACGTTTCAGTTCTGGACTTTGATACTACCAAATTTTATATTTTAAAAATCAAAAATTATCAAATAGATGCAATAAAATGAATACAAACATACACAAGCCATTTTATTTTCTATATATATATATATCTCTTATTGAAGACTTCTTTTTTAATTTTTTATTTTTAATTTTTGTGAGTACATAGTATGTATATATTTATGGGGTACATGAGACGTTTTGATATAGGCATACAATGTGTAATAATCACAACATGGAGATAGGGTACCATCCTCTCAAGCATTTATCCTTTGTGTTGTAAACAATCCAATTAGGCCGGGCGCAGTGGCTCACACCTGTAATCCCAGCACTTTGGGAGGCTGAGGCAGGAGGATCACAAGGTCAGGAGTTCAAGACCAGCCTGGCCAACATGGTGAAACCCCATCTCTACTAAAAATACAAAAATTAGCTGGGCATGGTGGTGCGTGCCTATAATCCCGGCTACTTAGGAGGCTGAAACAGAAGAATTGCTTGAACGGGAACCTGGGAGGCAGAGGTTGCTGTGACCTGAGATCGCACCACTGCACTCCAGCCTGGGCTAAGGAGCGAGACTCCACCTCAAAAAAAAAAAAATCCAATTACACTCTCTTAGTTATTTTTAAATGTACAATAAGTTATTACGGACTACAGTTACCTTGCTGTGCTATCAAATAGTTCATCTATTCATTCTTCCTAACCATCTTTTTGTATCCATTAACCATCCCCACATCCCCTCAACTCCCCTACTACCCTTCCCAGCCTCTGGTAACGATCCTTCTACTCTCTCTGTCCATGAGTTCAATTGTTTTGATTTTTAGATCCCACAAAGAGGTGAGAATATGCAATGTTTATCCTTCTGTGCCTGGCTTATTTCATTTAACATAATGATCTCCAGTTCCATCCATGTTGTTGCAAATAACAGGATCTCGTTCCTTTTTATGGCTGACTAGTACCCATTGTGTATACGTACCACATTTTCTGTATCCATTCATCTGTTGATGGACACTTAGGTTGCCTTCAAATCTTAGCTATTGTGAACAGTGCTGCAACAAACATGGGAGTGTAGGTATCTCTTCAATATACTGATTTCCTTCCTTTTGGGTATATACCCAACAGTGGGATTGCTGGGTCATATGGTAGCTCTATTTTTTGTTTTTTTGAGGAACTTCCAAATTGTTCTCCATAGTGGTTCAACCACTATGTACACCAACAGTATACAAGGGTTCCCTTTCCTCCACATCCTTGCATTTGTTATTTTCTGCCTTTTGGATATAAGCCATTTTAACTAAAGGGAGATGATATCTCACTGGAGTTTTGATTTGCATTTCTCTGATGATCAGTAATGTTGAGCACCTTTTTTTTTCTTTTCTTTTCTTTTCTTTTTTTTTTCTGAGACAGAGTCTTGCTCTGTTGCCAGGCTGGAGTGCAGTGGCACGATCTTGGCTCACTGCAACCTCCGCCTCCTGGGTTCGAGCAATTCTCCTGCCTCAGCCTCCTAAGTAGCTGGGATTACAGGCACATGCCACCACGCCCAGCTAATTTTTGTATTTTTAGTAGAGATGGGGTTTCACCATGTTGGCCAGATGGTCTCTATCTCTTGACCTCATGATCCGCCCGCCTTGGCCTCCCAAGTGCTGGGATTACAGGCGTGAGCCACTGCGCCCAGCCTGTTGAGCACCTTTTCATATGCCTGTTTGCTATTTGCATGTCTTCTTTTGAGAAATGCCTATTCAAATCTGTTGTCCATTTTTTATCAGATTATTAGATTGTTTTCCTATAGATTTGTCTGAGCTCCTTATATCAGGTTGGTGCAAAAGTAATTGCAGTTTTTGCCATTAAAATTAATGTACAAAGTAATATATTCATTATTAATGTCTTGTCAGATGTGTAGTTTGCAAATATTTTCTCTCATTCTGTGGGTTGTTCTTTACTTTGTTGATTGTTTCCTTTGCTCTGCAGCAGCTTTTTAACTTGATGCTATACCATTTGCCCATTTTTGCTTTGGTTGCCTGTGCTTGTTGGGTATTGCTCAAGAAATGTTTGTTGAAGCCAATGTCCTGGAGATCTTTCCCAATGTTTTCTTTTAGTAGCTTCACAGTTGAAGGTCTCAAAGTTTTTCATCCATTTTTATTTGATTTTTGCATATGGTGAGAGATAGGGGTCTAGTTTCATTCTTTTGCATACAAATATCCAGTTTTCCCAAAACAATTTATTAAAGAGACCATCTTTTCCCCCACTGTATGCTCTTGGAAACTTTGTCGAAAATGAATTCACTGCAGGTGTGTATATTTGTTTCTGGGTTCTTTATTTGGTTCTATTCGTCTGTGTGTCTGTTTTTATGCCAGTACCATCCTGTTTTGGTTACTACAGCTCTGTAGCATAATTTGAAGTCAGGTAATGTGATCCCTCCAGTTTTGTTCTTTTTGCCTAGATTAGCTTTGGCTATTCTGGATCTTCTGTGGTTCCATATAAATAGTAGAATTGTTTTTCTATTTCCATGAAGAATGATATTGGTATTTTGATAGGGATTGCATTGAATCTGTAGATTGCTTTGAATAGTAGGGACAATTTAACAATATTGATTCTTCCAATCCATGAACATGGAAAATCTTTCCATTTTTTGTGTGTCCCATTCAGTTATTTGCATCAGTGTTTTACAGTTTTCATTATAGACATATTTTGCTTTTTTGGTTAATTCCTAAGTATTTAATTTTATGTGTGGCTATTATAAACGGGATTATGTTTTTCTTTCTAAGATTGTTCACTGTTGGCATATAAAAATGCTACCAATTTCTGCAAGTAGATTTTGTATCCTGCAGCTTTACTGAACTTGTTTATCAGTTCTAATAGTTTTTTTGTGGAGTCTTTAGGTTTTTCCAAATATAACATTAAAGCATCTGCAAACAAGAATAATTTGACATCTTCCCTTCCAATTTGGATGTCCCTTATTTCATTCTCTTGTCTGATTGCTCTAGCTATGACTTCCAGTACTATGTTGAATAACAGTGGTGAACGTGGGCATCCTTGTCATGTTCCAGATATTAGAGGGAAGGCTTTCAGTTTTTCTCCATTCATTATGATGCTAGCTGAGGGTCTGTCATACATGCTGTTTATTATGTTGAGGTATGTTCCTTCTATACCCAGTTTTTTGAAGGTTTGTATCCTGAAGGGATGTTGAATTTTATCAAATGCTTTTTCACCATCAAGTGAAATGATCATATGGTTTCAGTCCTTCATTCTGTTGATACACTGCATCACATTAATTGATTTGCTTGTGCTGAACCATCCTTGCATCCCAGGGATAAATCCCAGTTGGTCATGATGAATGGTCTAATGTATTACTGAATTTGGTTTCCTAGTATTTTATTGAGGATTTATGCATCAGTATTCATCAGAGAAGGTGGCCTGCAGTTTTCTTTCTTTTTTTTTTTTTTTTTTTTTTGATGTATCTTTCTCTGGTTTTGATATCAGGGTAATACTGGCCTCACAGAATGAGTGTGGCAATATTCCCTCCTCCTCTGTTTTTCAGAACAGTTTGAGTAGGATTGGTATTGGTTCTTTAAATATTTGGTAGAATTCAGCAGTGAAGCTATTGGGTCGTGGACTTTTCTTTACTGGGAGACTTTTTATTACAGCATTGATCTTGTTACTTGTTGTTGGTCTGTTTAAGTTTAGGAAGATTGAATTCTTCCTAATTCAATCTTGGTAGGTTGTACGTGTATATGAATTTATCCATTTCTTCTAGATTTTCCAATTTATTGGCATGTACTTACTCACAGTAGCCACTAATGATCCTTTGAATTTCTGCAGTATCAGTTGTAACATCTCCTTTTTCATTTCTGATTTTGTTTATTTTTAATCTTCTTTCCTCTTTTCTTAGTCTGGCTAGAGGTTTGTCAATTCTGTCAATCTTTTTAAAAAGCAACTTTTTGTTTCATTGATCTTTTGTATTGTTTTCTTCATTTCATTTACTTCTTCTCTGATCTTTATTATGTCTTTTCTTCTACTAATTTCGGGTGTAGTTTGCTCTTGCTTTTCTAGTTCTTTAAGATGCATCGTTAAATTGTTTATTGAAAATTTTACCTCTTTTTGATATAGGCACTTATAGCTACAAACTTCCCTCTTAGTACAGCTTTTGTTGTATCCCACAGGGTTTGGTATGTTATATCTCCATTATCATTTTTTTCAAGAAATTTTTCAATTTCCTTCTTAATTTCTTCATTGGCCCACAGGTCATTCAGGAGCATATTGTTTAATTTCCATGTATTTGTACAGTTTCCAAAATTCTTGTTATGGATTTCCAATTTTATTCCATTGTGGTCAGAGAAGATGCTTGATATTATTTCCATTTTTTGAATGTTTTAAGACTTGTTTTGTGACCTAACATGTGGTATATCCTTAAGAATGATCCATGTGCTGAGGAAAAGAATGTGTATTCTGCATTCACTGGATGAAATGCTCTGTAAATATCTATTAGATCCCTTATGTCTATACAGATAAAGTCTGATGTTTCTTTGTTGATTTTCTGTCTGGAAGATTTGTTCAATGCTGCAAGTGGGGTATTGAAGTCTCCAGGTATTATTGTATTGAGCTTTATCTCTTTCTTTAGCTCTGATAATATTTGCTTTATATATCCAGGTGCTCCAGTGTTGGGTGCATATATATTTAAAATTGTTATATCCTCTTGCTGCATTGACCCCTTTATCATTATATAGTGACCTTCTTTGTCTCTTCTTATAGATTTTTGTCTTAAAATCTGTTTTGTCTGATGTAAGTATAGCAACTCCTGCTCTTTTTTGGTTTCTGTTGGCATGGAGTATCTTTTATACCCCTTTATTTTCAGTCTATGTGTGTCTTTATAGGTGAAATGTAGTTCTTGTAGGCTACAAATCAATGGGTCTTGTTTTTTTTTATCTATTTAGCCACTCCATCTTTTGATTGGAGAGTTTAGTCCATTGTTATTACTAATAAATAAAGACTTATTCCTGCCATATTGTTACTTGTTTTCTGGTTGTTTTGTGGTCTTCTCTTCCTTCCTTCTTTCCTTCCTGTCTTCCTTAAGTGAAGCTGATTTTCTCTGGTGATATAATTTACTTTCTTGCTTTTTATTTGTTGTGTATTCATTGAATGTTTTTTGGTTTGAGGTTACCATGAGGCTTGCAATTCTATCTGATAACCCAGGGGTCCCCAACCCCCAGGCCGCAAACCAGTACCAGTCTGTGGCCTGTTAGAAACTGGGCCACACAGCAGGAGGTGAGTAGCAGGCAAGGGAACATTACTGTCTGAGTTCCGCCTCCTGTCAGATCAGTGGCAGCATTAGATTCTAAGTCTAGATTTCTACTTAGGATAAGAGTAGATTACACACATAGTTACAATGTTACAAAAATCTTTTTTTCCCTGCATACTTACTATTACGAGTGAGTTTTGTACCTTCAGGTGATTACCTACTGTTCATCAATGTCTTTTTCTTTATTTATCTTTCTTTGTTTCTTTTTTTTTGAGACAGTCTCACTCTGTCACCCAGGCTGGAGTGCAGTGGCATGATCTCGGCTCACTGCAACCTCTGCCTCCTGGGTTCAAGTGAGTCTCCTGCCTCAGCCTCCAAAGTAGCTGGGACTACAGGCGCCCGCCACCATGCCCAGCTAATTTTTGTATGTTTAGTAGAGACAGGGTTTCACCATGCTGGCCAGGCTGGCCTCGAACTCCTGACCTCAGGTGATCCGCCCGCCTCAGCCTCCCAAAGTGCTGGGATTATAGGAGTGAGCCACTACACTCAGCCTATGTCCTTTTCTTTCTGATGAAGTATTCCCTTTAACATCTCCTGTAGCTCAAGTCTGGTGTTAAAAATCCCTCAGCTTTTGTTTGTCTGGGAAAGTCTTTATTTCTTCTTGATGCTTGAAGGATATTTTCACCAGATATACTATTTTAGGGTAAAAGTGTTTTCCCTCAGCATTTTAAATATGTCATGCCATTCTCTCTTGGCCTGTAAGGTTTCCACTGAAAAGTCTGCTGCCAGAGGTACTGGAGCTCCATTGTATGTCATTTATTTCTTTTCTCTTGCTGCTTTTAGGATTGTTTCTTTATCCTTGATCTTTGGGAGTTTGATTATTAAATGCCTTTGGATAGTTTTCTTTTGGTTAAATCTGTTTTGTTTTATAACCTTATTGTACTTTTGGATATTGATATCTTTCTCCAGGTTTTGGAAGTGATCTGTTATTATCCTTTGAATGAACTTTCTACCTCTAGCTCTTTCTTTTCCCTCTTCTTTAAGGCCAATAACCCTTAGATTTACCCTTTTGAGACTATTTCCTAGATCCTGTTGTTGTGCTTCACTGTTTTTCATTCTTTTTTCTTTTGTCTCCTCTGACTATATATTTTCAAATAGTCTGTCTTCAAGTTCACTAATTCTTTCTTCTGCTTGATCAATTCTATTAAAAGACTGATGCATTCTTCAGCATGCCAACTTCATTTTTCAGCTCAAGAATTTCAGCTTGAATCTTTTTAATTATTTCAATCTCTTTGTTAAATTTATCTGATAGAATTCTGAATTCTTTCTATGTAGTATCTTGACTTTCTTTGAGTTTCCTCACACAGCTATTTTGAATTCTTTGTCTGAAAGGTCACATACCGGGACTGGTCCCTGGTGTTTTTTTGTTGTTTTTTTTTTTGAGACAAAGTCTCACTCTGTCACCCAGGCTGCAGTGCAGTGGCACGATCTCGGCTCACTGCAACCTCCACCTCCCAGGTTCAAGCAATTTTCCTGCCTCAGCCTCCCGAGTAGCTGGGACTACAGGCATACACCACCACGCCCAGCCAAATTTTTTTGTATTTTAGTAGAGATGGGGTTTCACCATGTTGCCCAGGCTGGTCTTGAACTCCTGAGCTCAGGCAATCTGCCCGCCTCGGCCTCACGAAGTGCTAGGATTACAGTCGTGAGCCACTGTGCCCAGCCAGCTAGTTAAGTTTCTAAACTGAAAATTAGAGAAGGTTAATAGCCAAGTTTCCCAATGAAACATCACTATTCTCTTTTCTTCCAGTTCTGTAATGATTGCCCCTTTAAAGAACAAAATAAAGTGATGTCAGCAAGAGAGTTGACTAAGCCCCTGGTGCTCATCCTCCTCACAAAGACAGCCAGAACAACAAATAAATAACTACATTTGGATACACCAACTCCACAACCCTATCCCAGCAACCAGGATCAGCTGGGAATCAGGAGGAAATTTTCCCTACAGTGAAGAGGTAAGCAAGAATATTCCAACAACCCCCATCAAAACCTTGGACAACTACAGACCTCAAGCTGAAGGAGCCTCCTGCAGTCCACATATCTATGATACCCCAAAGAGGAGCCAACAATATGCCCTGCCCTCTGTGGCCCATGAGGCTACTGTACTAGTCATCTTAAAACTGGAGGTATCTGGTGAGTATCCCCAGAACCACCCTAACCGGCTGGGCTAACATCCACAAGCCGAGCAGCAAATAGCTGTTACACCCTTTGGGAACTCCATGCTTTGGATAGGAATGTGATCTTGCATGTTAACACCTTCAGCAACACCCCTAGATCTCTTCTCTGGAAGGAAACAACAGAGTGACTTAAGGAATAACTAGAGTTCACTCTCATTCTTTAAGCACTTAAGTTACCTTTAAGAAATCTCAGTTCCAGGCCAGGTGTGGTGGCTCAGCCCTGTAATCGCAGCACTTTGGGTGGCCAAAGCAGGAGGATTGCTTGAGTCCAGGAGTTCAAGACCAGCCTGGGCAACACAGTGAGACCCCAGCTCTACAAAAAATTAAAAATTAGCCAGTATGGTGGCACACGCCTGTAGTCCCAGCTACTTGGGAGGCTGAGGAGGGACAGTCACTTGAGCCCAGGAGTTTGAGGCTGCAGTGAGTTATGATGGCACCACTTTACTCCAGCCTGGGCAACAGAGTGATACTCTCAAAAAAAAAAAAAAAAGAAAAGAAAAGAAAAAGGAAGATGAAGGAGGAAGAAGAAGAAGAATGGAGGAGGAGGGAGGAGGAGGGAGAAGGAGTGAGGGAGGAGAAAAGGAAGAAGGAGAAGGGAGGACGAGAGGAGGAGGGAGAGGGGAGAAGAGGAGGAGGGAGAAGAGAGGACAAGAGGAGGAGGGAGAAGGGAGGAGGAGAGAAGGAAGGAGAAGGGAGGAGACAAGGAGGAGGAAGAAGGGAGGAGACAAGGAAGGAGAAGGGAGGAGGAAGAAAGGAGGAGACGAGAAAGGAGAAGGGAGGAGGAAGAGGAGGAGGAGGAAGGAAAAGAAGAAGAAGAAGGAGAAGGAGAAGGAGGAAGGAAGGAAGAAGAAGAAGAAGAAAGAAGAAAGAAGAAGAAAGAAGAAAGAAGCAGAAGATCTCAGTCCCTTCTTTGTAGTTTTTATCAGAGATTATAAAAGGTCATTTGCTCAAGCTGATTTTCCACTTCTCTGTCTCAGAAGCCTACATACACATTAATTCCTAAACTTGAAAAAAGTTTACTAACTTTAAACAAATAGAGCAGAAAACTGTGCCATGAGTGCAAAATTACTATCCCACAATAGAAAAGACAAGGGGATCCTACTCAAAATCACTAATAAACACTGTGTCATCCTCAATAAAATACTTGACATATCCATTTTAGTAAACTCTCTCCACAGGTCTTGAAATTTTCCTACTTTATTAGCTCATTACATTTAAAGACTCTTCAGTAAAACTAAGTAGTAATAAATTCACCAGTATTCTGAAAGTGATTTTTCATCACAAAACTATGAAACAAAGCAGATATTTCTACTAATATCTACTAAGAGAGAGATGTGTTGTCTCTCTTGTGCAACAGCCATTTAATATTCATTTGCCATTTCAATTGAAAACCTACAATAATTTCTAGGACTATAATTTGGCTATACTATAATATGAAATCTGAATTTGACACTATTTGGAAAGCTAAAATGAAGGAAAAAATTGGCATTTGTTCTTTAAAAAAGGTTATATTCATGCTTAGATGCTGGTTTCTCCAAGGACGTTTAGGTTTTATTCTAAATCCCACTAGCTTCCCAAAGTAACTGCTCATCTTCAGTCATTATAATGTCAGCCTGTTGATGCTTTTGCATAATGCCCTTTCTACAAACTGGCTAGATTTTCCACTACCATAATTTTGCATGATAACATAGAAAAATCACTATTGTCATTTTAAGCTGACGGAAACATTCTCAGCCTAAGAAACTCAAAACTATTATAAACTTAAAATCTTCAATTACTGAATTCACTTTTTTAAAATCGAACAGAAACTTTCTCTTGGTAATGAAGGCTAAAATGTCTTAAATGCAAAATGTGTTGTTTTTCTACAATTCCCCCCACCCTCCCAAAAAAAGGTATGAAGAGAATGTGGATAAACGTATGATCTGCCAACCCTAACATATCATTTTAAAATGAACAAATTGTCAAAAACTACATTGCCATACATCTATTTAAATAATAAGGAGAAAGGTAATTCTGAAGTCCCACTGCTTGCAAGGCTGTCCAGCTTAGTCCCAGAACAGAGGAACACCTATAAAGGTGGGATTCAATTCACTGGTCTATCTCCCCAAAACCTGAACTGCTGGAAACAAGCCTTTCATAGTTTCTCTTTATTGTTAATTAGGTAATTTTGTATTGTATTGTGTTTTCTGTAATAGCAGAATAGGATAAATTAACATGAAAAATGTAGAAATGTCAGAATGATACCAATTAGTAGAATGGTGGCAGGTTTTTCTAAGATTCAAAAATAATTTATAAGTTGCATTTTTAAGATTCCACATTCTTTTAAGTGAACGCCTTAATCATTCAGTTTATTTCTTGGGGGACTTAAGATCAGCCTGTCAACAGAGAAAGTGTTTTTTTTTTTTTTTTTCAGCCTTTCCAAGATTTCCAGTACCTCGTCTTTACCCGAAAGCCTATTTACTGGCAGCCAATTTGCAAACATCAAATTTAAGATTATAGCTTCAGTAAAACAAGAAGAAAGAAATTAAAGTTCACTTCGAGTGTTTATGTTGGCATATACCAAGCAGACTACTTAAGAAAAGAATGACACTGAGGGCTCCATTTTGCCATTCCTCATGTTCTGCATGTACTAGTTTTCATATTACTTTAATCAAGAGACAAACATAATGAATCTATCATTTAAAGTATGCAAATTCATTACTCCTTCTTTGTGAAAGCTTGACACCTTGGCTCATGTCATATATTTGCAAACTAAGTATGTATTCCACTAAAAAGTCAAGAAAAAGAAACCAGAATAACAGCTTTTCAAGTTTATGTTTCATGAAACAAGAAAATAATTAAGTGGGTACTTGCAATATACTACTGCTAGGGTCAATGTTAACATCACTAAAATCTTTAAGTTTTCTTCAAAATGTTAGGGAGAATCTTTACTGTCTCATAAAGAATTATCCAAAACTTAACATTATAATTGGCTCCAACAACTAAACCACAAACAAAAGCCTCTTAAATGGTAAGCAATGCTGAATTAACTTTTAATGACAACAAAAATAATCTTCTATTACCTACAGAGATAATCCAATAAATATACAGGAGTAAATATAGTCATTTTCTCTAGAACAATGGAAAATAAAAAGCCCAATAAGAACAAAAAGAAATTATTCAATTTTATACTCATTATCATTACAAATCAATAAACCAATTTCCCATAAAACCATTCTTTTAAAAAAATTATCAGTTTTTCCAATTCCTTTTTTTCTTTTCTTTTCTTTTTCTTTTTTTTTTTTTTTTTTCAGACAGGATCTTGCTTTGTCATCCAGGCTGGAGTACAGTGGTGCAGTCATGGCTCACTGCAGCCTTGACTTCCAGGACTCAAGTGATCCTCTTACCACAGTCCCCTGAATATCAGGGACTACAGGTGTGAGCCACCATGCCCAGCTAATTTTTTTATTTTTGTCTCACTATGTTGCCCAGGCTGGTCTTGAACTCCTGGGCTCAAGCTGTCCTCCCACCTCAGTCTCCCAAAGTGCTGGGATTACAGCCATGTGAGCCACTAAGCCAAGCCAATTCATTTTTTGATAATAACATTTCCTTCTTCTTAAAGCTTCTGATAGCTTTATTTTTTAAATGCAATAACAACAGCAGTAAACATTAAAGAGGTATTTAAAAATTACTTCTTTCTAGTAAAGAGGCTAGGGAAAGAAAATAATGTTTTGGGAGTTTTTTTTAACACTTTAAAACAAATCTGACCAAGAAATCTGATCAGAGAAAATAATTTTCATCTTTTCTGAACACAAATATATTTCCTATTCAAATAATCCCATATATCCACACATTTAATATAAAGAGACAATAATGAGGATCTACCATTTTTGATCACTTACTATGTGCCAGAAATTCTGCTAAATGCATTATATTAATCCTCACAGTAGTTGTAACTATTTTACATATGGGGGTCTGAGGCACAAAAAGATTAAAACAATTTACTCAAGTCATATAGCTAGTAAATGGATGGGGCTGAGAATCAAACCCAGGCAGTCCAGTACCATGTCTGATTTCTTTTTATATATATACTTTTTATTTATTTTATTAAAATTCGGTGCTCTACGTGTTCAGAGAAACTTCTGTAGTAGCGAATTATAGAAATGATTCCTCAAAGTACAGTCTTCCATGTCTGCTTTTTTTTTCTTTTTTTTTTCTATTATTATACTTTAAGTTTTAGGGTACATGTGCACAATGTGCAGGTTAGTTACATATGTATACATGTGCCATGCTGGTGTGCTGCACCCATTGACTTGTCATTTAGCATTAGGTATATCTCCCAATGCTATCCCTCCCCCCTCCTCCCACCCCACAACAGTCCCCAGAGTGTGATCTTCCCCTTCCTGTGTCCATGTGTTCTCATTGTTCAATTCCCACCTATGAGTGAGAACATGCAGTGTTTGGTTTTTTGTCCTTGCGATAGTTTACTGAGAATGATGATTTCCAGTTTCATCCATGTCCCTACAAAGAACATGAACTCATCATTTTTTATGGCTGCATAGTATTCCATGGTGTATATGTGCCACATTTTCTTAATCCAGTCTATCATTGTTGGACATCTGGGTTGGTTCCAAGTCTTTGCTATTGTGATTAGGGCCACAGTAAACATACGTGTGCACGTGTCTTTATAGCAGCATGATTTATAGTCCTTTGGGTATATACCCAGTAATGGGATGGCTGGGTCAAATGGTATTTCTAGTTCTAGATCCCTGAGGAATCGCCACACTGACTTCCACAATGGTTGAACTAGTTTACAGTCCCACCAACAGTGTCAAAGTGTTCCTATTTCTCCACATCCTCTCCAGCACCTGTTGTTTCCTGACTTTTTAATGACTGCCATTCTAATTGGTGTGAGATGGTATCTCATTGTGGTTTTGATTTGCATTTCTCTGATGGCCAGTGATGGTGAGCAGTTTTCATGTGTTTTTTTGGCTGCATAAATGTCTTCTTTTGAGAAGTGTCTGTTCATGTCCTTCGCCCACTTTTTGATGGGGTTGTTTGTTTTTTTTCTTGTAAATTTGTTTGAGTTCATTGTAGATTCTGGAGAATAAAATACCTAGGAATCCAACTTACAAGGGATGTGAAGGACCTCTTCAAGGAGAACTGCAAACCACTGCTCAGTGAAATAAAAGAGGATACAAACAAATGGAAGAACATTCCGTGCTCATGGGTAGGAAGAATCAATATCATGAAAATGGCCATACTTCCCAAAGGGAATTTATAGATTCAATGCCATCCCCATCAAGCTACCAATGACTTTCTTCACAGAATTGGAAAAAACTACTTTAAAGTTCATATGGAACCAAAAAAGAGCCTGCATCACCAAGTCAATCCTGAGCCAAAAGAACAAAGCTGGAGGCATCACGCTACCTGACTTCAAACTATACTGCAAGGTTACAGTAACCAAAACAGCATGGTACTGGTACCAAAACAGAGATATAGATCAATGGAACAGAACAGAGCCCTCAGAAATAACGCCGCATATCTACGACTATCTGATCTTTGACAAACCTGAGAAAAACAAGCAATGGGGAAAGGATTCCCTATTTAATAAATGGTGCTGGGAAAACTGGCTAGCCAAATGTAGAAAGCTGAAACTGGATCCCTTCCTTACACCTTATACAAAAATTAATTCAAGATGGATTAAAGACTTAAACATTAGACCTAAAACCATAAAAACCCTAGAAGAAAACCTAGGCATTACCATTCAGGACATAGGCATGGGCAAGGACTTCATGTCTAAAACACCAAAAGCAATGGCAACAAAAGCCAAAATTGACAAATGGGATCTAATTAAACTAAAGAGCTTCTGCACAGCAAAAGAAACTACCATCAGAGTGAACAGGCAACCTACAAAATGGGAGAAAATTTTTGCAACCTACTCATCTGACAAAGGGCTAATATCCGGAATCTATCATGTCTGCTTTCTGAATCACTATACAGCAGGTCCTCCAATAAAATTGCTTTCTTTCAACATCATTTTGTTGTAACATTAATAAAGAAAAAAATCAATTTCAAGCCACGACCACAGTCTTGTGTAAAGTTTGCATGTTCTCCCCAGGTCTGCGTGGGTATTCGGGTACTCTAGTTTCCTTCCACATCCCAAAGCTATGCACATTAGATGAACTGGCGTGTCTGTATGGTCCCAGTCTGAATGAGTGTGGGTGTGTGAGTGTACCCTGCAATGGAATGGCCTCCTTTCCAGGGTTGATTCCTGCCTTGTGCCCTGAGCTGCCAGGATAGCTCCAGGCACCCCCAACCCTGAACCAGAATAAGTGGGTTGGAAGATGAATGAATGGATACAAATGATTGCCAAATAAAAATTAGTGGGCCAGGTGTAGTGGCTCACACCTGTAATCCCAGCATTTTTTGAGGGTGAGGTGGGTGGATCACCTGAGGTCAGGAGTTCAAGACTAGCCTGACCAACATGGCGAAACCCCATCTGTACTAAAAATACAAAAATTAGCTGGGCGTGGTGGCGTGCACCTGTAGTCCCAGCTACTTGGGAGGCTGAGGCAGGAGAATCACTTGAACCCAGGAGGCAGAGGTTGCAGTGAGCCGAGATCACACCACTGCATTCCAGCCTGGGCAGCAGGGTGGGACTCTGTCTCAAAAAAAAAAAAAAAGAAAAAAAACTAGTAAAGTATATGATAATCATACAAATGCACAATAAACAATGCAGTAAGAAAATGCTCAATGATCTGCCATATTGGTTACTCTTGAATTGCATGATGGTAAGAGATGCTCCTTACAATTTTCACTTTGCAAACACCTATTCCTTGATTTAACCCACCACCACTATGACTGCTTTCACTCACTGATTCACTAAAAATTGTGTAAATAATTATATTGTTTTTATTAATCTTTCTTAAATGTACTTATAGCCCAAATTTATTTCTTTGTTTAATATTAGAAGTGTTTTGAGTCTTTATTTAGAAGTTTGGTGAAGTTTTTGTGACCAGAAATATGCCATAGGAACTTAACTCTTGTTTATATCAATTAACATATCTATTCACTTAAAGTAACAGTTTCCAAGAATCTACTAACTTAAGTGAGGACTTACACTACATTGTGCATAAAATATACATTGCATCTAGCATAATGTCTGACACCCAGTAAGTATTAATAAAAGTGCAACTATTATTATAATATTTATCCCTTCTTTACTTACTCTGTGATAATTCCGGATTTCCTTTCAGATTCATCATCTTTGGAACTGAAGGTCCATACACATCCACATCTAGCAAACCAATGGCCTTGGACTGTAAAAAAATAAATAAAAATATAAAACAAAACAAAAACACTTTACCATAAGATTGTTCCCACTCTTCTCAAAGGTGAAGCATATAGCAACAGTAATCTGAGTACAGAAAATAAAATTGGCAAAATATTACAAATCATAACCTAAACTTCCAAAGCAACAGTTAAGTAAAAGAGCATAAATTGCTTAGGGTCAATACTTTTTACGATTTACTAATATCGTCTAGACAACTGATAGAGAAATCCATCCTATATGCTTTACATATTGTAGTTCAGGTCTCTCATATAGTCTCAAGCAGACTAAGACCTTTTTGATCTGAACATGAGTTTGAGAACAAATTACATGTAAACAATTTTAAAATAATGATTTGTGATGGCAAGCAAAACCCCAGAAAGACACAACATTAACTTTTGGAAAGCTTGTCTAACACACCAAAGAAGACAAAATAAAAAAAGATCATGGAAACAGGGCCATAATAAAGCAAGTGAGAAACTCTGATGTAGATCTGGCATAAATGAGATGGAAGCACTAACAAGGATACTGGCACACCTAACACAGAGACAACCTCTTATATGCAAGTCACAATTAAATACAAAACGTCTTCTAGAGGATTCAGAAACAACTAAAACTGTTTTCTTTGATGATGCATCCAGCTGCTGAAGGACAGGATACCCTGTCTGGGCTCTTCGCTGGCTGTCAATTAATCAGCAGCTTAGCCAAGGAAAGGAAAACAAAATCCGCTATTAAAAAATATGTCTCTTTTTTTTCTTCTTCCCCTCTCTTCTTTCTCCTTTGATAGATGAAATCAATCTGTTACTGGTTTTGCTCATCTACAAGTAAACAGAACCCTAACACGATATGTCTTAGAGTTGTTTCATCAAGTCTTACAACTTTCCTACTACTCTCTTCATATCCTACAGAATAAAACTCGTAACCCCTCGACAAAATTTTTTGAAAAACTGAAGCAATCACTCATCTTCGATGTTACCTACCTATTTCTAGACAAAAAAAAACTTTTTAAATTTTGTTATCTGGTTCCTATGAACATACAAAATAAGGTAAATCTAACATTTGTGTTTCCAACTTTATACTGACTAAAACTGCAGTTTAAATATACATATATATATCTGTATGACTCAGTGTCCTCAGAGGAAAAAACGGGATTAATATCTGCCTCTATGAAAATCTCAGCTTTATGTAAAATAAATGAGAAAAATAGGAAGGATACTTGATTTTTCATAGAATGGTGGTATATAAAATTTAAGCTTAATGCATTTAGGTATCAGATTTAAGAAGGGAGGAACAGTCAATGAGAAATTTGACCAATTTAACTATTTTTTAAACCACAAACAGAAGAATTTAGCTAAATTAAAACAATTAAATTTACTATGGATAACAAGATTTTCAAATGAGGGGACCTAAATCTAGAAATATGGCTAATTGTTAACTTCTATTGCATAAAGTTCTGCTAATGCTATAACTATCATCCTAGAATTTTATCTCTTTTCTGTATTTTTATGACACCTACAAAAACTAAAAACTACTGCCAAATAATAATAAATACCAATAAAAACAAAAGCTATTTTAAAATTCTCTTTCCTTGTTCTCTTATTTATATCAATGCTGGTTTTACAATAACATGAAGGGGGTTAGGTCCTAAGTTTCAAATTGATCTTCTAACATTACCTGTCAAGTAAAATAACAGCTTTTTAAGTTTATGTTTCCATGAAACAAGAACATAACTAAGTGTTCTAACTAATATAAGATTGCTAGGGTCAATTTTATCATCACTAGATTTTCAAGTTTCCTTCAAAATGCTAGGAAAGATCTATCATCTATCCTGCTTCTAGAAGAATACCAAGCTTGCCTAAAGATGAACTCTTGGCATAATGTTCCAAAAAAACTGAAGATCTCTCCTAACATTTGCTACGGTAAGAGTAGATTTTACATATGCCTAGATGGCTCCAATAAACGTTATGTAAAAATTAAGGAGGAGGGGGAAATTACAAGATTTTCGAATTCTTCTGCTTCCTAGAGAATAGAAATAACACTAACTGACAATATTCTACATATTAGGCTCTCTACGTACTCTAAGAGACTGACCTAAATTTAGTACCAATGCTTGCATATATCAAAAAGGAAACAAAGGGAGGAAAATATAAAGATCAGGAGGAAAAGAGAAAGAGAGGAAAGAGAGAGAGGAGCAAAGGGATTAAGGACGGAGGAAGAACAGGATAAAGGGACATTAGACAGCAAAGTTATATAAAGATGCCGGATAAACTAGGCCTCCACTGCCAGCCCTATGGACAAATCAGAACCTATAAAAACATACCATCTTAAATTACCCAGACACCAACACTTTCCCTGATTGCATCTCCCCATTTTTTGAATTCCTTCTGGGTACTGGGCAGTTAGCTAAGCATTTTATTTACATTTTTTCACTTATCCTCACAGCAACACTGCAAGGTGGTATTATCCATACTCATGAATGAGAAAGCCAGAAACTTACACTCAAAATGACCATTTAAAGTATTCTTTCTTAAAATGAAGTAGAATGGGAAATTAAACATGAAAATGCTAACCTCATAAACCTCCAACAGAACTTTAACACGATCTAACTCCAAAAACTTAGATACAGAGCACACTTATTCTTAAAGGGCTAACAGTAAATATTTCAGACGTTGAGGATCATATGATCTCTATGGTAACTACTCAACATTACCATTGTAGCATCAAGGCAGCCATAAACAATATGTAAATAAATTAACATGGCTGTGTTCCAATAAAACTTCACAAAAAACGGCAGGATTTGGTCCACATGTCATAGTTAGCCAACATTCAATTTAGAGAGCAAAGTTTTTCATGATGAAGCTATTCAGTCATTCAACAATGTAATTTTGTTAGCACCAAGAGCACGCAGGCCAGTCATCTCAGCGTCAGAGGAGCTATCTCAGTAAAGATTTACTCTCTCATCCTTAATTGGCTAGATTTTAAAAATTAAAAAGCACTCTTTTCAGACTATTTTACTGGAACTAAATTAGGATGTCTTGCTTAGATTTTATTTATCATGAATAAAATCAGTGTCCAGGCCGGGCGCGGTGGCTCACGCCTGTAATCCCAGCACTTTGGGCCAAAGTGGGCGGATCACAAGGTCAGGAGATCAAAATCATCCTGGCTAACATGGTGAAACCCCGTCTCTACTAAAAATACAAAAAATTAGCTAGGCGTGCTGGCGGGCACCTGTGGTCCCAGCTACTCGGGAGGCTGAGGCAGGAGAATGGCATGAACCCAGGAGGTGGAGCTTGCAGTGGGCCAAGATTGCGCCACTGCACTCCAGCCTGGGCAACAGAGTGAGACTCTGTCTTAAAAAAAAAAAAAAAAAAATCAGTGTCCATTAACAGAAACACCAAAGCATACATTAATTAAAGCATATTATACTTAGAATTGGCACAGCTACCAGACCAGTACAGTTACCATTGCTATAAAAATAAATTTAAACAGATTTTCAAGTCTAGAATTCAGTAATGTTCAAAAGGTGCCAAATAAACTTCATTTGTTTTTCATAATTGACTCCGTTATTTTTAAATAGGCTCCTATTTTAAGTATGTAAATAGTCTTTCACTTTAAACTTCCAGTTTTACACTGTTAGAAAAATAAATGAGCAAGGTAAAAGCCTATAAATAAATGTATGCAGCTGGGTGTCCAGCCAGCTAAGTTTTATGAATCCTTTCCAACTTACTCCTTCTATAATAATTTTATTTACTCAAGAAAGCTCCATTTAGGATTTTCTTCAATTTCAGCCAGATTCAAACGAATATTTGCTACAAAAGCTACCAAATACACAACAGATAAAAAAAATTACTATTAGCAAAAATAACTGTAAACTTACTATTGTAAAGTCTGATTGTCATCTTTAATGTCACCATAAACTTAACCTAATGTTGGTATCTAACAATATACTCTTTTTCTGACTCTCCTACAGATTTCAAAATCTAGCAGATGACATAAAACAAGATAGATCAAACCCCAAGATAACAATTAGTTTTTTGGATTTGTTTATAATTTGTAACACCCTGTGGAAGTTGTAAAAGGTGGCAGAATTATTCAAGAGTAATTATACTGTTTCACTACTACTGCAAGAAAGCTGCAATTTGAGAGCCTACACGTCTTATTTTTGTGTGTTGGATTTCAAAGACACGAACCACAGTTTTGATACTGCTTTGTTCTTCCAATGCAATTTATACTAAATAAGATTGTAAAGCTTCATGATATGTTCCTTTTATCCATGTCTTCTGCTAATAGAACCCATCAAAACAACATCTTAGAACGTTCCCACCCAATTATTTCTAAATAAGACCTACCTAAAAGTTGTACTTCTACAGAAGTACCCAGCTAAGACTCCCATGATTCCCTGTATATTATATTCAGTTTAATCTCGGACTGGCAGTTGGTGTTTATTCAATTTAGAAATTATTCAAGCCTCTTCTTTCTTCTCTTTCTGCCTAGCTTTATGTCAAGCTGCCAATCATAAGAATTTCAATCTCTTAGTAGAGAAAAATATATGTTTCCAAATTCTATTAGCTAAGATTAAATAAGAATCTGATTGTCAGAAGAGCTAATGGTTAACAAGGTGATAAGAGAACAATTTCCTGCTGTTTATCAAAGGACTGTCTAAATCTTCAAGTTCAATCAGGAAAAAAGAGAAAACACAGCAGCATAAAAGAAAAAAAAAATCACCTGGCTAGTTGGAACACAACCTGAGAGGAGCTCATGAAAAGTACAGAAGAATCCCAAATGATAAAATATTTATAACTGCTCTCAAAAGAGGTACAAAATAGAAATGCAAGATAAATGGCAGATTTCTTTTTGGTTGTTTTTTCAGACGGTCTTGCTCTGTCGCCCATGCTAGAGTGCAGTAGGGCAATAGGGGCCTTGACCTTCCTGGCTCAAGCAACAATCCTCCCGCCTCAGTGTCTTGAGTAACTAGGACTACAGGCACTGGCCACCATGCCTAGCTAATTTTTTTTCGTTTTTTGTAGGGACAGGGTTTCACCACGTTGCCCCAGCTGGTCTCAAACTCTGGGGCTCAAGTGATCCTCCTGCCTCGACCTCCCAAAGTGCTGGGATTACAGGTGTAAGCCACCACACCTGGCCAATAATCAATTTCAAATTAAAGACTCTATTTTTGAGTAGGAAGAAACCTAAGAGATCATCTTAGTCTTCTAATTTTTAGTGATAAAAGAAACTAAGGCCCAGAGATAATGCCATTCCTGGGCCTAGGATCCCAAGTCTCTCTCCAGTGTATCATGAAGCCTAAACACTAATCAACAATCACCAGCCACTTACCATACCTCTTTCACCTCATCTCCTACTCTCCCCTTTTCTAATCTATTCCATACATATTACTGTCTTGCAGCTTCTTAAACACACAAGGAACACTCCAGACTTAGGAGTTTTGCAGTTGCTATTCCCTCAACCAGAAATCCTATTCCCCCAAGTATCCACCTGGTCTCTTACTCACTTCCTTTAAGTCTTGATTTAAACATAACCATATAGTAAGGCATTCACTGGCCAGGCTATCTAAAATTGCAACTCCCTTACCACAACACTACACATTTCCTATTCCCCACCCTGCTTTTTCTTTCTTCTTAGTATCTATATTAGTATTCAACATATTATATACAGTTGTCTCTAGGTATCTGCAGGGCATTGGTTCCAGGACACCTCCGCCCCCATACCAAAACCCTCACTCTTTTTTTTTTTTTTTTTTTTTTTTGAGACGGAAGCTCGCTCTGTCGCCCAGGCTGGAGTGCAGTGGCGCAATCTCAGCTCACTGCAAGCTCCGCCTCCCGGGTTCACGCCATTCTCCTGCCTCAGCCTCCCGAGTAACCGGGACTACAGACGCCCCCCAGCACACCCGGCTAATTTTTTGGTATTTTTAGTAGAGATGGGGTTTCACCGTGTTAGCCAGGATGGTCTCAATCTCCTGACCTCGTGATCCGCCCGCCTCAGCCTCCCAAAATGCTGGGATTACAGGCGTGAGCCACCGCTCCCGGCCAATCCTCAGACTCTTACATAAAATGGCATAGTATTTGCATATAACCTGTACACATCCTCTCGTATACTTTAAATCATCTCTAGATTACTTATAATACCAAATATAATATAAATTTTATGTAAATTGTTATTATACTGTATTTTTATTTGTATTACTTTTTATTGTTGTATTGTTCTTTTTATTGGGTTTTTAAAAATATTTTTGATCCACAGTTGGTTAAATCCACAGATGCAAAACCAGCACATATGGAGTGCAAATGTATTTACCTATTGTTTACTATCTCCTCTACTAGAATGTAAATCCCATGAGGGTAAGGATTTTTGCATGCTTTGTTCACTACTATATACCCAGAACCTAGAAGAGTAGGTAGTTACAGAGATTCCCTATTACATCCCAGAAATTCTGATTCATTCGGTCCGGGCTGCCATCCAACAACCTATATATGTAGCACTCCAGGGTATAAGATGACCACAATGTGAAAAACAGAAATATAGATAATACAGGAAAGAGAGATGAAAATTTGCTACTAAGCCTTGGGACCAGCAGGATCATAATAATAATAATCTACAGTAATCAACAATAACATTAAAGAGGTCCTTTTTTAAATGATTTTTTTTTAAAAAAACATAGTAAACATTCTGCCTTATGTGTGAATAATCAATAAATATTGCACGGGACATATGCATTAAAAAATTATTCATTGTTTATCTGAAATTCAAATTTGTTATTTGCTAAATCTGACAACCTCACCCCAGCCTTTCTTCTCAACAGGGCTGCAAGAATGATTCAGATGAAACATAAGTCAGATTGTGTTATTACTCTGCTCAAAACCCTTCACTGCCACCACTCCTCCCATTTCATTCCTGTAAAAGCCAAAGTCCTTACAACCATTCACCCCACATAACCCAGTCAGTTCCCCACCCACCTCCTGCCTCCCAAACCTAGTAATTTTCATCACCTATTACTCCATTCCACTTCTTCCTCCAGAAATCACATTGGCCTTATTACTATTCCTTGCATGGTATACTAGGCATGCTCCCACCTATTGGCCTTTGCCCCAGCTCTTCCTTCTCCCTGAGATACTCTTCCCTCAGATAGTCACACAGTCTACTCTCATTTTCTTCTCTTCTCTGCTCAAGTGTCATGTTTTCAATGGAAACTATCATATTTTAAACTGCAAACCAGCACTAATCCTTAAGCACTACCCCTCCTCCATCTCGGTTCACTTGTATCACCTTCTAACATACTATTTAACTTACTTGGGATGTTTGTTATCTATTTACTATAAGCTCCATAAGGGCAGGAATATCCCCAAGTATTCTGAACAGTAAAAACTCAATATTTGTTGAATAAATGGGTAAGTAAATAAACTAATAAATGAATGAACAAACCTCCATCTGTTATTCTGTAGAATTTCAGTATTGCTTACTATATGATCCCCACAGTCTCTTATAAGCTTTAACATACTATGATTTCAAGAAAGTCTCTCTTCTAATACTTCTACACTAATACTTTAAGTTATAGGGCTCAAAATTAAGTAATATTACTATATAATAATTATACAATAATATATAGCTTAAAAACATTCTGGTGTTTAAAAGGGGTCATAAATTTCTTTGCAGTCTATTCCTAACAACCATTTTCTCCCCAGAAAATCTAATATCATCTTCCTTTTTCTACTGGCCTCAACTCCAAAAAAAATAGACTTCATGAAAGAAAATCTATTACAAAGAATGGCTATGGTTCTATGGTGGCTTTATTAAAAAATATGGCTGGGCGCAGTGGCTCATGCCTGTAATCCCAGCACTTTAGGAGGCTGAGGCGGGAGGATCATTTGAGGTCAGGAGTTCAAGAGCAGCCTGGCCAACATGGTGAAACCCTGTCTCTACTAAAACTACAAAAATTAGCCAGGCATGGTGGCGGCACCTGTAATCCTAGCTACTTGGGAGGCTGAGGCAGGAGAATTGCTTAAAACCGGAAGACAGAGGTTGCAGTGAGCAGAGATTACACCATTGCATTCCAGCCTGGGTGACAGAGTGATAAAGTACATTGTCTAAATCTTTGAAAACTAAAGTCACAACATGGTATGAAAAAGCTAACCAAAAAGAAGAAAATTTTTTATCTGCTTACTAGCAAGATTTAGTACAATAGGGTTTCAAATATAAAAAAGCTGCAAATCTGGGTTTGTTTTTCTTTCCGGAACTGGAGAAGCAACTTCTTCTTTAACAAGAAAACAGTTGCCTTAAGTGCCACATTTTCATTTAGTAAGGAGGGAAAAGTAAATCAGGAATAAAACACCTAAGATTAAGAGAAGAAAAACTTTAAATCTTGGTCTGTATAATTTTTAAAAAAATA
Organism: Homo sapiens; assembly: GCF_000001405.40. NCBI lineage: Eukaryota > Metazoa > Chordata > Mammalia > Primates > Hominidae > Homo > Homo sapiens. The sequence continues at coordinate 31,590,876 of NC_000014.9, read as the reverse complement.
AAATAAAAGATTTTAATGCCCTTAGTAAGTAAAGTCTTCAAATACAGAGAAAATTAGAACGCCTTCTACCACCATGTAGTGCTTATAAAAATGCAGAAGATGCTTACAGACACTGAGCTCTAAAAATCATAGTTATCTGTGATATCAACTAGTCATTTGTTGCCAGAATCAAAGCCTGGGGACCTAGAAACCTAACTAAACAAGAACCTTTCCCCAAACAAATAAAGTACTGCAGCAAAGATGCTGGAAAACTAACATCAATTCCTTAAGAATGTCCTTAACTAAACTGCAATGAAGGGAAGAGTATTTATAATTCTGAGAGCAGCTCTTCTAAAGAAAAGCAATTATAAGATCAGATATGAACAGAGCACTTGATCCACCCTTCAGACTCAAAATCAGAGCGGCCCAGCAGCTGGTTTTGAAACCCACAGTTCCATATGCTCTGCTCTCTTCCCCTCAATGACCCTTCCAACACTGCTCCGCTGAGAATTAAAGGCCCTTCCTGTTCCTCAAGGAGATGGGATGGGAGGAAATAATTTCCTGATAGAAAAAAAAAATGAGAGAGGAAAAATGAATTAGTGAAAGCCAAGTTAGAAAGAAGGTAAATAATTTTTTTAAAAAAAGGATTGTTCTGCCTGAACCTGGGAGGCAGAGGTTGCAGTGAGCTGAGATCACACCACTGCACTTCTTCCTGGGCAACAGAGTGAGTGAGACTCTGACTCAAAAAAAAGGATTGCTCTGTGAGAAAGATTTGGATAAATTCTTATTAGACAGAATCAGATAATGAAATTCAAAGGATGTGGAGTAGTTTTGCCACCTGTATGTTACACATAAAGGGAAACTAAGGTAGAATATACTATATGTAAAATGAGGATAAGGCTTGTCATTCTAACTCATAAGCAAATTCAGCAACTTCCTTGAACAAAGTAAGGAGAATTAATTACTGACAGCAAGCTGCACTTTACTGAAAGAAATTTTTAAAAGGTAGACCAAAGAGTACTGAGGAGGAAACATCCAGCCAACAGCTTCCTTAGAGCTATTGCTAACAATATTGCTACTGCTTCTAATGGGAAATTTCAAAGCATGTTGTACCTAATGCTATGTGCCTAAAACCATGCAGAAAATATGGCAGGGGTTGGACGGGGGAGCAGTTTGGTGATTTTTACCTATCTGAAGATCAGGGTGAATGTGGTGTGTGTGTGCTTGTGGAGGAGGAGGAAGAGCAAAACAGGTAAGGAAAAATACCTAATAGAAGATTGGCTTTAGGAGCTAATCTAATACACTTTCACCCCTCTATTATACATTTAATTTTTTAAAAAAACACTTCATCTTTCATTTTAATATGTGATGTTAAGTTTCTTATTCTGTACACTGAATTATTCTTATAAAAGACACCATAGAGGTAGACACATAGGTTTCAAATCAATTAATACTGTTAATATATATTACAGGTTTTCCATTAGCATAATTGCTTATATTTTCTATAAAATGTATGAAACTTGAGGATTTAGATAACTTACTCAATCACAGATGTCATCTAAATCATGAGTGAAATAAACAATTGTACTGTATTCACATATAGACATTATTATACAACTCTATCAAATTAAAAATAAAGTTCAAAAACTAAGAAAAATTATCAAGGCACCATAATTATTATTACCTAGAAAATGATGCTATAAAAATGTTAGCATCTAAGCCCAGGTAAATAATATATATGGAATTAATTTCATTTAAATTGTTATTACAATATGACTTTTTTTAATCTGTTACACCTTGATGCAATATTTTAAATTAAGGGTCAATAACAGATCTTTTTAAAAATATTAACATCTCACTCAAAGTTCAAAAAGAGTTAATCTATTAATTCCACTGCCAAGTAGTAACAATTTTTTGATAAATGAAAATGTTGCTTAGTACCATATGAATCACATGGGTAATTACTATTTTTTTTTTTTTTTTTGAGACGGAGTCTCACTCTGTTGCCCAGGCTGGAGTGGCACGATCTTGGCTCACTGCAACCTCCACCTCCTGGGTTCAAGCAATTCTTCTGCCTCAACCTCCCAAGCAGCTGGGACTACAAGTGCATGCTACCACGCCCCGCTAATTTTTTTTTTGTATTTTTAGTAGAGAGGGGTGTCACCATACTGACCAGGCTGGTCTCGAACTCCTGACCTCGTAATCTGCCCACCTTGGCCTCCCAACGTGCTGGGATTACAGGCATGAGCCACCGCGCTCAGCCGGGTGATTACTATTTTTAAGGATTTAAAAAAAAAAAATTAACATATTAAAGGCATAGTAGGATGCAGGAAAAAGCAAACTAGTATTTGTATCACTTAATAGATGGGTGATTATGGATAAGTTATTAACCTCATCAAACCTCAATTTTCTTACCTGTAAAGATTAAGAAGATCTACTTTTTAAAATACAATAAAGACATTTTAAGACCAAAAAAAAAAGAGAGAGAGATCTAATTTATAGGATTTTTGTGAAGATTATAGAGCACTGCAAATTTGTGAAACTTAAAGAATAGCTAACAGTAGTGCATGCACACAGTACATATACTTCTATCTATGTGCCAGGTACTTCCTAAACACATTATATATTTTAACTTATTTAATCCTCATGACAACCCTATAAAGTAGGTATACAATAACCCCCAATGAAGAAACCAAGGCACACAAAGGTTAGTAACTTGCCCAAGGTCAGGCAGTTCAAGTGCAGAAAATGGGATAAGAACCCAGGCAACAGGGCTTCAGAGTCTGCAGGTAACACTACAACATGCTGCCTCTTGCCAATACAACAAATTAAGTTAATTTCCTAGCAGAAAGTATGTACTCAATGTTAGCATCTTTCTCCTTTCTGTACACCAAGACCTCTTTATGCACGGAAGCAGGAAAAATAAGCATTCACTCTCAGTGGGTATTTATTTATCATACAAAACAACCATCAAAAATAACATTCTAATTATTAACCCAGGCAACTATAAAATCTTTAAGAATAACAAAATGATCCTTAATGTGCACTTATTATTTTTATCTGAATTTATATTGTCTGTTTTTTGTTTAAGAGCAGGAACCATGTATAGTTTAAGGTTTTACATGAGATCACTGTGAAAAATAGCCTCTAGTAAATATTAAGTAGCATATTTCACAAAAATTAGAGTTTTTGGTATATTAGCCAATTTTTAAGTTATATAGATAATAGAGTACAGACATAGCCAAAAATGCAGTTAAGAAAATTAAGACTCATATGTTATAGCCTAGAAAATAACAGATAGTAAGCAACAATAGAAGCAATTTATTATATTCTGCTTCTTTTCTTTTTGTTGTAGTTGTACAGAAATTTGTGTTTCTATGCTAAATCAAATGCACATACTTACTGTAAGCTAACACATAATAATAGCCAGAGTTAATGAATGCTCACTACGTGCCAGGCGTTATACTAGTGGCATTACACATAAGATATATCTACATTTCACAAAAGCTGTGTAAAGTAAGCATTATCATTATTATTATTCCTACACATTTAGCAAATGAGGTACCTGAGCTCTGACAGATCAAATGCCTGGCCTAAGTTTACACAGTTAATAAGTGAAGAGTTGGAATCAAATTCAGATTTGCCAGAATCCATAGCCCATACTTTTTCTACCAAAAGTACCCAACCCTAGACGTGTATCAGAACCACCCGGGCAACTTGTTAACAAAACTAATGGTCAAATCCCAGACCTAAAAATACCAATTCCCAGAGATTTTGATTTATTTAACAAGCTCCTAGGTGATTTTTATGCAGGAAGTTAGCACCAGTCCTAAGAGTAGCATTTAAAAACCACTGTACTACTTCCAGCTGCCTCCTCTGTTTTCCGTTAGGTTTCATGATTAGAAAGTGAGGTTATAGAGTCCCAAACACTGAGAGTTAGATTCAAGTAAGTGACATTAATAGAGTAAGGACCCAATTCAATTTTAGATTGCAAAATTCATTTTGGAAAATGGCATCACCATTTTTTCATTCATTACCCAAACCTGGATTCAACCTATCTCTTCCTTTGCTTTTTTACAACTAGAGGATATTACTACCCAACAGTAACTCCTAACCCACCCCTCCTTTTCAAAGGCAGAACTCACCTCCCACTGGAAAGGTAGAAAGTGTCAGATTCTCCACATTCCCAGTCTTCCTTGCAGCTAAAAGATGTTCATGAGATCCAATCCTGATCAGTGAATCTAGAAAATGTCTAGTGAGAGTTTTCTTCCCTTGTAAATAAAAAACAAGGGAACACATTCTTTTTCTTCCTCTTTACAATTCAGTGGGGCAGCCATCTTGTGACCATAAGAATTAAGCAAACAGAAATGCAGAAATGCCACTCCACCGCACTACTTTCTAGTTGAGCTACTTTCTGTAGTTCTCATTCCAAATATCTTGTCATTTCTTGCTATGACTTTGCTTACATAGTTCCTTCAACCTAGAATTATCTTCTGCTATTTTTCTACCTGCCAAAACCACACCTCACCTTCAAATTATTACCTTTGAACGACTGGAATTAATTTCTCTCTGTTCTCGTATTAATATACTATTTATACCCACAAACTGCTGCACTTGCCACATTCTTCCTTCTATGTAAATAAATATGTATTAATATATCGGTCTTCCTCACAAGGCTGGAGGCTTTGTGAGGGTAGCACCATGGATAAACATAGTGTCTAGCACAGATGGTTCTTGGATTGGTTCAACTGAATTTGTCCATAATCACTTAGATATTCTCAATTGTGTTGTTTAGGGGCCAAAGGAATGACCATTGCTGTTTAAAGGGGAAAAAACCTGCAACAAAAGTGTTTGGGGGTTTAAGGAAAATTATTTTTCAAGTACTTCAAACCTTGTACAACTTAAGATACAAAACATGTTTTAATTGTTAGTTGCTAAATGAGAATCATAAAGATAATGTTAAGCATTACAAAATGCTGAAAATACTTACTTGTATATGCCAATTCATCTGTACATCTGTACTCTCTAAGAATTAAAATGACTTCTTAAATTCTATGTCAGCCAGTAAACTTCCCAGCTTCAATGTCATTAACATTTTAGTCCAACAGAAACACAGTCAGGAAATGCAAATCAAACCACAAGATAACCCTTCATAACCATGAGAATGACTATAATCAAAAAGACAGAAAATAAGTATTGGTGAGGATATAGAGAAAATCAAATCCTCACACACTGCAAGTGGGAATGTGAAATAGAACAGAAATATGGATAGCAGCCTGGCAGTTCCTCAAACAGTTAGACAGAGAGTTACCGTATGATCACCAATTCCATTGCTAGGTATATATCTAAGAGAACTGAAACATACGTACACACGAAAATTTGCACACAAATGTTCATAGCAGCATGAGTCATGATAGCCAAAAAGTAGAAACAACTCCAATGTCCATCGACTGATGAAATCGATAAACAGAATATGATCCATCCATACAATGGAATATTATTCAGCAATAAAAAGAAATGAAGTACCAAATACACTATAACAAGTTTGTCCATCCCGCAACTTCAGAGCTGCACGTGGCCCAAAACAGCTTTCAATGTGGCCCAACACAAACTCGTAAACTTTCTTAAAGCATTATAAGATTTTTTTGTGATTTTTTTTAAGTTCATCAACTATCGCTAGTGTTAGTGTATTTTATATGTGGCCCAAGACAATTCTTCTTCCAATGTGGCCCAGGAAAGCCAAAAGATTGGACACCCCTGCACTACAACATGGATGAACCTTGAAAACATGCTGAGTGAAAGAAACCAGTCAGAAAAAGCACATATTGTATGACTCCTGTTGTGGACTGAATATCTGTGTCCCCTAAAATTCGTATGTTGAAATCCTAACCTCTAATGTGAAAGCACTGGGAGGTGGGGCCTTTGGGAGATAATCAGGCCATGAGGGTGGAGGCCTCATGAATGGGATTAGAGTCATTATAAAAGAGACCCCAAAGAGCTCTCTCACTCTCTTTCCACTTTGTGATAATCCAATAAAATGAGAAGGTAATCTGCAAACTAGGAAGCAGGCCCTCAACCAGACATTGGATCTGCCAGTATCTTGATCCTGGACTTCCCAGCCTCCAGAACTGTGAGAAACAAGTTGTTGTTTAAGCCACACAGTCTACAGTAGTTTGTTACAGTAGCCCAACCTAAGACAATTCCATTTATATGAAATATCCCAAATAGGCAAATCTATAGAGACAGAAAGTAGATTAGTAGTTGCCTAGGGCTTGGGTATATGGGGGAATTAAGGAGTGACAGTTCAGGGGTATGGGGTTTCTTTTGGAAGTAATGAAAATGTTCTCAAATTGGTGGTGGTGGATGTAAAACTCTGTAAATATACTAAAAGCCACTGAATTGTACACTTCAAATGGAAGAACTGCACAATATGTGAACTACATCTCTAAAACTGTTTTTAAAAAACTGCTGGGGGTCAGGTGCAATGGCTCATGCCTATAATCCCAGCACTTTGGGAGGCCAAGGTGGGAGGATCACTTGAGCCCAAGAGTTAAAGACCAGCCTTGGCAATATAATAAGAACCCATCTCTACAAAAAATTAAAAAATCAGCCGGGAGTGGTGGCACATGCCTGTAGTCCCAGCTCCTTGGGTGACTGAGGTAGGAGAATTGCTTGAGCCCGGGAGGCAGAAGTTGGGTGCCTTCAGCCTAGGCAACAAAGCAAGACCCTGTCAGGAAAAAAAAAAAGAAAACTGCTGGAACTTCAGTCAATTATGACAATTAGCAAGCCTTAATCAAATACATAGGTTACTTAATAGTAGGTAAAACGGTAAAGGCTGAAAAGTACTGTGGTTTTGCATCTTGACCAAAGGACGACTGGAAAAACACAACACATTTGTGAATTTTCATAAGCAAGGGCAATTTTGTGTACCAAACTTGAAAATATGCATATTATTTTCAAATGCATTGGGAAAATATATCTAACATCAACTCAGTTGTACAGTCAAGAACCTGCAATAGCGGTCATCCTTGAGCCCTTCCTCTCCACTCCCATATCCAATCTATAACCGAGACCTACCAATTCTACCTCCTTCTCCATTTCCAATGTCAACACTCCAGTCCAAGATATCACCATGCTCTTTCCTGCTGAGGTTACTGTAATAGCCTAACCTGATCTCCAGTATCCACTCTAACATCCCCTCCATTCTCCATACAACAGCAAAGTAATTTTTAAGAAAATCTGACCGGTTTTATACCATGCTTAAAATTGTTCCTATTGCCCTTAGAGATAGGGAGTAATAATGGTTGTAGGAAAGCAGATCTAATTAGTATTACTCACTGGGGGAAGTCTTCTCTCAATCCTCAGATTAGGATCAGTATCCTGTTATCTGCTTTCCTGAGGACAGGACTTCTTTGTGGCACTTATCACAGATGTAAATAAATAATTCAAACTATCTTATTTACCATTTTATCCAAAATTCCCACCACAGTGTCTAATATATAGCAGGTAGTTAATAAACGTGCTTTACAGAAATGCCTTGGGTCCTCTAAATCATAAAACCACATGCTGTGTGATGTAATGGGCTAACCTACCCAACTCTGCAAGAGCTAAAACCAGCAGTCACCAAGAGAAACAAGAGAGGTTTTCTGCCCCATCCCTGCTACATGAGCCTCAGCAATACCCTCTCTGCCACCTTTGATTTACTACTGCCTATGTTATATTTCCTGCAGCGTTTCATAAGACATGCATTTAAACAGCTGGCTTCCATCTTCCCTATCTAATCATGTATAAAAATAAAACATCATTTATATTATCACAATCATTTCCACGGCAAATATGAAAATGTCAGTGCCCTAACTCAAGGACTACAAGGAAAAATAGCAGCCTTGCAGGGAATTTTGTCAGAGGCAGATGTTAGCTACTCAAGTTCCATTTATAGGACATGTTTCCAAGCAAGTCTGTTCTTTCCTGACTTTAATTTCCTCCTTTAAAAATGACATTTGGTAGACTCCCTAAATCTTCAAATTTTCCTTTTTCTTTTGATTAATTGTAACATCTTTAGTAACATAAAACCAAATCCTTTTTTCTCTATTACAAAACAATTTCTACTATCAGGCTACTTTTGTAAAGACATGATGCTCAAAACATGTATCGTTTATAATAAGGAAATGTAAAAGAATTGATATTCACAAGCTCTGTGGTATGACCATTGTAAAGACAAAACTGGGAGCTAATCAAGCTAAGCAACTCTCATTAAATGGAAAAAAAAATAAGTAATACTAAGATTTGCCTCTGAAAGACTTGGTCAGATGCCTATGAACCACAGCGTCTAGGGAAAGTTCTACTCCAGTGTTGCTGCAAACATTCCTCTTGTTCCAAATATTTCCTCCACCCCCATTTCACCCCACAAGAGTGGTCTGATCCTTCTTTTGAAACTTAATCCTTTGGAAAAGAAAAGAGACCAGTAGTCTAACTAAAAAGCCTCTCTGCTGTTAAAAAAAAAAAAAAAAAGTACACAAATTTTCCTGAAAACATCCTTCCCCTGGATAGGTGCCACCCTTAGTCACACACAGCTGGTGTTTGCTCACTAGAATACTCCATTCATAAACAAGCCCCCTTTATCCTATTATCTATTAATTTTATATTTACATATAAATTAATTTTTACATAATTAATCCTATTATCTATGGCATCTACTAATTTTCAAATTGTCCCTACTATGATAAAATTTATATGTGTGACTTTTGAAAACAGCCATTCTAGCCAGTACCCAATTCACCTTGACACTAATTTATTTTTTTAATTTCTTAGAGAACTACTAAAAAACAAGGCTTACCACTATTTCAAGCCAATGAAAGTAAACGAATTGACTAACAAAATAACAAGCAAATAACTGCTTAAAACTAATGTGCTATATCAATTAAAACATTAAAAATCAATGCCAACTTTTAAAATTTTATAAATTTAGCAATTTGTGTACATCTTAGAATATATGTATTCCTTTATCATAACTTTAAATTGTACTAGTTAAAAGGCCACTTTCTCAAGTCTACTCTTACTTCTGAGGTAAACTTACCCAGTTTCATAACTTTAAAAACCACCTATACTATGCTGACATCCAAATTTAAATCTCCAGCCCCAACCTCTCCTCCAAGCCCCAGACTTACTCAACATATCCACCTGGGTGTCTATCACGCGTTTTACATTTAACATGTGTAAAGGAGAACTGATTTTTAACCCCTAACCTCTCCTTCAAGAGTCTTCTCCATCCCAGGAAATTTCAATACTATTCACATAGTTGCTAAAAGCAAAACCAAAGAACCTAAAAAGAAGTGAAATTTGAATATATGCTACAACATGGATGAACCTTGATAACAATTTGCTAAGTGAAATAAGCCAGACATAAAAGGACAAATATTATATGACTCCACTTATACGAGTTGGAACAGTCAAATTCATGAGACAGAAAGTAGATTAGTGGTTACTAGGGGCTAGGAACAGGAGAAAACGGGGAATTATTATTTAATGAATAGAGTTTCAGTTTGGAATGATAAGAAAGTTCTGGGGATGAATAGTGAGGATGGTTACACAACGTTAATGTACTTAAGGCCACTGAATTGCACACTTTAAAATCATTAAAATGGTCAGTTTTATATTATGCATATTTTACCATACCAAAAAAAAAAAAAAAAAAAGAACCATCTCTTTCCTTCACCATCCACATCCAATTCATCAGCAAGTCCTCCTGGCTCTATCTTCAAAATATCTTTGGAACAGATGTACTTATCACTACCTCTACCACCATAGTCCAAGCTATCAACTTTAGCTTACACACTGGCATTAGCTACTAGCTAGTCGTCTTGTTCTATTTTTATTCTCCTATACTCTATTCTCTACATTACAGCCAGATCCTTTTAAGGAGTAAATTAGACTGTCACTGCCCTGGTGAAAAACCCACTACACTGTACACAGAAAAAAATCCAAATTTCCACCACGGCTTATGAGGCTTTGCATGACATGCCTCTATCTACCTTTCCCCTAGACCACTCCAATCACATGGACCTTCTTCCTGTTTATTCTGTTCATGAGGCTTTCCTCCCATTTATAAAAACACTTCATATAATCCAAGTTGATTCTACCTCAGGGCTTTTGCTCTTCCTGTGGCCCAATTACTCAATTCATTCAGATGTCTGCTCAAATGTCATGTCTTCAGAGATCTCCTCCCTGACATCCTTATCTAAAATTGCACCTCCTATCACTTTCATTTTATTTTTTATATTTTAGAGATGGGGGTCTCACTCTGTTGCCCAGGCTGTAGCACAGTGGTGTGATCATAGCTCACTGCAGCCTCGAACTCCTGGGCTCAAGTGATCTGCCTCAGCCTTCTGAGTAGCTGGGACTACAGCTGTACGCCACCATGCCCAGCTACTTGTTGTTGTAGAAACGGGGATCTCACTATGTTGCTCAAGCTGGTCTCAAAGTCCAGGCCTGAAGTAATTCTCCCAGTTCAGCCTCCTAAGTTGCTGGGATTAAAGGCATGAGCCACAGCACCCAGACCTCCCATCACTTTCTACATCCTTACACTTTTTTATTATTTTTTGTAACCATTATAACCACCTAAAAGTATATGTTTATTATGTCTCTTCCAATACACTTAAACTCCTTAAGAACAGAAACTTACACATTTTACCACTACATCTCTAGGACTAAAAAGAGCACACAGCACATGTAAAGTACTCAGTAAAATCTTGAACTAATTAATAAAATTATCCTTATTTGTAGAAGCACTGAGTATTATATCCTTGATTTTCATTTCATATAAATAGCCTTTATTGGACATTAAAGGAAAGCATGTTATTTGAAACAACCAAGAGGCAAGCCTCAATCATCTTAAGTTCCCATTTTGCCTTTTCAATCAGGGTCAGACCTTGAAAATGGAACAAATCCTTCACAGTGCAATCAGTGTGGCTCACAAACCAAAACTCTATCAATATGAATTTCACCTCAATTTTTTAAATTAACTAATTAAGAAACATTCTTCTATCAGCACCAGGTAACACCCTAGATATTAATAGTTTCTGCTCAGATCTTCCTCCTCTGTGCCCCACTTAAGGGAACAGGAGGGACTGCCAAAATATGGACATCTAAAGATTACCGTAAGACTTCTTTTCCCTAGCTTTAGCTACGGACTGGTGATTCTGGAAAATGTGCTATGAGATGTCTGCAAAATAAGAATAATTAATGCTTTAATTGCTCACAGATGCTTTTAATTTTTATGTCTGACACCACCACTGAAACTGCATTTCACTTGGCAATGACATACTAAAATACTACCCATGTCTTCATTTCTATGACAAGTTCCTTTCCATCACTAAGTAGGTAAACGGAAAATTAGCATTTGTTATTCTGTTGCATATATCAGCTTGGGGGCTAACAGACAACATCAGAAACCAGTGGAATTATGCCTATCCAGAATGATAGTTTTCATTAACGTTTCTTGGCCGGGATACCCTTCAGCTGCACACAATGTTTTAAATAGCCTAATAGAAACATGATACAGATATCCTTTTCCTCCTTAAGTAAGCTGTATTTTTAATCATTTTTAAAGAAAAAGCGTATGTGGAGAACAGGATTAGACGCATTGGTCATCCTTTATTTAAGCCACCCCAAATAGCCCAAAGGACAACTAGAGCCTTCATCAGTTTCCATGGTGACTGGCAAAGGGCTCCATCACACTCCAGATAACATTCCAGCACAAATTTGAGAGCAAAGGCTTTTCCAGGGTTTGGAGAAGGCTTATGCTTCCTTATCTACTCAGAAAAAAGTGAAACAGCAACCCTATAGCCATGCAGGGAACCTAGACTTCCTTCAAAGACTACCTGAGTACTTTCCTTCCTTAATTCAAGAATGTTACATTGTTTAAGAGCCACAGGCAGTAATCTAACTCGTCAGTTATTGCTCTGAGAAAATCCTAGCTTGTTATTTGTCCTGACAGTAATAAAATCATCTTTTAAAGCAACAGTAGGATACAGTTCTTCCTCCCAACTCAACTGAAAAATAGGCGGTTGTACTTTATCATTCACTGAATTACAACAAGCTGCCCGCTCTCTTTAAGTGGCCATTTTAAGATTTTTACAGAAGTACAAAGGAGACTTATGTCCTTTTGGAAGACAAGAGAGAGAGACTTTCTGAAGAAGCTTCTTCAGCAATCCATTTTCTGTAAAATTAGTTGATGTGGTTAATTTGGCAAAGCATTTGAGAGATGAAGGAGAAAGCAAGAACATGGTGAGAGTTTCAAGCTTATAATGAGTTTTGTCTTATTACATCAGCAATATATAAAGGTTCTTTAAAAGTGTTTTCCCTTTCATCTGAACGCTCATTGACCCATTTCTGCACAGTGGTGCTGACCCAAGCCCTTTCACATAGTGCAATTGCCAAAAGTGAACCATCACACATTCCTGACCAGAAAGAAACAGGCTGGAATGAAATCTGTCACGTGAAATATTTCACAGCCAAAATTAAAGCTTTAAAATGCCACAACCGAAAACAAAACTGTTCTGATTTCAATTCTCAGAGCCCTTAATCTTACCAAAGCTTGTTTTAAATCTAATACTTGCCCACTTTCCTAAATTTTCTGGCATATTAGAATAAGAGTTCAAACAAGTTTTTGGGGTTTTGCTGTATATGTTTTAACTGAAATAAAAATGTTGAAGCACAAGATATAAACTCCCTTACCTAAAACCTTCTCTAAGCATAGTTCTCCCAAGTCAAAATGATTCCTTGGTAATATTATGGACATTTTAGAAAACCCAGTAATGCATTCAAAACTTTGGAGAATTCTGCCAAAGTGTAATCTGTTTTCAATCACTTACCATTTACTGAGTTCATAACAACGGGCCAGGCAATAGTGGCAGATGATTTAAGACGCAGTCCCCGACCTTGTGAAAGTCATGGTCACTCTAATGGCATGAGATAAACATATGAACCAATAGAGGAGGAAATGACATTACTTGAAACCACTAAGGTGGCTCCACAGAGGAAGTGACATCCAATCCAAGACCTGAAGGATGACAGGAGCTGGGCAAAGAAGGCAAGGAAGACAGCCAGTGTAAAGGAGCAGTGCCAACAACATCAAGTACAGAGTGCAAAATTAGGCAGAATCCAACCCTTAAGAACTAAGCCAAGCAGCCAGGTGCGGTGGCCCATGCCTGTAATCCCAGCACTTTGGGAGGCCAAGGTGGGTGGATCATGAGGTCAGGAGTTCGAGACCAGCCTGGCCAACATGGCAAAATTCATCTCTACTAAAAAATACGAAAATTAGCTGGGCGTGGTGGCTGGCACCTGTAATCCCAGCTATTTGGAAAGCTGAGGCAGGGGAATCGCTTGAAACTGGCAGGTGGAGGTTGCAGTGAGCCAAGATCAGGCCACTGCACTCTAGCCTGGGCCACAGAGTAAGACTCCATCTCAAAACAAACAAACAAACAAACCAAGCCAAGCAATCTCAGCAGAGGCCTGTAGGCCATAAGAACTACCCTACAATCAATATGAAGAACCATTATTTAATTCAAGGTGGATGAGATTAAACAGACCAATTAAGAGGTTATGGAAAACTCTCAAGTGAAAGATGATAAAATTCTTAGCTAGGTTCACGACAGTGGAGAGAAAGAGATACTTCTCAAATAAAAACCCACTTAGTGACTGATATATAGAAGTAGAGTGGGTGAGATGAAAGAGATGAAAGACAAGGATGATGTTAAGGTTTCAAGGCTTTTGATACCCCTCCCATCAAAAGGGAGGTCTGTCTCCTCCCCTTGAATGTGGGAAGGCACATAACTACTTCAACCACTAATCCAGCCTGACTACCAAGGCAAGGTCACAAAAAGCCATACAGCTTCCTCCTTATTCACTGGGACACTAACTTTTAGAGCTCTCAGCCACCAAGTAAGTCCAATTACACTGAGGCTGCCATGCTGAGGAAGGCCATGCAACATGGAACAGCCATGCAAAAGCACTGCAATCAACAATCCTACCTGAACTAAGCCTTCATGTCATTTCAGGGCAGCTACCAAACTTGTGAGTGAAAAGCCTCCAGATAAGTTACCAATGAAAAGTCCATTTTTCACATGGAATAGGAAGCAAGACCATGTGCTAGGAATAAGGAAATTGGAATTGGATAGAGGACCTGATAAAAGTGGGAACGATTTAGAAGAGCATCTGTGGTAAATGACAAGAAGACTGCAGATAGTTAAGGAATCATCAAGCCATATAGAGAGCCTGGAGCAAACTGGAAACAACAATCTCCCAAACAGTCTCTAGGCTATACATTAACTAAGATAAAGGTAGGCCTAGTGGTGCATACCTGTAATCCCAGCACTTTGTGAGGCTAAAGGAGGAAGACGACTTAAGCCCAAGAGTTTCAGACCAGCCTGGGCAACATAGTGAGATCCTGTCTCTGCCAAAAATAAAAAATTAGTCAAGCATGGTGGCACATACCTATAGTCCCAGCTACTCAGGAGGCTGAACCAGGAGGATTGCTTGAGCCCACGGGTTCAAGGCTGCAGTAAGCTATAATCATGCTACTGCACTCCAGCCTGGCCAACAGAGCAAGATACTGTCTCTAAAAATAAATGAAGAAAAGGACAAGGACAGGGCTCTTTCCATTTTGTATCCCCCATGCCAATCAGAGCACCTAAGAGATGACAGGCCCTTAGCAAACATTTGGTAAATGAATATATGAAAGTGTGTGTGTAGATGTCACAATTATCAAATATTCACGACAAAATTAAACAATTATAATGAGTATTTCCATTTCTTATCCTGAAAATATTCTTAGTTTTAGTAAACAGTTTTGCTTTATAATTACAAATATAGTTTCTGAGCCCCTCTCTCAGTGAACATGAAATGTGTGAATTCAAATGCACTTATAAATATAAAACACATTTCTTACCAAGAATTGCCTTTGAATTGACAAGCAAAAAGCAAAAAATAATGATTTTGCAGTTGTTCCTTCTGAATCTGACCTTTTGCCCTGGTTTCTGCTCTAGCTTTAAAATAACTATACTTTAAACAAAAATAGCATACCTTTCCTCCAAAATGGCTAACCACAATACTGAAACACAATTTTTTTCATAAGAAATGTTATGTATTGTATTTACTTCCAAGCTATAATAAAAGTATTAAGAATTGGTTAATTTAATATAGCATAATCCCTTTACAACACATGTATTAAAGAAAAGATGAGCCTCCAACCTTATAAACTTGAACTAAATAGTATACATCAGGATTTGCCATATGTAACTGTGAGAAACATATTTTCATCCATATTTACTCCAAATTCACATAACTAATATTCCAGATTATAATAACACGGAGCTAATAAGAACAACTCTTATTAGCATTTACTGTATGCCAGACACCGTGCTAAGTGCTTTACATGAGTTATTTCCTTTAATACTCACAACAACGTTATTAGGTAGGTACAGGCAAAAGTCGCAGAGTTTGCAGGAGGCAGAGCCAGAATCAAGCCCAGATGTATCTCACACAAAAATGCTGGACTATTAGATACTATATACATATTTATTAATGAAGAAAATCATAGTGTTGTAAGTGGTGATACAAAATATATTCTGACTTAAGACTGTTGAACCTTTCAAAAATCAAAACCTAAATCTTGAATTACAATTTCTTAGTTTGTTCTGACATGATCACAGAACTTCAAAGGGCTAAAGATAATCTTAATTATGTTTAAAGAACCACTCATAATAATTTGCGGGGAAAAAAAGCAGTACATCTAGGAAGAATAAGTGTTAAGACATTATGTAATCATGAGAAAAAAATAAATGCTTTGAGATAAACATCAATAAAAAAGAAATAACAGAAGAAACATAAACTCTTTGAAGATAAAACTGCTTTCTTTCCCATCTTTAAGTCCAATTAAAATTCTGGTTAATGATTCCTTGTAGCAATGGAAAAATCAGTAAAAATGTAAAATAAGTTGCTAAAAGAATCAAGTAGGCCAGCCAGGAGCAGTGGCTCACTCTTGTAATCCCAGCACTTTGAGAGGCCGAGGCAGGCGGATCACCTGAGGTCAGGAGTTCAAGACCAGCCTGGCCAAGATGGTGAAATCCCATCTCAATAAAAATACAAAAATTAGCTGGGCATGTGCCTGTAATCCCAGCTACTCGGAAGGCTGAGGCAGAAGATCACTTGAACCCGGGAGGCAAAGGTTGCAGTGAGCCAAGACCAGGCCACTGCACTCCAGCCTGGGCAACAGAGCAAGACTCCATCTCTCCAAAAAAAAAAAAAAAAAAAAAAAGAAGGAAAGAATCGAGTAGGCCAGGCGCAGTGGCTTACACCTGTAATCCCAGCACTTTGGGAGGCCGAGGCGGGCAGATCTCTTGAGGTCAGGAGTTCAAGACCAGCCTGGCAAACATGGCAAAAGCTTGTCTCTAAAAAACTACAAAAAATTAACTGAACATGGTGGCACACACCTGTACTCCCAGCTACTCAGGAGGCTGAGGTACGAGAATCCCCTGAACCCGGGAGACAGAGGTTACAGTGAGCCGAGATCGTACCACTTGCACTCCAGCCTGGGTGACAGAGTAAGACTCTGTCTCAAAAAAAAAAAAATTTTTTTTGAGTACATAAGATGTGCACTGATTTATTTTGCAATATTACTTAAAAGCTTTTATTTAGCTAGCAATACTAAAAATTTATTTCAAACTTATGATAGGTCAGCCACTGTGCTAAGCGCTTCAAACACATTATCTCAGATTTTAATTACTTCATTTGCTCAGTGAAAAATAAAGCATAATATGTATTGAACAAAACTATAGGCACCTTATCCAACACTTGGAATTTGCTGTGTATATTTTATTTATTTATTCACTCACTCATTCATTCATTTGTGGCCACTCTTCACTTAACATGCTCCACAGTCACTACCAACATTTATCAAGAACCTACTATGTTCCATTACTGGACAAGGCACCAAGGATTAAAAAAAGGAATAAAACCAAAATTATTGTCCCCTAAATATTCACAGACTAGCAGAGGAGATAGTAAACAAACTTTATAAAATAATATAGAAAGTGTTCATCCTTTCCTCAAGGCACCATAGCAGAGAAAATAGAGAACAAGAATAACCTAATGCTGGAATAATAGTAAAAGAAGTCATCACAGAAGATCCACAATATGGATCCAAATAAAGCAGTGGCATTAAGGAATGAAATAACAGGACACAGTCTATAAAACTTTAAGTGGCAGAAGCAGCAGGAACAGGTAATTGATTTGGGAATGGAAGTAACTGTATGATTCTTTCAGCTATATTCCACCAAAAAAACATAGATAGGTAGACAGACTTCCATGAGACAAAGACAGTCACAGGGATGAAGAGTTTGGTTTTACACATGCTGAGTCTGAAATGCTTATAAAGCATTCAAATACACATCTACCATAGAAAACCAGACAGACCAGACTAGTACCCAGGAGAGATATGCAAGCTGGTGATGCATCTGGAGTAAAGGCACGTGACTAGTAACCAGAGCAGTGGGAAAAGCTGAGATCACTAGGTAGAGTATAAAATGAGAAGAGGGCCAAGTAGAATCATGGAATACAGACATATGCCCCATAACAACATTTCAGTCAACAATGGACTGCATATACAACGGTGGTGACATAAGATTATAATGGAGCTAAAAGATTCCCATTGCCTAGTGACAGCACAGCCATCATAACATCACAGCACAACACATGATTCACGTGTTTATGGTGATGTTGGTGTAAACAAACCTACTGTGCTACTTGTACAAAAGTGTACATTAATGCCCTAGGCCTTCACATTCACTCACCACTCACTGACTCACCCAGAACAACTATCAGTCCTGCAAGCTCTAATCATGGTAAGTGCCCTATGCAGGGGTACCATTTTGTATCTTTTATACTATATTTTTACTGTATCTTTTCTTTGTTTAGATACATAAATACTTACCATTGTGTTACAAACGTCTACAGTATTCAGTACAGTAACATGCTATACAGGTTTGTAGCCTAGGACAAATAGGTTATACCATATAGCTTAGGTGTACAGTAGGCTATACTATCTAGCTTTGTTTAAGTACACTCTACGCAGTTCATACAAAAATGAAGTCGCCTAATGATGCATTTCTGAGAAGGTACCCCCATCATAAAGTAAAGCATGACCATACGTCATCTTTTAAGAAGCAGGAAAAGAACAGTGTGTAGGCCACTAAGTCGCAACAAACACCTCCATCCCATACCACTTCTCACAAAAAATAAAGTAAAACGAAACTTTACACTTAATACTTTCAAATCTGCCTGTACAATCATACGTATAGCAAACATTTACCATGTATTTTCTAAGTCATAAGGCATTGCGCTAGCTGCTGAGGGTAGCCAAGAATAAAGACAACCTAGTTCTTAATCATAAGAATCTAGCTAGGCCAGGCACAGTGGCTCACGCCGGTAATCCCAGAACTTTGGGAGGCCGAAGCAGGCGGATCATGAGGTCAGGAGATCAAGACCATCCTGGCTAACACAGTGAAACCCTGTCTCTACTAAAAATACAAAAAATTAGATGGGTGTGGTGGCGGGTACCTGTAGTCCCAGCTACTCGGGAGGCTGAGGCAGGGGAATGGTGTGAACCCGGGAGGCGGAGATTGCAGTGAGCCAAGATTGCACCACTGTACTCCAGCCTGGGTGACACAGCAAGACTCCATCACAAAAAAAATTAAAAAAAAAAAGAATCTAGCTAAAATAGGAGCAATACACCAAGTACGTTAAGAGCACAGGATCTAGGTTGGCATTCGAACCTTAGCTCTGCCATTTACTTTCTGGGTGACTTGAGGCAAATTACTTAACCTATAGGTGTTTCTGCTTCCTCAACTACAGTGGGGATCACAATAGTACTTATTCCCATAACGTTGCTGTGAAGAGTAAATGAACTAAGAACCATGTCATGAAGATTAAAATAGTCCATGGAAAGCACATATAACAGTGCTTGACACATAATGAATGCTCCATGAAAGTTAGTTATTTCCTATTATAAAACTTATCAGAATGGCTGCATGAGTGCAATAATAATACAAATCAACAGTGTTACTGGATTTCAAAAGATGAAGAAAGGGCCAGGCCAGGCACAGTGGCTCACGCCTGTAATCCCAGCACTTTGGGAGGCCGAGGTGGGCAGATCACCTGAGGTCAGGAGTTCGAGACCAGCCTGGCCAACATGATGAAACCCCGTCTCTACAAAAAATTCAAAAATTAGCCAGGCATGGTGGTGCTTGCCTGTAATCCCAGCTACTTGGGAGGCTGAGGCAGGAGAATCACTTGAACCCAGGAGGCAGAGGTTGCAGTGAGCCGAGATCATGCCACTGCACTCCAGCCTGGGCAACAGAGTGAGAAAAAAAAAAAAAGAAGAAGACACTCACTTGGCAGGAATTCAGGGAACACTTCAATGAGCTGCTGAGCTGCCCTTCTGAGCAAGGCTAGCTCACACAGTGCCTTTGTGTGAATTACAAAGCAGCCCATGGGTGCACATCTTTTTTTTTTTTTTGACAGATCATAAACAACAGAACAAGAGGTGCACATCAAGAGGAGGGTAGCCTGAATTTCTATCATCACTCAATCCCCTCAACAAGCATCCTTGTGCAGGATATAACCAGCACAGCCATATAAGGAAGCCTGAAAGATAGGACACATAAAGCTGGTGAAAGGTAACACAAACATTCCAGTAGACAAGTAGAAGAATAACTGTAAGCTATCAAGAATAGTATATCCAGCCTAGACTGGCTTTGGCAAGTAACCCAGATTAGCTAGAGCATAGAAGCCATTTAGAAGAATAGCTAAAGATAAACCCAGAAAGGTAGATTGAAGCCAGATGGCAGAGGATATTGAATATCAGCAAAAGCATCCAGCTATGACTCTGAGCAAGGGAGTATGTGATTTCAATAGTGAGAGAAGTCTGGCATCATGTACTGGAAGGATTTAACTAAGTACGGGCAGGTAAAAGGTCATTGCAGTGGGATGCTAGTCTATGAGTTCCTCAAAGGCAGGGATTCTGTGTCTCATTCATTTTTGTATCTTCAGAACTAACACAGCACTTGGGACAGAGTAGGCACTCTATAATTGTTTGAGGTATAAATGAATGAATGACCCAAAAGTAGCACGTGCCTTAATTAAAATAGGAACAGTGGAAATAGAACAATGGGAACATACTGGAAAAATATTGTAGAGATAGGAAAAGGGATATTTGCTTGCTGATGAAATGTGGCAAGGATATTAGGGGAGAATCAATAAAGACTGTAAAACTGATAAATACTATGTGGATTGCATTACAGGTTTCTGTGAGAATCAAATATAATTATGTTCATGAAAATGCTCTACTTAAAACAATACTGCTTTACTCTGGAATAAAAGCTACTCATCTTGGGCAGATTTACTACTATATTTGACACTGAATATATCTCATCATTTTAAAACATTTGTCTTCCTTTTGTCCTTATCAGATTATAAAACCTTTAAGAGTACACTGGTGTCTACTCTGTTATGAAGCAATATTAATAAAACCTTATTAAATGTTGCTTTAATTAAACTTTCTCACAAAAGAAACTATTAAACCAATTTCAACTATATACCAAAAAAATATAGACACATAAACACAGACATACACTTATATAAATATACAACATATTTATATAGACTAAACATTTGTGAATGTAATCTTAGCAGGCTATAAGCTTCCACAGTATATGTTTATTCTTCTTTACTTTCTGCCGGTGTCTGGCAATGAGTGTTAGAGGTGCTCAATAAATGTTTGCTGAACTAAAATGAACTGAAATGAACTGACTTAGGAATCTCACAGAGCTTATCAATGGTTTCTGATGGTCTTTAAGTTTCCCTCTCCCAGTCTCAGTGCTCTTCCAAACTGTGCATCAAATTTTTGCCGTAAAAGAATGAGATCCATAATAAGGATGTTTTTAAGAAAGAGAAAAAAGAAAAATCAAAAAATAAGATTGTCAATATATAAGATCAGTGGGTACCATTAAGGTCTAACAACTGGCTTGGGGTAGTGGGCTTGATTTTCAGTGTTTGCCAATTTCCATGGTTTAAATATTCCCATCATGGGCCTATTTCAAGCTAACAACATGATACGAGTTGGTCTGCAAAATTCACCGAAAATTTAACAATCAGCTGTCACAAGCCAGTATGCACTGGCTCAGGCACACCATGGGTTGCAATATTTATATGCATAGTACACATGATCCCCAAATTTTGCTCTGCAATACTACCCATCCACATCCTCAAAGGAAAGTATAAAAGGCAAGGAAAAAGCAGGAAAAATCTACACCCTATTCCTATAATGCTTTTAAAACCTCAATGCAGGCCAGGCATGGTGGCTCACACCTGTAACTCCAGCACTTTGGGAGGCAGAAGTGGGTGGATCACTTGAGGTCAGGAGTTTCAGACCAGCCTGACCAATATGGTGAAACCCCATCTCTATTAAAAATACAAAAATTAGCTGGGTGTTGTGGCGGGCACCTGTAATCCCAGCTGCTCAGGAGGATGAGGCATGAGAATCACTTGAACCCGGGAGGCGGAGGTTGCAGTGAGCTGAGATCACACCACTGCACTCCAGCCTGGGCAACAGATCGAGATCTTAAAAAACAAAAACAAAAACAAAAACAAAAAAAACTCAATCTACAAGGTAGAGGTAGTCTTCTTTTGAACTAGGCATATGGTCCAGCCCAGAAATTCCTTTAGCCTAGACCAGTGACATTCAAACTTTTCTGATCATGTACCCCAATCAGTTTTTTAAAAGGTATTTGGGCATACATCCTCAATATGTTAATATATTTGTTTATACATTATATTAGAGCTACTATACTAATACCATATATAAGGTATATACAAACAAATATTAAAATAAAAATTAATTCAAATAGAAAAGAAAAATGTTCTGCCCACATCCCAATGGACTGTCTTGCAAATCTCCCCAGGGCTTACGCAATCCACTTCAGATATTACTAAGTACAACATGAAAAGTAAAATGAATTGCTTCCTGGACCTGTTTCCCCTAGGCCTACAACCTTATCTTATTAGATCTTGCCACTCCATGAAATATCTTGCTTTTATTATTATTTTCACATCACTCTAGTATATCAACTTTGGAAACAAAAGACATCATTCTATTTATAGCATTCTATTTTTAGTAGCAGCATTTCAATTTACAAAATATAGTAATTCTCAATCACTGAAAATGTCAAATCCTAGAAAACGTAGCATTCCTGAGTGTGATGGTAATATCATCCTCAAACAGTTGTTGGCCGAAGATTCATTTGATGAATCCAATTTTTCTGAAATAGACAATTCTGATGATTCAGAGAATTCTAATGTTAGTTCTGTTTAGAAATAACTCCAAGAAGAGTTTTTATATTTTATTTTCACATTGAAAATCAGTCAGATTTGGTTCAGCCTCGAAGGGCGTGTTTATGTAAAGTTAAATAAGTGCTGGCAGCGAGCTGCACTTTTTTTTTCTAAACAGGAAATGAGTTAACTGTTTTTTTCATCCTTGGATCCCTTATTACATAGTTACTTCACATTATCTATAAGACTCAAAGCTTTGGCTGCAATGATAACCAAATTAAAAGAGGTCCACACCTACAAATTTATCTACCTTCCCATCCATTGAATTTTCCGTTTCCTTCCTTAAGGAAGACAGGGTCCTTTTTCTAGGGTAACTAAGTGCTGTCATTAAAATCACTAGGAAAAAAACCATATTACTGGCTCTTATCTCAATACGGTTGCCTAAACATATATGTTTATCTCCCTTCTCTTCCAAATTCCATTGAAATGACAAGGAAACAAAATAGTCTAAAACTAAATAAAACCATAACCACACTAGAAAACAAAAGAGGGTGACATTAGCAGGTTAGAAGTGGAAAATTCTAGATCCATGGTTCTTAACTTTGGCATGCATCAAAATCGCCTAGAGGGTTGGTTAAAACACAGATTGCAGATCTCTATCCCCAGGGTTTCTGATTCAGTAAGCCTAGGGTGGGGCTCAAGATTTTACATGTCTAACAAGTTCCCAGGTAAAGCTGATTCTGCTGGTCAACAGCCACATTACAAGAACCATCCTAAGTAAGCAGAGGTCACTAAGAAAAACACTTTTTATTAATTTCAATTAGCATCCTCGGAGAGATTCAAGAGAATGGTACAACCTTTTTTTTGGAACAGCAAGTGGAAAATAAGAAATAGTTCTGGAAAAATTGGAAAAAAAAATAATTTCCAAATGAAAAACAAAATCAGAAGAACCTAATAACAACTAAAGTCCAATACAGCAATGTGAAAAATAGTCAAAGACATCTTTCAAAACACAGAGCAAAAGACAAAGAGATCAAAATATGACAGAAAAATTAACAAGCATAAAGGTCAGTATCTACCTAACAGGTTTCTGGAGACAGAACAAACACATCACAAAACATAATCAATGAGCAGAAGAAATTTTTCCTATGCTGAAAAATACTCAAAGCTTGATACTGCAGGGCCAAATCCCACGCAGGTTAAGCCAATAACTAGACGCATGTTTGTGGCACTTTTAAATGTAAAAGACATAAAGAAAACCTAAACTCTTTGAGAGGGAAAACACTGGTTATTACAAAAGAACATGAATCAGACTATCATCAGACATTTCATTAGCATGCTAGAAAAAAACGGTATGTTGTTTTCAAAGTTCAGAGAGGAAATTATTTTGAACCTGGAATTTTATAGTTAACTAGAATCTAGTTAAGCTATCAAATAACGAATATAAATTAAAGACACTTTTGGAAATTAAAGAAATAAGCAAATTTACTTCCTATATGTATTAGTTTCCTACTTCTATAAAATATTATCACAGAAGTCCAAAGAGATCTCAATGAGCTAAAATTAAGGTGTTGGCAGAATTACGTACCTTCTGGAAGCTTTAGGGAAAAATCAATTTCTTTGCCTTTTCAAGCTTCTGGAAGCTGACTACATTCCTTGACTAGTGGTCCCCTTCTGTCTTCAAGGCCAGCAATGGTGGATTGAATCCTTCTCTTATCAAGTCACTCTGACTCGGACCTACCTCCATCTTTCATTTATAAGGATCTTCAATTGGACCTAGCCAGATAATCCAGGATAATCTTCCCATCTCAAGATCTTTAATTTTGCTGGTGTTAGTCACACCAGCAAAGTTCCTTTTGGCAGGAAAAGTAACATATTTACAGGTTCCAGGAATTAGGATGTGGACACTTTTGGCAGGCCACTGTTCTGCCTACCAAACCATATAAGGACTCAAGGGTGTCCTTCAGAAAAACAAAAAAAAGAATTCAAGAAAGAGGATAAGATGGGATACATGAAAGTAGGTCCCCCATAAAAGGAAGCAAGTTGAAAAAAAATTTTTTAAGAAAAAATTTTGTCTTGATATTTGAATCTTCTCTTTCTAGAAGCGCAACTTTAGAGAAACTTAATTACATTTTCTTCCCTAAAAGTCCTTTTATGCTACCTGTTTCTATGGTGAATAAAATTTACATAACCAAAATATTATAAATCTTGTTTATTAGTTTCCAATTTTCAGAAATATACAGCCAAGCATCAGAAGACATGAATATCTATGTCTAGTTCCAGGATCTGGCAGATTCTGGACTCCATATACTGATAACATACTTACAGAGATACCACATATTATTTTTTCATATGTGCTATTTATTAGGAACTGAAGTTACATAGTACGGGTAGAAAATAAGTTAGAAGTATAGCCACAGTTAAACATATTAAATGATTCTTGCCTGTATTCTATAAAATAGGTATGAAGCAGAAATTAAAATCAATTCTGAAATACGTGTGTGCCTTTTCATTTAGTAGCTGATAATTTATGGAGTTGCAAATAAGTTGAATGTTATTTTTTTTAATATCTAAAAAGATAACATCCAACAATAATGAGACTATGAAAAATTGATACTCCCATAGACTATAGCTGAATTTTTTTTTCTTCTCCCAAGGAAAAGAATGGAACTGAAATTTTTTACAAGCAAACTTTTAGGAGTACAATTTAAAGTAGGAATATCTTTTGACCTAGTAGTTTTACTCCTAGGAATCTATCCTACAAAAATGTCATCACTTAGTATATAAGAATACTATTTAAGAACTCCACCATAGCATCGTTTAGAGTAGGGAAAAAATGGGACCCAACCTAAATATTTCATCAAATGGGAACTGGTTAAATATATTATCATTGACCATTAATGCACCAGCCATTAAGAATGAGGCACATCATGGAAAGATGTATGCACACACACATACATGTACATTGTTTTAGATTTTTATATGGAGAAAGGAAGAGCTGAAAGGATATACATAGAACTATAGCCTAAGTTAATTCTCTGGAACAGAAAGGAATGCATAAACTTTCAGTTTTGCATTACACACGTATTCCATTTGAATTTTGTTTTAATGGATATACACTACTTTCAGAATATCTTTCCCCTTAAAAAAACTTAATCCCTAACACTTAAAAACTGAACCCAGAATAATGCTTCTGTAAATCATAAAGGCAAAATTGGTTTAGGATATAAAGAACATCAAAGCCTCTTGTGGGATATATAGCAAACAATATATGGTCAACACTTAAATACATTATTATTATTAAATGTAACCAGTAGTGATGGCAGCATTGAGTTCCTTAAAGATATGCAACTCACTACAACTACACTATAGCTTCTGACAGAGTAAATAAAAAACACCAATATGCTCTTTATCATTGCCTTAAAAACATTTTAATAAATTAATATTTCTATTAATAAACACCTACCGAATCGTTCGCTGCTAGTGCAAGTGCAAGATTCACTGTAAGAAACAAAAAAAGTAATTGAATTTAGTAACTTTCCTTCTATTAAAATTCATTTTATCTTTTAATATTTTCATGTAATTTTTAATAATTTCATGTAATTTTAATATTTTCATGTAATAACCTAAGCATATAAATTTTGAACATATATCCCTTACTTGTAAAGAGCAAGCACATGGAGGAACACAGAAAGTAAAAAGAAAAGTAAAAAAGTAATTTGCCAATAAATGCAATAGATGCATGTCCCAAAACTAACATTTTTAAAAATCCATTTCTGTTACAATTTTGTTCAAATAATCCACTTAATTTTTTAAAATCATGTTAATATATAATTCAATTATTTTCAAAACCATATTTTATAGAAAAATTGTCTTTTTATTTTAAAAAATGTACACAATCTCATTGCCTTTCATTTATGATTACTATGCTCTGTCCCCCAGGCTGGAGTTGGGACCACAGGTGGGCACCACCACACCCAGCTCATTTTTTTTTTTTTTTTTTTTTTTTACAGACAGGGTCTTGCCATGTTGCCCTGGCTCAAGCAATCCTCCCACCTCAGCCTCCCAAAGTGCTGGCATTACAGGCATGAGCCACCGCATCCTGCCCCTACTGCCTTTTAAAAATAAATGCTGATATTGCAGGAGTTCCAAGTATCTAATTCATAAATACTCATGTATATGAAAGGCTGGACTACTGTGCACAGAGGGAAGGGAAAAGGGTAAAAGGTAAGAGAGTAAAATGTGTTCCCAAACTGCTTATGCTGACGAATCCCATAAAGAAGGAAAGCAGTAGTCCCAAAGCCAGCTTTAGACCAGCAATAGGAATATGCTACATCCGAGAAGAGTAACACAATTCAAAGACTGATCAACAAATAGGCGCTCATAATGTGAATCACATTTCCTTACAGAACAATGGTATAAACTATGTCAGGGTTATTTTCTTAAAACTAGTTAAGAGCATAAATTTTTAAGGCAGACCTGGTTCAAATCCCAGCTCTGCCACCTTCTATTGTGTACTCTTGAGTAGGTTATTTTACCCATAAGTCTGTTTTCTCTTCTATAAAATGAAAACAATGCCTACTTCATAACTGTGATCAGGATTAAACGAAATATTGCATGTAAAATACTTAGCCTAGGGCAAAGACTTGATAAATTCGTTTTTATAAGTTACAAAATTCTGAATTTCAGGTACAAGATAGGTTACACATAATACAACTTTAAGGCAGAAACTTTCAGAGGGCAATTCATTTTAGAGTTAGGTTCTTCCTACATTTAAACAATAGAATCACTGAGCATATTTGCATTAGTCAAATGTCATCATTCTAATCTAAAACATCTCTAGCATGTATATTCAAATGGGAAGTATTTTGAAGTAGTTTGAGGCAGGAATAAATACATATAAGGAAAAGAAATATATTAATAATACCAATAGAGTTACATAAAAATAACCTATTTTTAAGACTTAGATATGCTCACAGAGCTGTTATGAAAAAGTATGGGCCAGCTTTTCGGGACAGATGGTATAATGTTAACAGAAAAAAAGTGAGAAAGGGACATTTACTGAAGCACCCATTACGTGTCACATGTTGTACACTTTCTCATACATTTTCCTGTTTAAATGCTTTCACATTTCATGGCAACAATCATCTTCCAACTAAAAATAATAAACAAACAATCTTAAACAAGTGCCAGCCTACAGACCCAACAAATTACAAAACGCAAAGAACTTATGGCTACAATCATGAAAACACCTTCCATCCTTATCCAGTTCAAGTAATCACAGAGCATGCAAAAGGATTCAAACCACTGAAAACTGAAAAATGTACTCCAAAAGGTTCTAGAACCAAAAACTAAGAGCTTCTAAATTTTAAAAACAACCAGATGGATTGTAAACCTTTAGGAAAGAAAGGAAAAATGTGCAGGAGAGCACATGAATTCATTAAGAACAGATTATTAATTTTTTTTAACAATATGGTATCTATCAAATAGTAATGGATTAGTGATCCACCACAAATACAATATTTGGTAAATCTTAACTTTTCCAAAACATCTGACAAATTCTTCCAGAATTCCCTTCTGATAAAAATGGGGAAAAATGAGCTAGTAGGCAGGGCGCGATGGCTCACACCTGTAATCCCAGCACTTTGGGAGGGCTAGGCGGGCGGATCACGAGATCAGGAGATGGAGACCATCCTGGTTAACACGGTGAAACCCCGTCTCTACTAAAAATACAAAAAAAAAATTAGCCGGGCGTGGTGGTGGGCGCCTGTAGTCCCAGCTACTTGGGAGGCTGAGGCAGGAGAATGGCGTGAACCCCGGGAGGCGGAGCTTACAGTGAGCCGAGATTGCGCCACTGCACTACAGCCTGGGTGACAGAGCGAGATTCCGTCTCAAAAAAAAAAAAAAAAACAAAAAAAAAAAGTTACTAGATGTTTTAAAAATAACAGCAACCAATTATTGAACACTAGTAAACACTAAGCTAAGTGGTTAGCTTGTGCAATTTGAATAACCATCTTATGAAAGAAGTTATCTCCATTTTACAGTTAAGTGAACTGAAGATTTGCTGTACAATCTGACCACTTTTTCCTGAGTTAAGGGGTGGGAGACCCGGCTAGTACCTACTTTTGTCTAACTCCAAAATCTAAGCGTCTACCCGCTACCAACTCCTGAAACTAAGGAATCACATGTTAGGAACTTCACAAATAAATTTTTAAAACACAAAACTATAATTTCAATAGTGTGCACTTGTCTGTTGGCATAAGTTCTTAATCAGGAATAGAATTAATATCCTATAATACCTGCTGTAGTAGATTTTCCGACTCCACCCTTTCCAGAAGCCACAACTATAACTTGTTTAACACCTTCTATCGGTTTCTGCTTTGGAAGTCCTCGGGACATGATTTGTGTTCTTCTTTGTTTTAGGGTCTCACTCCCGGCGCCAGACAACTTTAAAAAATAATAATAATAAAAAGCCGTTTTAAATAAGCCATCTCCATCATCACACTGTAAAAGCAAAAACAATCTGGGGTTTGCAATTAAGAGGGCTTTCTTTTCTAATTCTGCTCATCTTCACTATGGAGACATTTACCTACTACTACTGATAACAATTGTAAAGACACATTGCTTAAATTGAAATTTTTCTAGCAGGATACGCTGAACGTTTAAAAATGTAAAAACGCTGCCTCTTTACGGAGATAAGGCTTCCACGTGTTTTGCTTTTCTTCAATCTATTTGATAAATAACCCAAAGCCAAGAAAGCAATGTAGAATACCACATCTACGTTCTAACTGTGTTTCAAGTCCCGCCACGCCTCAGCCTGGGCCTGCCTGAAAAGTAGGCACGTCCAGCACACTGGGGGTCTCAGGAACTGAGGCGAGTCTTTGGCAAGAAGCAATGCCAGGGCATCTGCGGCCCTGCAGCCCAGCATCTGTCAGCCCGCTTCCCCCTGCCCTGCAGCACCACGGACCTGGCGCCCACAAACCATCGCTCGGCTTCCCCCAAGCGGGGCAGTGGCCCCGCCACCAGCCCGGAGCGACACCCCACCAAAAAGCAGCAGACGCTGCCAAATCCCCATGACGCGGAACGCTGCTGTGAGCCCTGCTGGGAAACTGTCGCGGGTGGCGCGGAGTGATGACGTCACGGAGCAACGCTCGGCTTTCTCTTCCTAGCAACCGGTCTTCTTTGGGTTTGTTGGCTCAGGAACCCAATCTGCATGATCTTGTTTATAGCCAGCTACAAACATTTTGCAGCGTTTTACTAAACGTTTGTGAAGTGTTGTCATATAAAACATCTCTTATGATACTTACAGAAGTCCCGAGGTAGACAGAAGACTTACCTAGTATACTCTTTTTATGGACAAGAAAACGGAGAAAGTTTAAAGAGACTTGACCCAGCTTAACAAAAGTAGGAAATGGGGGACCTTGAAAATGACCCCAGGATTTCTTACTAAGCAGTATATGGTCATTTAAATACTACCACCGTTAAGGATTTTACCTTTTTATTTTATTTTTTCCCGTGTGATCTACAGTGAGAGTCTGTTTTGCGTTGGTATTCATGGCTTGTGTTGCTGACAGTTCCCTGAAAGAAAGGTCAGGTTGCTTTACCAGCAACCTGGTAAAGAACTTTGCAAGTTCTTCCAGACTTAAGACTCATTTATTTAACAAATATTCGTTGAGCAACTACTATGTACCGAGTACTACAGTAGACTTAAAATATTCAGCATTGAGACCGACATAATTCCTCCACTAAAGGGCTTTATAATCCAGTGCAAAAGACAGAATAAGTTAACAACAAAATTGCGGTATAATATGATAAGTACAGGAGAAAAGCATTGAGGGATACAGGAGAAAGGACAAAGTGATACAAAGAAAGGGCACTCAATTCAATCAGGGGAAGCTTCTAAATTAGGTAATATCTAAGCTGAATGCTGAATCTGAATAATGTGTAGAAGTTAGCTGGGAGAATGGCAAGGAGATTGTTGTAAAGAGGTTAGAAATGGACTGCTAAGGCTAGGCATGGTGGCTCACGCGTGTAATTCCAACACTTTGGGAGGCCAAAGCAAGAGGATTGCTTGAGCCAGGAGTTCAAGGATGCAGTGAGCTATGATTGCACCACTGCACTCCAGCGTGGGCAGCAGAGTGACACCTTGTCAGAAGAAGAAGAAAGAAGGAAGGAGGAAGGAGGAAGAGGAAATTAAAAGGAGAAGAAAGAAGAAGGAAGAAGAAAGAAGAAGAGAGTAGAAGGAAGAAAGATGAAAGAAGAGAGAAAAGCCCCCGCCCGGCCAGCTGCCCCGTCCGGGAGGGACGTGGGGGGCAGCCCCCATCCGGTCAGCCGCCCCGTCCCGGAGGGAGGTGGGGGGCAGACCCCGCCCGGCCGCCACCCCGTCCGGGAGGTGGAGTCACCTCTGCCCGGCCACCCCGTCTGGGAAGTGAGGGGCCCCTCTGCCCAGCCGCCACCCTGTCTAGGAGGTGTACCCAACAGCTCATTGAGAACGGGCCATGATGACGATGGCGGTTTTGTCGAATAGAAAAGGGGGAAATGTGGGGAAAGGAAAGAGAGATCAGATTGTTACTGTGTCTGTGTAGAAAGAAGTAGACATAGGAGACTCCATTTTGTTCTGTACTAAGAAAAATTATTCTGCCTTGGGATGCTGTTAATCTATAACCTTACCCCCAACCCCGTGCTCTCTGAAACATGTGCTGTGTCCACTCAGGGTTAAATGGATTAAGGGCGGTGCAAGATGTGCTTTGTTAAACAGATGCTTGAAGGCAGCATGCTCGTTAAGAGTCATCACCACTCCCTAATCTCAAGTACCCAGGGACACAAACACTGCGGAAGGCCGCAGGGTCCTCTGCCTAGGAAAACCAGAGACCCTTGTTCACATGTTTATCTGCTGA
The DNA here is from genome assembly GCF_000001405.40 of Homo sapiens. Classification (NCBI taxonomy): domain Eukaryota; kingdom Metazoa; phylum Chordata; class Mammalia; order Primates; family Hominidae; genus Homo; species Homo sapiens. Next base: position 31,559,617 of record NC_000014.9, on the reverse strand, counting down.
CCTTCCCTCCACTATTGTCCTATGACCCTGCCAAATCCCCCGCTCCGAGAAATACCCAAGAATGATCAATAAATACTAAAAAATAAAAATAAAAAAATAAAAAAGATATCAAAAATAAAAATAAAAAAAGAAAGAAGAGAGAAAAGAAGAGAGAACACAAGAGGAGTAGAAAATACATTTCTTTTCTGGATTGTTAAGAACTGTAAATGATCTGTGCAACTTAGGACAAAGTGACTAAAAGAGATGAGGATGGAGTGAAGGTTGGTTAGATGGAGGTTGCCTAAATCAAGAAAGGCTGTATATATCTTGTAAAGAAATTTGGACTTTATCCTAAGGGAACTATAGAAGGATTTTAAGCAGGAAAGTAACATCAGATTTGTGTTTTAGAAATACCACTATGATTACTGGGTTAAAAAAGAAATGGATCAGCGGGGCAAGATCAGAGACAAGGAGACATGAGGTCTCTCTCTTGAAGGCTTGACTTAACATCTCTAAATTTCACTTTGTTATCAATAAAATAGTTAATTCCTACTTCTATGGTTGTTGTGAGGTTGAACTTAAGATAATGCATGTAGAACAGCTGTCACAGAGTTAGTAATTGTTAGCTATTGTGGTAATCATTGGTTGTGTAGAGGTTTATGACATGAGCAACTAGATGAATTCCCTGAGAGAAAACATAAGAGGAGGAGCAAGTGAGAATAATGTTTGTAGAATGGCTGAATCATTACTTTGGTTTACCTTTCCCCAAATTAAAATTTTAGGAGAGTAGTAGAGATGTTTCTTCTCCAAAAAACACTGACACACATATACATATCCATGGCCTCTTTTCAAAAGGGTATTCTCCTTTGGTCCTAAGAATTGCTAAGTCATTTGACCCCATTCCCAAGGTCACTAATTGGACTAAAGACTGATGTACAACCAAAAAATTGACCAATCAGATTAATTCTCCAGAGAGCCTGGAAAATAAAAGTAACAGGTGTTAGTCAATCTTAGTTTGTCTTTGAGCTAATACAGTTGAAATTACTATTTTCTACTATGTGCATGCAGAAGCAGATAAAGCCAATGCAAGAGAGAAGAAGAAAGTAGATCATAAGAGATCATGTTACCATAGAGGAAAGGGAGAAGAGCTGCACTGGTTCATAACTTTTCAGTTCCTGGTTCCAGTTCATAATGAGGTTCAACCGGACTTCCTATCCTTAGGTCCATAAGATATACTTACATCCACCCAATAAATTTACTGTCTTAGTCTAATTTGGATGGGTTTCTGTGTATTTGTAACTATGCTGAGATATATTTTTAAATATGTGTCAATAATTTTCTCCCTATAATTCCTTGTATCTCGCATAGCCCTTCCCCATTTGGACAAATTATATGGAATCATTTTCTGACACAGCAAAATGTCTGACCCAATAAAAATGTCAGAGAAAAGAGGTTGTTTTCTTGGTTTTGAATTTTGGAAGTTGGGACCTTTTAGAAGAATGGAGACAGCTCTGGCAAAGACAATAGATTGGAAGACCTACATAGTGATATAAAAACATGATTTATTGCCTATATTAGTTAGGATTACATTTGGCTGCAAGTAGCAGATAACTCTACAGTTGTATTAAACAAGTAGGGGTATATTAGTCTTATATGAAAAGTTCAGAATTATATCACAGAGGTCCAATACGATGAATCCATAGTGCCGTCATGTTCCAAATCAATTCTTTTTGTTCCATCATCTTGGTATCCTTGGTATCCATTTTCATCCCCTCATAGTCATGAGATGTTTGTTGTACCTTCAGGCATCAAAGCTATGTTCCATATAGGAAGAGGAGGGAATGACAAAGAGAATTTCCTAGTGAGCCTTTGCCTTTTTTATTCAGGAAAGGAAGACACACACACACACACACACACACACCCGACTGGCTAGAACCGGGTCACATGACCATCCTTAGAACCAAGAGAAACTGAGAAATTAAGCATTTAGAGCTCTCTAACCTGTAGAGTAGAGGAAAGCAATGGAGAATGTGACTGGAAGTGGGTAGTCAATGAGCCAAGTTAGTATCTGTCCTAGACAGACTATAACAAGTTTCCTGGGATTATGAGGGATGAAGAGAATCTGAAGAAAACTGAGAACTTAAATATCCATGGGTTCTTGTACCAGTCATTTGTAATTGGCTAACCCAATGTGGTAAAGGGAAATTTTTCTGGGAAGTTTCTGAGAAAGCTTTTGCTTTTCTGATTGAGTGGAACGTAGTTGGTGCTAACTCCTTTTTCCCACCTTGACCATGGATGTGACATGGAGATGTGGCAGTCATCTTGTGAACATGAAAAGCACAATAATGACAACCACAATAATAGAAGCCAAAAGCTGAGGAAGACAAAGAGGAAATATGGCAAGAAGATGAATTCTTGGCAGTATAACTAAGCTGCTATACCAGTCCTGGTCTGCATTTCCAGACCTCTGGTTATGTGAGATATTTAAGCCACTGTTGGCTAGGATTTCTGTTATTTGAGCTACAATAATCTGTGCCTGTTACAGCGAATAAGAAGGACTCCCATACTCTGAGACTACCTCTCTCCTGTTCACCCAAGATTAATCTCTAGTGGGGAGGGGGGACAACAGAACCCCAAATCAGCTTGGGGGATGTGAAAACAACAGAATCAATGTCCCCATTACCAGGTGGAGCTCAGTGCAGTGGCAGAACCACAGAATAAGAATGGTTGAGTGTTATGTTTAGGCAGATAGATAGATCTGAGTGAGCCACAAAGTGGCTAAGAGAATGCTGATCCTAAAGAGTCCTTAAGGTCAAGAATTAGGGAACATTTGGCAACAATCTGCATGGTTAGTTATTAGCATCTCCATGGATGCTGGTATGCATAGATAAATACCTTGAAGATGAAGTTCACCTCAGCATGTGGATATCTGGACACTGCATAGGCTGTCTGTGACTTAGCTACAATCCTGGTGGAATCTGTATTGAACAAGATTTTCCCCCACCCTGACAGAAATTTATAAATAAATAAATAAATACTGATCAAAATAAAGAAGATTCTTTTGAATATCTCCTAATTATGTGTAGAGTAATACCTTGTATTGTTTTCTAAAAAGGAAGGATTTATACCTGTAAGGTTGCCCTCGTTCCTCCCAAAAGACAACCCTTCTTAGGTGACTAAGGACTCACTGAAGTTTCAGATTCCCTCACAGATAAGAAGACTACCTCATTCCCTTTCCATAGGCCTCAGGCTGTGTCAATGTCAGCTGAGAACGTGTGATCCACTCCCTTGCTCAACTCACTAAGGAAGAATAGGGTATCTTGGACAGTTTGTCTCTGTTGAATATACTGAATAAAGCTCAGAAACTTATTTCAGTTCCTTTAGTTTGAGGTTACTGTCCACAACTGACCTTCTCATCCTGTCCAAAGGCTCACCAAAAAGAAAACCTTATCCCATCTATGGGACTTGTCTAAATGGCAACCCCCTTAATTGACCCTACTTTGCCTCACACTGTGATTTGTTTTCAAACCTCCCTGTTCATGGCTCCAAGCATGAAACTGTCTCTTAGCTACATTGAATACTAATTTGCACATTGAAATATAGAATAAATCTGTTTAAGTGAATAGCTCCCACAATGAGCCACTCTCTCAATATGAAATGTGATCTAGAAATTCATGGCCTTTCCCCTATCAAAGACTTTGCTGGCCTTTCAGCATCTTAACTGGCATAAACTAGTCCTGTCAAAGACGTTCCCCATTCTTATAATTTAAAATTACATAAAGGAAATGTATGTATCTTTGTAGATGGGATAGACTTCAGAGAATATGCCTCAAATGACTAAAAATACACCTCTATACTTTGACAGCATGTGTTTCTAAATGCCCATATCCAAAGCTGAATAAATCATGAATGATTTGACATTTGAATTTCTGATTTACAAGACTGAACTGAATCCTTGGACAAAGGTCACAGGCTTGCTTTATACCTGAATATAGTCTCTGATTAATGTTTAAAGCTTCAAAGAGCCCATCCTGAAACAGGAGCCACACAATCAGAATTTGGAAAAAAATTTGTCACCCAAGACAAATATTTGCGAGGCACGGAACCCCAGAATTCCCATGTTTTTGCTTTTTCATTTTCTCCAGTACCAAACAAGTATTCCTTTAGCCAAGCCCCTCCCACCTTTCAATTCTTAGAGACTAGAGAACATAAGTTTCTACAAGACTTTGCTGAAACCTTACTTCATTAGGTATTCAGAAGAGGATTTTCCTGTTTTTACTTTAGAGGACATACCAAGGACAATGACAGAGACCCATCATGATACCAAGCATTCATTTCAGCTCATGTGAAGTTCTGTTTTCTTCAGGAAAAATGAGATAATGTAGATGTTTGTCTGTTTTATGCTGCTGCCAAAATGTGAGGATGTTCTCTATAATCGTGTGGCTTGGATAATATCTTATCTACTTGGTGTTCTGGTACCCAATCTTGTTGATTCATTTATTAACCTTTTCTATTTAGAATTTATTAACCATACATAAAGATATTATACATGATATGCGATAAATACAGCAGATCCAGAATTCATTAAATCTGTTTATTATTCATTCATTCATAGAGACAGGGTCTTCCCATGTTTCCTAGGCTGGCCTTGAACTCCTGAGCTCAGGCAATCCTCCCACCTCATCCTCCCAAAGTGCCAGGGTTACAGGCATGAGCCACCGCACCTGGCCCTGTTCAATCCATTTATATGAGTGAGGAACTCCTACAACTTACTGTAATCTCTCAAAGTACATCCTATATTCTCACTTAGAGCAACAGAGCAGAAATACAAACATCAAGGATTGTAACATCAATTTATTCCAGGGTAGATCGGCAAACTTAAAAGTGTGATGTTTGTCTTCTGTCTTCCACACAGCTCTATCACTGCTTGTAGTGCTTCAATTCATACCAACTATACTTATAGGCACTATTTGGGTCTATTTTCCACAGCATCTTCTGTGACTTAACTATATAATGTTTGGAAAGAGGATTTCCCTGACCGTCTATGATACTAGCTTTGTAAATCCTATTAAAGACCATCAATTAACCATAACTCAATAATCCAAACACTATTGAAGTGATAACTACTCATCTTTCTCATGCTTTTCCAGTCTTTGTTAGTCTTCAAAACAGACAAAATGTTTTTGCATATAAGATGTTAATTTGGGGCATAATTGTTTTAAGGAGTGTAATAGCTGGTGTTCTGACTTGGTTAGAAATTCAAACAGCTCTTTTAGATACCTGATGAAGTTTTGTTAGTTAATCAAAGGCTTTATTATATCAATGCCACATTTAATCTCTTTTGCAAATTTCTAATCATGTGCAAGAATTTCTATTTTATTTAACCATGGCTGTTTTTGTGGGGGAACATGCTGGCAATGTGCTGTTGAGAATTTCATTTTCCATAGATATCTGTTACCAGTATAACAAAATTGACAGCATCTGCTGATGAAATGCACTACTCAAAAAAATTTTTTTAAGATTTGTACTTTTCTCCAATATTTTTCTGAAGTACAGCTCTTTACATCTTTTCCAGGGTCTGATGGAAGGCTTTCTCATTTCACAGCTGACAGCACTGGAGACAGAGCAGGATCACAGAAGAAGAAAATAATGTACTTAGCACCTTGTGCTTATTAGTTTGTGATACTATATCGCTAACTGGAAATTCTATTAAGCCATTCCCACCAATTGCTTCTGGATTATAGAATTAATTGGATATGAATTGCTAATAAGCATCTGAGTTTACCCTCTCTTTTCACTCTACCATATGTCAAATTAATCCATTCTTTTTCCACAGACTCTAAGATGGCCCCCAGTGGTCCTCACCTCTTGGTATTCTCACCCTTGTGTAAGTCCCTCCCGAGAGTGAGCAGGACCTAGAACTTGCTTCTAATCAATAAAATGCAACAAAACTGATAGATATCACTTCTATGATTATATTACACAACATGGTATATCTGTCTTGCTAGGAGACCCTCAACTGGCTCTGAGAAAGCAAGCTATCATCTTGTGAAATGCCCTGTGGAAAAGCCCATGTAGCAAAGGACAGCCAATAGCCAACAGAAAGCTGATGCCCTCAGTCCAACAGCCTGCAAGAAACTGAATTCTGCCAGCAACCATGTGAGATTGGAAGCAGATTCTTCCGTGCAGTCTTGTGAGAGATTATGAAGCAAAGGACTCAAGTTGTGCCCAGATTCCTGACCCACAGATACCGTGTGATAATAAATGCATATTGTCTTAAACCACCAAGTTTGTGCAATTTTTATGCAGCAATAGATAACTAATACTCAATAACCTAGATTTTAATAAGTCTACAGTCAAGGTATAGTTTCTTGTGAGCAATTCTTTTTTGCCATTTGTGGAAAAAATTGCACATTTTGTTACAAAATTAAAACCTTTGTGTAGTTTGAATCTTTGTTGAGAGTTATTAAATGTTATTAACTATTAATAATTCATTCATTTTATAATATTAATTGCCAACCCCATAAAATAATATTTTAATATTAGATACTAGAGAATAGAGACATTTGTGAAACAAAGAGATTCTTAGAATCTCTTTGTTTCACAAATCAAATTATATTTTTCTTAGTAATGGTTGAACCCACTCAAGTCATTTCCAAGTGAAAGAAAAATTAAACATGATTATAATTCTTGTTCTACTCTTCTCTCCATGACCACTCTTCTCTTCAGTGGTTATATAAGAAATTAGTTTCATCTCCATTCTCTGTCTACATTAGCAGTTCATCATCATTCTTCAATTATGTAAATAATATGGATACAAGCATGAAGAAGGCAATTTTTTGTACATAATGTATAAATAAAAAGTAATATAAACAAGAATTTTCCAGTGACACCCTAAATAACTGCTAACTGTATCATTGTAAATCAGCCTAGTTCATGAAAAAAGATTCAGTACATATGAAGCATTCAATTAATCATACTGCACAGACACCATAGAGTTATCTAAACCCAAGGAAAAATATTATTAATGCTATTATAATCTTTGGAGACAACCAAGTCAATGCTGCAGACAACACTGCAGATTTTGTCCCTAAAAATATCTTCATAGAATCTTCATTGAACCATAATCTGTACATTTCTCATTTTCTCCAGTTTTATTGAGGTGTAATATAATTGATAAATAAAAATTGTATATATTCATTTTCACAACTGCCATGAGATTGACAGGGCAGTTATTATTAGTCCTATTACTGCATATGGAAATGAGGAATCAAAGAGTTTAGATTATTTGTTTTAGGGCAAATTGCTGAAAGCAATATGGAGATGGAGGTCTCTTATTACCTATACAGGACTACTGCATGCTACTGACAAAAGAGTATTCCCTTAGGACCAGCTACCATAAGAGAAGCGCCTGGGGGAAATATCACTACTTCTGCAGAAAGAAATCTGAATGCCTACTTCACGACTTAATTTACCTCTAAGCTTCTCATATAAATCTGTGTTTCATTAGTTTTAGTTAAAAGTAATTTATTTCAGAAGCCCATAAACATATGTAATGTCCTTGTCTTGAACTGCATTGAAATTGCATTTTAATTTATAAGGTATTCAAGTTTTTATTAACATATTTGTTGTGTCCCGATTATAATAGTTTATAATCCCTCTACCCTTCCTAATTCCATCATTCCTTGAAATTCTGTCTCAAATTTTTCTTTTTCTATAGACTTCTCTGATAATTTCATCAAGCATTAAACTTCACCTTCCTTAACAGTTAACATTTTATTTAATAGAACATGAATTTAAGGTGCAGTTTGATTGCTTTCATTTTATAAATTGAAGTTAGCAATGCTAGCCTATGTCAGGTCTCTCTCATACAATCTTTTCTTTTTTCTTTTTTTTTTTTTTTTTTTTTTTTTGGGGTCAGAGTCTTGCTCTGTCACCCCTGCTGGAGTGCAGTGGCATGATATCGGCTCACTGCAACCTCTGCCTCCCCGGCTCAAGCGATTGTCCTGCCTCAGCCTCCTGAGTAGCTGGGATTACAGGCACTTGCCACCACACCTAGCTAATTTTTGTATTTTTAGTAGAGACGGGGTTTCACCATGTTGTCCAGGCTGTTCTCAAACTCCTGACCTCAGGTGATCTGCCCGCCTTGGCCTCCCAAAGTGCTGGGATTATAGGCGTGAGCCACCGTACCTGGCCCCTTTTACTATTTTCATATGTCTTCTATTACATAGAGCTATGTGGTATTTGAGGAACAAAAGTATATTATAATGATAATTTATATCACCTATATGTAGCACAGCGCCAGGCACATTGTAGGGGATCAGGAGTTAGTGAGTGGTTAGCTATTATAAAAGCAATGCATACTGGAAATATCAGTGGAGTAGAGAGATAGAAAAGCCTGGGATGTTGTCAGAACTCTGCTACTAACTAGCCGCATGGCCTCAGACAAATCATTTAACTCTAAATCTGTTTACTTCATACACCATGAAGGGATTAAATGAAATAATCTGTAGATTCTTCTTCCAAGCTCATATTGAATTAAAATAAGAACTGAAGAGAACAAAGTTGTGTAACTTCACTGTTCCTAAAATACTTTTGAGAAAATAAAGGCAAATAGTTTAGAGATGCTGCAGACCAGAAAAAGCACAAGGTATATTTTCTTCCTTAAAGAACACAAATTGAAGTGTTATAAATGGATTTTTCACACTTACCATCATTTTCACCTTTACCTCTATTCTCATCATTTGTTCATCTTGGGAATAGTTTCTTGTCTGCCTTTTGGGAACTAGATTATTGACTTTTCATGTTCCAGGGAGTCTGCAACTCTGACCCCAGTTTCAGTCAAAGAAATTGTTGTCCAAAGTCCTTCTGAGTAAACAACACAAAATAGAAGTATTTTGTAGACTATTATAGGCTCTCTTCTTGCCTAAAACACAGAAGGCTGATCAGACCCTGTTTTCCTTTCGCCAAAGTATTAAAATACATCGACCAACATAGATATCCATTCCTGAAAGTCTCAAATTAAAAATATCAAAGTCAATGTTACTTGCACGCTATCTATAGATTCAACAAAACCCCAATCATAATCCCAGCAATTAATGAGATGATTCTAAAATTTCTTGAGAAAGTGCAAAATGAGAGCATTTACTCCTGACTTAGGAGTGATCAAAAGTTTCTTAGATGTGTCACAGAATACAAAAGCCATTTTAAAAAATGTACAAGTTAGGCACGATCAAAATTTAAAACTTCTGCACATCAAAAGATCCCACTAAGAAAATGAATAGCCAATTTGCAATAGCCACAAATAAAATAGAACACCTAGGAATAAACTTAACCAAATAAGTGAAAGATCTCAGCTGGGCACAACAGCTCACAATTTTTGAGGGTGAGGCAGGTGGATCACTTGAGCCCAGGAGTTTGAGACCAGCCTGGGCAACATGGCAAAATCCCCTCTACTGAAATACAAAAAATTAGCCAGCCATGGTGGTGTGCACCTGTAGTCCCAGCTACTCAGGAGGTTGAGGTGGGAAGATCATCTGAGTCCAGGAAGTTGAGGCTACAGTGAGCCAAGATTGCACCCCTGTATGCCAGCCTGGGCAATGGAAGTGAGACCGTCAAAAAAAAAAAAGAGGGAGAAGAAGGAGAAGGAGGAGGAGGAAGAGGAGGAGCAGGAGGAGGAAGAGAAGGAGGAGAAGGAGGAGAGGAAGAGAGGAAGAAGGAGAAGGAGAAAGAGAAGAAGTTGATATGGTTTGGATTTGTGTATCCACCCAAATCTCACGTTGAGTTGTAATACCCAATGTTGGAGGTGGGGCCTGATGGGAGGTGATTGGATCATGCAGGCAGATTTCCTCCTTTGGTGCTGTTCTACTGATAGAGTTCTTATGAAATCTGGTTTTTTAAAAGTGTGTGGCAACTCCCCCATCTCAGTCTTCCTCCTGCTTTGGCCATGTGAAGATGTGTCTACTTCCCCTTCACATTCTACAATGACCACTTTCCACAATGATTGTAAGTTTCCTGAGGCCTCCCCAGCCACACTTCCTATATAGCCTGCAGAACCATGAGCCAATTAAACCTCTTTTCTTTATAAATTACCCAGTCTCAGATATTTCTTTATAGCAGTGTGAGAATGGACTAATACAGATCTCTAAAATGAAAACTGTAAAACACTAATGAAAAAAATAAAGGAAAAAGATACTCCATGTTCATGGATTGGAAAAATCAATATTGTTAAAATGTCCATAATACCCAAAGCAATCTACAGATTCAATGCAAACCCTATCAAAATACCAATAACATTCTTCACAGAAATAGAAAAAACAATCCTAAAATTTATATGGAACCACAAAGGAACCAGAATAGCCAAAGCAATCATAAGCAAAAAGAACAAAGCTAGAGGCATCAAATTATATTACAAAGCCACCTGACTTCAAATCATACTACAAAGCTATAGTAACCAAAACAACATGGTACTGGCATAAAAACAGACACATACACCAATGGAACAGAATAGAGAACCCAGAAATAAATTCATGCATTTACAGTCAACACATTTTCAATAAAGGGACCAAGAACATACATTAGGAAAAGAACAGTCTCTTCAATAAATGGTGCTGGGGAAACTAGATGTCCATGTGAGAAAGAATGAAACTAGACCCCTATCTCTCACCATACACAAAAGTCAAATCAAAATAAAAACCTAAATCTAAGAGCTGAAACTTGAAACTACTAGAAGAAAACATTGAGGAGATGCTCCAGGACATTGGTTCAGGCAAAGATTTCTTGAGTAAGAACTCAAAAGTATAGGCAAACAAAGCAAAAGTGGGCAAATGAGATCATATCAAGCTAAAAAGCTTCTACACAGCTAAGGAAACAAAGTGAAGAGACCACTCACAGAATGGGAGAAAATATTTGAAAACTACCCATCTGACAAGGGATTAATAACCAGAATACATAAGAAGCTCAAACACCTCAAAAGCAGAAAAAAAAAAGTCTGATTTTTAAGTGAGAAAAAGATCTGAATAGACATTTCTCAAAAGAAGATGTACAAATAAATATATACAGATATTCAGGTTTTTTAAAAATGTTCAACATCACTAATTATCAGATCAAATCAAAGCCGTAATGAGATATCATCTCACCCCAGTTAAAATGGCTTTTGTCAAAAAGACAGGCAATAACAGATGCTGGTGAAGATGTGGAGAAAGGGGAACCCTTCTACACTGTTGGTGGGAATATAAATTAGTACAGCCACTATGGAAAATATGGAACTTCTTCAAAAAACTAAAACTGGCCAAGTGCGGTGGCTCACACCTGTAATCCCAGCACTTTGGGAGGCCGAGGCAGGCAGATCACAAGGTTAGGAGTTCAAGACCAGCCTGGGCAAAATGGTGAAACCCCGTCTCTACTAAAAATACAAAAATTAGCTGGGCGTGGTGGCAGGTGCCTGTAGTCCCAGCTACTTGGGAGGCTGAGGCAGGAGACTCACCTGAACCCGGGAGGCGGAGGTTATAGTGAGCCAAGTTCACGCCACTGAACTCCAGCCTGGGCAACAGAGGGAGACTCCGTCTCAAAAAAAAAAACAAAACAATAAAAAACTAGAAACACCATTTGATCCAGCAATTCCACTGCTGGGTATATAACCAGAAAGAGAGTCAACATATCAAAGAGATATCTGCACTCTCATGTTTATTGCAGCAGTATTCACAATAGCCAAAATATGGAATCAACTTAAGTGTCCATCCATCAACAGATGAATGGATAAAGAAAATGTGGTATATATACACAATAGGATATAATTCAGCCATAAAAAAGAATGAAATCTTGTCACTTGCAACGACATGAATAGAACTGGAGGATATTACGTTAAGTGAAATAAGCCAGGCATAGAAAGACAAATATCATGTGTTCTCACGCATATGTGAAAAACTTGATCTCATGAAGATAGAGAATACATTGATGGTTATCAGAGGCTGGGAAAGGCAGTGTGGAAGGGCGATAAATATGAGCTGGTTAATAGGTACAAAAATCAGTTAGATAGAAGGAATAAGCTCTAGTGTTCAGTAGCAACATAGGGTGACTACAGTTAATAATAATTCATTGTATATTTAAAAATAAATAGAAGAGTGGGATTGGAATCTTCCTAACCCCAAAAAAAAAAAAAAAATAAATGGTTGAGGTGATGGTTATCCCAGTTACCCTGATTTGATCATTACACATTATATGCTTATATCAAAATCTCACATGTACCCCATAAATATATACAACTACCATACTTCCATAAAACTTAAAAATTTTGTTTTTAATTTTTTTAAAAAAAGAAAATGAATAGCCAAGCCACAGACTGGGAGAAAATATTCACAAAACATGTATCCAAAAATGACTCATATCTAGAACTACACTATTTGATATGGTAGTCATCAGTCAATGTAGCTATATCAACGTAAATTGATCAAAATTAAATACAGTTTTTTTCTCAATTACACTAGACACATTTTACAATGAACATTTTGAACAAATGTAGGAAATTCTATTGGACAGCACTGATCTAAAATATAAAGAAATACCAGAACTCACACACAAAAAAAAATTGAATTGAAAAATAGACAAAAGGTTTGAAAAGATGCTTCATAAAAGTGAAGCTACATGAATAGCCATGAGCACATGAAAAAGTGCTCAGTATCATTAGTCAACAGGGAAATACAAATTAAAACTACAATGATGTATCACTACATAATCACCAGAATCTCAAATATTTAAAGAACTGACAAAACCAAACACTGACAAGGTTGTGAGGAAATCGGAACTTTCATACACTTTGTTAGAGGAAATTTTAAGTGGTGCAACCATTTTGGAAAGTGGTCTGGCATTATGAGGCTTAAATATACACCTGTTCTATGACCTAGCAATTGCACTGCTAAGCATTTACCGAAGAGAAATGAAAACATATAGCCAACAAGACTTAATCGGAAATGGTCATAACAGCTTTTTTCGTAGTAGTCTCAAGTAGGAAAATGCCCAGTCAATAAAATAATGGATTTTAAACTTGTGGTATTTTCATAAATAAAAGGCAATTAAGGCTGGGCACAGTGGCTCATGCCTGTAATCTCAGCACTTTGGGAGGCTGAGGCAGGCGGATCACCTGAGGTCAAGAGTTTGAGACCAGCCTGGCCAACATGGCTCCACTTCTATTCATGTTGTTGCAAATGACTATATTTTATTTATGTTTATGGCTGAATAATATCCTATTGTGTATATATACCACATTTTCTTTATATATTCATCTGTTGATGGATGGACACTTTGCACATTTCATTGTATATAAATTTTACATTTTAAAAACTGTAAGTAAATATTGAACTCTAGCTATTGACACAAATGCTGAAGTATTGGGGGAAGTATACTGATGTCTGCAATTAAAATATATCAAAAATAAGAAGATTAATAGATGGACAGAGGGATAAACAGATATGTGATAGAACAAGGAGTATAAACAGTTAATGATAAAATCTAGGTGATATCAACAGAGTTCACCATAAAATTATTTCAGGCTAAAATTATTTCATCTTTGTTAAATGTTTAAATTCTTCATAACATAAAATGTTGGTAAGAAAATAGATATCCCAGGCCTCCCAGAGATGAAATTCCAGTGTTAAATCTCCAAAATAAAATTCTAGACAAAAATCATGAAGTCAAAATCATGTTTTCTCTTGCTGTTTCCGTAGTCTCATCCAACAACTCCCTGAACTGTGCTTCTCTTTTTCATTTTAGACAATTCCATCCCTTCTGGGATTATGGGGGTTATCAAAAAGAAAACACTCCGGGTCTTTGCAACTGCAATTTTTACTTAAAATGCTGTTTTTGTCTCCTGTGCAAGAGGAAAGACAGACCCTGATTTACAGTTTCTGTATCTCAGTAATCTCACCCAAAATGAGAATGAGCACTGACTAGCTATATTATTTCCAAAAATAAAGTTTAAACAAAAGTCAGAAAGAAAAGAAAATGATTAAAAAGAATGTAGATAAAACGTATTCTCCAATTTCAAAAAACCAGTGCTCTCTAGAGAAATGGCTGGCTCTAGGACTGGGGCAGGAAACAGAAGATGAGCTTAGAGCATCTTGTAGTACAAGAAAGGAAGTGCTAAAAACAAACAAAAACAAAACAATTCACAGTGGCGGGAGGAAGTCAAAGGAACACAAGATGCCTCTGCAAGACTTCCCAACAACCAAGGCTAGAACAACGTGAGTAGTAAAATAAAGCTCTATTAGATTATAACCAAAGTATAAAATATTCATGAACCCACACTGATATAAAGTAAATCATTAATAAATAGATAAACAGGAGGAAGATATAAATCTCTCTTGTCAAAGTATTCCGATTAATTTAATGTAAATATTTACCCCTCAAGGAGGTTGGGCATAACTTTTTATATCTGAAGTGCCTGTAGTGACTTCCTTCCAAAGAGTAGAGTACGGAAAAGGTGAGGGGAGAGAATAACTTTACAGTGGAGAAACCTGACAAACACTACCTCAGCCTGGTGATCAAGGTCACCATCATCAGTGATATGTCATGTTGATAGTATGCTGTATAGTAAAGAATTTGACCGGCCTTCATTCATCCTTGGTTCCTGGGAGGAAGATGCCAAGTACTTGGAATTTCCCAAGTAATAAGAGTGACGGTTATTCATGAGCCCCTCAGATCATAGAATTTATGCTAATAAGATAGTTCAGGATGGGAGCTGGCATGCCAGAAAGACCAATCATGTGATTAGAGACTTGGAGATTTTGAGCCAGGTGATATCAACACAGCTCAATCAACTCCATGGAGGGGAGGGGTCCCAGACACTGAGTTCAAAAATGTGGCTAATAATTCAATCAATCATGCCTGTGTAATGAAATTCTAATTCAAAACTCCAGACACCACAGCTCAGAAGAGCTTTCCAGTTGTGAACACATTGATGTGCCAGGAGCGTGACACATTCTGACTCCATGGGGAGAGGACATGAAAGTTTGTGTTTGAGGCTCTCCCTGGCCTCTTGCTATGTGTTTCTTCACTTGGCTGTCCCTGATTTGTGTGCTTTATAATCGTAAGTATAGATCTTCCCTGAGTTCCGTGAGTCATTCTAGGGAATTATCAAAGCTGAAGGGCTTGTGGGAACCCCTGAATGTGTAGTTAGTTGGGCAGAAGTGTGGGTGGCCTGGGAACCCCCAAACGTATGGCTAGCATCTGAAGTGAGAGCAGTCTTGCTGGGGATTGTGACCTTAACTTGGAGTCTGTGCTACTCCAAGTGGTTAGCATCAGAATTGCATTAAGTATTGCAGACCCTTAATACGATATATTTAAAATGACATTTAACTTCTGTGGTCCTCCTCCCAAAAACCCATAACTTCAGTCTAATGATGAGAAAAACAAATCCAAGTTGAGGGACATTCTATAATATACCTAATCTGTACTCTCCAAAATTGTCAAAGTCATCAAAAACAAGGAAAATCTGAAAACTGTCACAGCCAAGACTTGCCTAAGGAGATATGCTGATTAAATGTAATGTGGTATCCTGAAGAGGATCCTGGAGCAGAAAAAGGACATTATGTAAAAATTAGGGAGACCTGAATAAAGTATGGACCTTAATTAATAGTAATGTATCAGTATTGGTTCATTAATTGTGACAAATGTAACATACTAAGATACTTATAATAGGGAAAATTGGGTAAGGGTATATGAGAACATTCTGTACAGTCTTTGTAACTTTTCTGTAAATCTAAAACTACTCTAAAATAAAAAGTTCATTTTAAGGAAAGAATAGAGGAAAAATCAAAGTGGGTATCTAATAGCCTAGGATACAATAATACACTAAATAAATCAGTAGTTGGTGAGTTCCTGCTAATTGACAGAGTTCCTGCTAACTGACAGCAGCAACAATTGACAGAGTTTAGTTGCTGCTACAACAACTCCAGGAATCTTAAGTCAATTCAACAAATTTTAAATGCAATACTTATTGAGCTATTCTTCCAGTTAAACAAACCTAACTGAATACACTTATTTATCTGCTGCCACTAAAATGTAGAAAGGACATATAAAAGGCATAAATCCACAAGGACAAAGAGAATGGGAGAAAAGATAATAACCAAGAAGTGATGTCAACATCTTAGAAGAGAGGAAGCAGGTAGAACAGCAGCACCTGACCCAGGAAGGCAGAGGCACTGCTCTTTGGTGTCTGCAGAGAAGCTTCTTTTACTGGCAGAGACAAAGAGGGCTCAGGAATCTGTGGTGCTAGGCACTGTCGAAGGCAAGTGCTTAGGTAGGTGGCTGAAAATATAGGGATTTGTCAAAAGCCTGTAGAATAAGCTATAGATTCCTAGTTTTACTCAGTCACAACCCATACATTTAGGCCATAACTCTTTATCCTTTATCCTTCACCACCACACCTTGCAGGCTACCAGAACTATATTCTCAGGAGAAAATCAGCAATAGAGGCTCCAGAATCAGGAAGGCCAGACACAGTAAATGGTGAGGGTTGGGCCTAGGACTGGAAACAGCAGTGATGCTCTGGAACTAGTTTGTACCAGCTCACAAGAACTGATTGCTAAATTTTCAGGAATTTGGCAAGCCAGTTGTTAAACAGTGCCATTGAAAAAACTTAAATTATATAAGCTTACAATTAAATAAATTGTATTAAAAACAGACATAATCAATATTCAAAGCTTATAACTGCCTAATTATTTTTACTATATTTTACTATTTCCTCGAGGTTATTTACGCCTATTGTGTTCGTATGGTAGAAATACTATGTGATGATGGCAAGCTACTATGTGTATCTTCCCAACTCCACATTAAATGACATCATGTTGGTAGGCTGAAATTGGCCATGTTGAGAATAATGACACACAGATGTTGGCAAATGCTACAAATCAGGTCTTTTTTTCCCCCTTTCACATAACTAGTTGTTAATATTTAGCAGTACATCACAGAAGGATTAAGTGAAAGTCTAGGTAGTAAACTGTGGGGCCTATAATCACTTTCACCTACGCTACTCCTAGAATGCTTGCATGTATCTGTATATTCCTTTGATGATTTTCTTTGAAGAAATTTAAAATCCTAAAAGATCTATAGAAACTGCTATTTTGGGGTCTCAAAAACAAAAAAGCTTGCTTGCTGCCTCATCACATATAAGGAAGTCCATCCATATACATAAAGCTCCCAATCAACTTTTAAGAACCATTTGCAAATATAAAAAGACAGCCTAGTATCACCCAACAGTTGAGGAATACCTTTACCCTAAAGACAACAGTGTAGAAAAGGAATTCAGAAGAAATAAAGACAATGCAGGTAGCAGAAGAAAACTTTTCAAAACAATAATTACTAGCCTCTAATTCTTAAAAAATGTTACATTTATGAGATTAAAAACCTGATGGCTTAAATCAATAATTTAGTAGAATGGTTGGGGCTAAAATTGAGGAAATTTCCCAGGAAATTAGAACAGTGAGAAAGGGGATGGGGAAAAGGAAGAGGGGAAAAGGTAAAGAAATGAATCCAGGGGCTCCAGCTAATAGAAGTTCCAGAAACAGACAGGGAAAATGAAGAGAAAAACTTATCAAAGGACTATGCTCCAATCAGAAGTCATTTGCCTGCCCCTGACAAAATACCCGCAAAAACTGGCTAAAATAATGAAAGTGTTCCATTATCTCAGATAACATGAAGTCTGGAGGAACTGTGCCTGGTTTGATGTACTGACTCAATCAACTCTGACAGTCTCAGTATTTTGGCATTTTGCCTTAGGCTTGTCCCCACTTGACTGTAAGATGGCTATTACAATTTTAAGGTGACAATATGCTCTCTCACAGTCAAATCCAAAGAAGAGAAAAGTGGTAACACAATAAGCTCTTCCTATGCTTGTGGCTTATATTGGAAAATAAAACCATTCCCTGAAGCCTCTCCTCCCCCGAGAATACTTCCTTTATCGTATTGACCAGAAGAAAGGTATCACATAGCCACCCTTAGTTACAAGGTAAGCTGGAACAGTAAATGCTGCATCTGGCAAACGGAAAGGGGATTACCATGATTTGTTTTAACAATCATGATGTATCTATCCTGTAGGTCTGGACGCATTGTTGCCCGGATAAAAACGGGATTCTGTTAGCAAAGAATATGAAGAGAATGTCTGTTGAGCAGGCAGCTAAGAACGTATTCTATAATATTGCAAGAAAAAAAATGATAAGAACTTAAGGACACAGATATCCAGAGTGAAAGGATGTATCACAGGTCAATCACAGTGAAAAAAATCAAACGACTAACACAAAGATTCATCTTCTAAACACTTCTTAAAATCACATTCAAAAGTTAGGAAAGCTGGGTGAGGTGGCTCACGCCTGTAATCCCAGCATTTTGGGAGGCTGAGGTGGGCAGATCATGAGGTCAGGAGTTCGAGACCAGCCTGATCAACATGGTGAAACCCCGTCTCTACTTAAAAATACAAAAATTAGCCAAGTGTGGTGGTGGGCACCTGTAATCCCAGCTACTTGGGAGGCTGAGGCAGGAGAACTGCTTGAACCTAGGAGGTGGAGGTTGCAGTGAGCCGAGATCACGCCACTGCACTCCAGCCTGGGTGACAAAGCAAGATTCTGTCTTGAAAAAAAAAAAAAGTTAGAAAATTAGAATGGTATTGCACTTCTCATCAAAAACACAAGATAATAAAAGATAATAAAGCAATGCTTTTAAAATCCTGAGGGAAAAGCCATTTTCAACACAGTATTCTGTACCCAACCAAATTATCAAGAACTTTTTCGAGAGTCAAGACCTCAAAGAATTTGCCTCTCACTTCTTAGGAAACTACTGTTATATATTTTTCAGTAAATCAAAGGAGTAAACCAAGAAAAAGTCTTAGGATTCCAGAGATATTGAATGCAAGCCTAGACTATTCCTAAGCATGATTGAAAAAAAAAAAAAAAAAAAAAAAAAAAGACGGTAAGACTCAGGAGGGAAATTTCCAGAAGAAATAGAATGTCTAATCTGTTCAACTGTCTTTCTAGGAAGAAGCGGCAAAAGTTACACATAGGCTGGGCATGGTGGCTCACGCCTGTAATCCCAACACTTCAGGAGGCCAGGGCAGGCTGATCACTGGAGCTCAGGAGTTCAAGACCAGCCTGGCCAACATGGTGAAATCCCGTCTCTACAAAAAAACAAAAATTAGCCAGGCATGGTGGCATGCGCCTATAGTCCCAGCTACTCGGGAGGCTGAGAAGCAGAATCGCTTGAACTGGAGAGGCGGAGGTTGCAGTGAGCTGAGATCACGCCACTGTCCTCCAGCCTGGGTGACAGAGGAGATCTATCTCAAAAAAAAAAAAAAAAAAAAAAAAAAAAAGCTCCACATAAACTAAGCAAATGAGCAAATAAGATAATAACCGATTTGTGAAAAAACAAAAGGCTGTATCAGAAAGGAAATTTGCTGGGGGAACACTATGATATTTATAATGTCATATTATTATAAATAATATTGATTTTGGCCAGGTGTGGTGGCTCACGCCTGTAATCCCAGCACTTTGAGAGGCCGGGGTGGGTGGATCACTGAAGCTCAGGAGTTCAAGACCAGCCTGGCCAACATGGTGAAATCCCATCTCTACAAAAAAAACAAAAATTAGCCAGGTGCGGTGATGCACACTTGTAGTCCCACCTACTTGGGAGGCTGAGGCAGGAGAATCTCTTGAACCCAGGAGGCAGAGGCTGCAGTGAGCTGAGATCACCCCACTGCACTCCAGCCTGGGTGACAGAGATTCTGTCTCAAAAAAAAAATAACAATAATAATATTGGTGTAACAAAAATTTTAATATAACTAAATTGGGAGGATGCAGAGAGAATACATCTGTCAGCCAAATCCCAACAGAAAGCAGAGGGTGCATTCAGATTAGGATTAACCAGAGGCGTTTCTTTATAAAAATGTCATCTCCAAAAATGTGGGCAGCATGTAAGGAAATCACAGGGATATTTAATAACCCAGGGTTGGGTCCCCTAGGTCCAAAGAAAGAGGGAGGGAGCTGACCAAAATCCAAAAGAAGTCTGTGAAAAGGAGGCCGTATTGAATGGAACAATAACCTTCGTTTGAGGGACAGTGGAAGAGAGTTGGGGTAATAAACACCCTCACCTCCGTCACCTGCCTCACCTCCCTCCCTTGAACATGCCACTGTCCAAACCCAGCAAGGAGCCAGAGGCACAGAAGCTGTTGATGTGGCCCATATAGGACAGAGGAACCGGAGGGAAAAACAGAAGCTGTGTGGCACAGAGGTGAAGTGTGATAGTATAAAAGAGCTAAATCCTCATCTGACCACAATGTCAATTTTTTAAATGGATAAATTTTAAAATAGTCATCTATGAATATTATTAGCTACACAAAAGCAAATACCAACAGAAACAGCTGGAAATGGGCATTCCTGAGCAAAGTAACTGAATGGGAGAAGTACAGAGGTAGTAAAGTTCAAGAAATACTCAAAGAACAAGCAGCCCAATTTGGTTGTACTATAAGGCATCTGTAAAGGAATCACACGAAAGAAAATTGAAGTGACAGATTGGGGTCATATTGTGGTAGCTCCAAATGCCTGGCTGAAGATCCTATATTTAAACAGTATTGAGCTACAACTAAGGGAGTGACACAATGAGAGATAATTTCCAAGTAGGATTGATCTGGCAATGATGCACAGGATTAAAGTAACAGAAACCTAGATTATATGAGACTTGGTAGATTCTATTTCATAGTCTAACGTAATGGTGTCAATAAGAAGGGAAAGGACAACATTAACCTAAAAGATATTTGAAAACAAGACTGAAAGGACTCCATTCACCCAACAAATATCCATCGAATACCCACTGCATATTAGGCACTATTGTTGGTAGTGGGAATACAGCAATGAACAAAACATACACAAACTCTTGTCTCATGGACCTTATATTGTGGTGGAGGGAAACAAACAATGTATAAAACAAGTAAGTGCTATGCAAGCTAGAAGTCCTCTGAAGAAATCCAAAGCAGGTACAATACAGGATTGGAAGTTTGAGGTTAGTAATTTGCACTTAGGAATGAGTTTGAGGCCAGCTGAGGTGGCTCACACCTGTAATCCCAACACTTTGGGAGGCCGAGGTGGGAGGATCACTTGAGCTCAGGAGGATCGCTGGTCTCAGTTTGAGACCAACCTGGGCAACACAGGGAAACCCCATCTCTACAAAAAATAAAAATATGATCTCAGCTACTCAGGAAGCTGAGATGGAAGGATCACTAGAACCTGGGAGGTGGAGACTGCAGTGAAGCATGATTGCACCACTGCACTCCAGCCTGGGTGACCGAGTGAGACCCTGACACCAAAAAAAAAAATGAGTTTGAGATGGGCCTGGGATACAAAGGTGGAGATGCCCAGATGACTGGAACTCAAGAGAAGTTAGAGCTAGAGATATGAAATAGGAATTTCAGAGGTAGAAAAGGAAAGCCAGACACGTTGTCTCGGGTCAGCTTGCTGTTTCACAGTGTTGTCTCCTTGATGTAGCCACTATATTCTTCCAGTTTTGCAGGTCAAATGAAAAATTCCATTTTGTCAGTGCATCCAGAGATGACTGGCCTTGGGACAACTAATGCATGCTACAGCTACAGACTAACGTAAAGTCAAACTTTAAAGTGAGAAACATAATTGTCAACTCAACTCTAGAGCTCACATTGCTTAGTTCGTACCTGTAGAAAAGTCCATGTTGGTTGCTACAACATAATCTGACTCCTGCTTGCTGATCACAAAATCAGAGATAGAATTAGGTGAACAATCTCCATTGGCTAGCTTAGCCTCACGCAGCTCATTAGACCCATAGAGAGACATTTGCCAAGGTGCAGTAAAGCATCTGCTATGATCTGTCCACCAACGTTCTAAACAGAAGAGACATGATGTCCGAGTCTTCCCCTTTGACTCCCTTTCTTCTAGGCTCCCTACAGACTATTTCCCTGCTTTCCTCTTTACTTAGAATATTGTGTGGTTATTTTGGAACTGGGATACAGTTACACAGTGTTGTTATCATTTATGGAAACTTGAGGTTTAATGGAAATTGGGATGGGAATAGCTTTATCTTTAAAGTATCTAGATCCATCCGGAAACTTTTCCAGGGCTCCTAGGTAAATACTATATGTCACAAAATACCGAGAGAACTTAAGAGAACCCTCAGGCCATACCCCTTCATCGGCAATCAGGCCTTTCCCATCTCCCTCTACTAATTTTGGCATGTGACTGAGAATGGTGTAAGAAAGGCTGAACTGAGAAACAACAGCAAATGTGTTGCTATTGAAGATGCACAGCTCCTTATTTAGTGCCTACTATGTACCAGGCACTTTGCCAAATGCTAGGGAGACAATACAGAGTTTTTCATGGGGTTTGCAATTTACTGAGGCAGGAAATATGAACCTTTGTCAAAGTTAACTACTATAAATTTGTCTTGATGTGTCACGTTACATATCTGCCCCCTATAATGTCAGGACTCACTATGAAGACAATAAAGTTTTCTAAGATTGTGCAAGCAGGTGTGTGTCTTTCTCTCTTCTATTACCCCATTAGGGCCATAGATACTGAGAGGGAAAGGCTGTCCTGGTCATGAAAACAGCTACTGACAATAGGAATCTATGCAGAAAGGAAACAGGTGAAATCATAAGTATATATAGGCAAGAAAAGAGCCGACAACAGAACCATGAAAAATGCCTACACCTAGACAACAAAAAAAAAACAGAGCTAACAAAGGCAATAGCAATGGTTCAAGGAGAGTAGGAAAAACACTCTAATACTATGCCACAGAAAGCAAGAAGGAAGGGGTAAAGGCATCAGCAGAAGACACTGATGAGTCACTGGATTTGGTGATTACAAAGTCATTGGTCATCTCCAAGAGGGTAATTTCAGTGAGGTGGTGGAGTTTGAAGTCAAAGGACAAGGTGTTCATGAGTGAGTATGAGGTCAAGAAGTGGCTACAATGAGTGTCTTTGAGAAGGGCAAGAAGCTAGAACCACCTCTGTTTCTCCTCAAATAACCTTTACCAAGAAGGGAAAAATGTTCTTTTCTATCTAGAAAAGCCATCTCTTCCATACTACAGTGTGACCACCTCTTCCAGTTTTCCCAGGATTTTCCCAGTTTTATAGCACTGCAAGTCCCTCGTGTGGGGAAACCTCTCGATCCTGGGGAAACTGGGCCTGTTGGCACCTGATAGTCATATGGGTGAGACACTTTATGTCAGTGAGGCTTTAGATACCTGTTGGTGATTATTGTTTTACACAGTTTTATTGAGGTATAATTTACATACCATAAAATTCACCATTTCTAGTGATCATTTAAATAACAGTCTCAACCTAGCTGTATGCTAAAATTACTGGGGAGCTTTTAAAGAATATCAGTGACAAACTCTCACCCCCAGGGGTGCCTAAGGCCCGCGTGTTGTTATTTTTTAAAAGCAACCCAGTGACGGCACATGCCTGTAGTCCCAGCTACTGAGGAAGCTGAGGCAGGAGGATCACTTGAGCCCAGGAATTTGAGGTTGCAGTGAGCTATGATTGTACCACTGCACTCCAGCCTGGGTGATAGAGCAAGAACCTGTCTCTAAAAAACAATCATGTAAATAAAAAACAAAACAATGTAAATAAATAAATAAAAACTAAAACAATGTAAATAAATAAATAAAAGCAACCCACTTGACTCTAATGTATAGCCAGGATTGAGAACCACTGGTTATAAAGTAAAAAACAATACCCAGTATCAATGCTTTTCTAAGTTTTCAAGAAGAAAAAGAAGTAAAGTAAGCGCTCAAAGAAATATGATAATGTAGGCTTCTCAAAATGGGAAAATTTTTGAAAACGTAGGAAAAATATTATTTTAAATAGTTTTTGTTTTGAATTCCAGGGCTAAATTCAATAATTTTGATGGGTTTTTTTCTATTAAAATGCAGTGTGGTAATTAGGAAAATCATAATGTATGTCCACACTTTGCATGAAATCCTGCTTCTGATTACATAACAGTCCTACAAAATAAGAAAGTAATGAATAAATGTTTCATTTGAACGTATAAAAGGGAATGCCTCAAGATTCACATCTTCAGTCAGCTTCCCAGAAGCCTTTACATGGCAAAATGGCATTGATTTTTATGTAAAATGTGATTGTCTTTTCTATAAATGTATTATTCTCTAACTCCAAATCAATTAAAGATACGCTGCTCTAGCCACAGGAGATTCCCTTAAAAAATCAATGCTAATTCCAAAAAATGTTTTAGCATTTTAAAAACGTATTCACTAAGAAACAGAATTGATTCATACTGAGCAGGACAGGCATCCAGAAAGATTATGTTACTGGAAATTATTATTATACATATCCATTACCACTTATGAGTGAAAAAAAACCCGATGTAAAAGTTATTTGGTGATTAATAACACAGTGATTATGAGTTTCAGCTTACAATTTGTGTGAGCAAAAAATGTAACTTTATTTTCCTACAACTTAAATTCATTTTTTTTTATTGTTTGTTTTTTGAGACAGGTTCCTGCTCTGTCACACAGGCTGGAGTGCAGTGGTGTGAATACAGCTCACTGCAGCCTGGACCTCCTGGGCTCAAGCGATCCTCCCACCTTAGCCTCCCAGGTAGCTGAGACCACAGGTACACACCACCATGCCTGGATTTTTTTTTAAATTTTTTGTACAGGCAGGGTCTCTCTGTGTTGCCCAGGCTGGTCTTAAACTCCTGGGCTCAAGCAATCTTCCCACCTTGGCCTCCCAAAGTGCTGGGATTACAGGTGTGAACCACTGCACCCAGCCCAGTTTCTATTTTGAACTCTGATTTTACCTGTATGGAGCACGGCACAATCTGGCTCTGTTTTTGAATGCCTTAGACAGTCACAGGTTTTTACCTGTCCTTGGGGCTTTGATCAAAAGGTAGGGCACAGAACCTTCTATGAGATACCCATCAACATCTATTTTTCCATTGCTTGTTGCTGTCTCTCTTCTCCTTAGACACTCCTGATAAAGGGCATCTATTTAAAAAAAAAAAACCACAGCTAACATCATACTTAATAGTAAAAGACTGAAAACTATTTCCCTAAGATCAGGAGCAAGACAAAAATGTCCACTCTCAGGCTGGGCGCGGTGGCTCATGCTTGTAATCCCAGCACTTTGGGAGGCCAAGGCAGGCAGATCACTTGAGCCCAGGAGTTCAAGACCAGACTGGGCAACACGGCAAAACCCTGTTTCTACAAAAATACAAAAAATTAGTCTGGCATGGTGGTGCACACCTGTGGTCCCAGCTACTCAGGAGGCTGAGGTGGGAGGATTGCTTGAGCCCTGGTGGTCAAGGCTGTGGTGAGCCGAGATCATGCCACTGCACTACAGCCTAGGTGACGGAGCTAGACCCTCATCTAAAAAAAAAAAAAAAAAATCCACTCTTGCCACTTCCATTTAACATTGTACTGGAGGTTCTAGCCAGGTCAAGTAGGCAAGAAAATGAAATAAAAATAATCTAGATTGGAAAGGAAAAAGTAAAATTACCTCTATTTCCAGATAATATTATCTCATATGTAGAAAAACAGAATGAATCTACTAAAACTATTAGAAATAATAAACCAGTTCAGCATGGTTGCAGCATATAAGATCTATATACACAAATCAACTGTATTTCTGTACACTAGCAATAAACAATTCAAAAATGAAATTAAGGAAACAATTCCACCGGCCAGGTGCAGTGGCTCACACCTGTAATCCCAGCACTTTGGGAGGACAAAGTGGGCAGATCATCTGAGGTCAGGAGTTCGAGACCAGTCTGGCCATCATGGTGAAACCCCATCTCTACTAAAAATACAAAAATTAGCCGGGCATGCTGATGCACGCCTGTAATCCCAGCTACTCAGGAGGCTGACTCAGGAGAATCGCTTGAACCTGTAAGGCAGAGGTTGCAGTGAGCTGAGATTGTACCATAGCAGTCCAGCCTGGGTGACAGAGCAAGAGTCTGTCTCAAAAAAAAAAAAAAAAAAAAAAAAGAGAAAGAAAAGAAAAGAAAAAAATAAGCCAATCCTAAAATTCATATGAAAATACAAGGGACCCAGAATAGACAAAACAATCTCGAAGAAAAGAACAAAGTTGGAGGACTCACACTTTCTGTTTTCAAATTTTCCTTCACAGCTACGGTAATCAAGACA
Source organism: Homo sapiens (assembly GCF_000001405.40). NCBI lineage: Eukaryota > Metazoa > Chordata > Mammalia > Primates > Hominidae > Homo > Homo sapiens. Next base: position 31,533,466 of record NC_000014.9, on the reverse strand, counting down.
GTGTAGTACTGGCATGAGGATACAAATGCAGATCACTAAAACAGAATTGAGTGCCCAAGAATCAGCCTTCATTTTTATGGCCAGTTAATTTCAATAAAAGTGCCAATTCAATGGGGGAAAGAGTACTCTTTCCAACAAATGGTGCTGGGACAGCAGGATTATCCCTATACAAAAAGTGTAGCTGGACTCCGAACTTACATCACATATAAAAGTTAATTTTAAATGGATAAAACAGCTAAAACTATAAAACTCTTTGAAGAATCATTCATAGGAATGAATCATGACCTTGGGTTAGGCAAAGGCTTTTTAGACAAGACACTAAGAGAACTAGTAACAAAAGAAAAAAGACATAAACTGGACTTTATAAAAATTTTAATTTGTGCTTCAAAGGACACCAACAAGAAAATAAAGACAACCCACAGGATGGGGAGAAATTCTGCAAATCATGCACCCAATGAGGGACTTATATCTAGAATATATAAAGAACTCTTACAAGTCAGTAATAAAAAGACAGATAACCCAATTTAAAAAATAGACAAAAGGAGCAAAAAGAACTCTCATTCATTACTGGTGAGAATACAAAATAGTATTGCCACTCTGGAAGACAGTTTGGCAGTTTCTTACAAAACTAAACACACTCTTACCATATAATCCAGAAACTGCATTCATTTACCCAAATGAATTGAAAATATATTTATACACAAAACCCCGCCCACAAATGTTTACAGCCACTTATTCATATTTGCCAAAACTCAAAAGCAACCACAATGCCATCCAATAGATGAAAGGATAAATAAACTGTGGTACATCCATACGATAAAGTATTATTCAACAATAAAGAGAAATGAACTATCAAGTCATAAAAAGACATTGAGGAACCATCAATCCATATTTAAGTGAAAGAAGCCAATTAGAAAAGACTATATACCATACAATTCCAACTTCATGACATTCTGAAATTGGCAAAACTATGGAGACAGTAAAAAGATTAATGGCTGCCAGGGTTTTGGGGGAAAGGGGAAGTGGGAAGGATGGATACGTGGAACACAGGGGATATTTGGGGCAGTGAAACGACTCTGTATGATACTGTAGTGGTGACTGCATGTCATTATAACTTTGCCAAAACCCTCAGAATGTACAATGTAGAGTGAACCCTAATGTAAACTATGGATTTTAGGTAATAATAATAATGTGCCAACATTGGCTCATCAATTATAACAAATGTATCAGACTAATTCAAGATGTTAATAATAGAGGAAACTGGCTGGGCACGGTGGCTCATGCCTGTAATCCCAACACTTTGGGAGGCCAAGGTGGGCGGATCACCTGAGGTCGAGAGTTCGAGACCAGCTTGACCAACATGGAGAAACCCCATCTCTACTAAAAACACAAAATTAGTCAGGCGTAGTGGAACATGCCTGTAATCCCAGCTACTAGGGGGGCTGAGGCAGGAGAATCGCTTGAACCTGGGAGGCGGAGGTTGTGGTAAGCCAAGATCGCGCCATTGCACTCCAGCCTGGGCAACAAGAGCAAAATTCCGTCTCAAAAAATAATAATAGAGGAAACTGTGTGTGGACTGGGGGAGTGGTAAGGGAATATAGGGGAATTCTGTACTTTCTGCTCATGTTTTCGATAAACCTAAATAAACTGCTCTAAAAATAAAGTTTATTAATTAAAAAAATATGAATAGAAAGTTTTCCAAAGAAGATACACAAATGGCCAATAAGCACATTAAACATGCTCAACATCATTAGCCATCAGAGAAATGCAAATCAAAACTATGTTGAGATACCACTAAGGTGGCTATAATCCAAAAGAAAGATGATGAGTATTGGAGGGAACGTAGAGAAATGGTTCCCTTATATTCTGCTGATGGAAATACAAAATGGTGCAGCCACTTTAAAGAATATCTGACAGTTTCTCAAAAGGTTAAACATAGAGTTAGTATGTGACCCAGCAACTTCACTCCTGGTATACACTCAAGAGAAATGAAAACATATAGCCACACAAAAAATGTGTACATAAATATATACAAGTGGCTGGGCACGGTGGTTTACGCCTGTAATCCCAGCACTTTGGGAGGCCGAGGAGGGCGGATCACGAGGTCAAGAGATGGAGACCATCCTGGCCAACATGGTGAAACCCCGTCTCTAGTAAAAAGTACAAAAATTAGCTGGGAGTGGTAGCATGCACCGGTAGTCCAAGCTACTCAGGAGGCTGAGGCAGGAGAATTCACTTGAACCCAGGAGGCGGAGGTTGCAGTCAGCCAAGATTGCGCCACTGCACTCCAGCCTGGTGACAGAGAGAGACTCTGTCTCAAAAAAAAAAAAAAAAAAAAAAGGTACAAGTACATCAGTGGCAGCATTATTCATAATAGCCAAAAAATGGAAACAACTCAAATGTCCATCAGCTGTTTAAATGGATAAATAAAATATGGCATATCCATACAATATAATATTATTCAGCAAGAGAAGACATGCTATACTGATACATACTGCAACATGGATGAATCTTTCATATGCCAAGTGAAAGAAGCCAGTCATAAAAGACCATACAGGATTCCATTTAAATGAAATGTCCAGAATAAGTAAATCTATAGAGACAGAAAGTAAATTAGTGGCTGCCTAAGACTAGAGGGAGTGGGTATAAATGCGGAAGGACTGCTAACGGTTACAAAGTTTCTTTGGGGGGTGATGAAAATATTCTAACCGCGATTGTGGTGAGGAATGCTTAATTCTGTGAATATACTAAAAACCATTGAGCTGTACAGTTTAAATTGACGAATTGCATAGTATGTGAATTAGATTTTGACAAAACTGTTATAAAAAAATAAGATTGAAGATGTTTCTGGAAACAAGGATCAAAAATCACAGATATAAAGTAAGCAACAGTACATAGTTGTAACTCTAAAAATTGTCAACATATTTGAATGCACTAGATGGAAAGTGTAGAAATCTAGAATGTAATAATGAGATAACCACAAACTTCATAGGAGACATAGAGAAAGTCATTTCACACCTAAGCTTAAATTTCTGTCGTAGATTAAATCTCACTGATTCTAAAGAGAAAATTTGTTTACATTTTGATAGCTAGCTCCCCCTCATACTTACAAGATGCTGTCACAATTCCAAACGTTTCATCCTGACGTGGCAATGTGCAGCAGAAAATGAGGTTGCCTCCTCCTGCGTGTCTCTTTTTAAGAGTAAGAAAATCTTTTCCAGAAGCCCTCATCACAGATTTATCCTCATTTTTCTTTGGCCAGAATTGTGTCTTATGCTCCTTCCTAAATCAGACTCGCGTGCACTCATGCACATGCACGTGTGTGTGTGTGTGTTTGGAGTTGTGTCTGTGTCCACAATTGACTTAGACAAATCAGGATTTATCTGTAACAGGAAGGTGAGGGGTGGATATAAAATCACGACTGTTGGCAAGGAAAAAGAGAGAAGGAGTATTGTATGGGCACCAGAAGACTCTGCTATACCAAAGACAAAAGAGAAATATGAAATAATATTTTCACTACACTTTCTTCGGTTCAGAACAAGGTATGTGCCCCACCTTCTATGCCAAGTCAAAAATAAAGCAAGAGTTTCATGGCTTCCTGAAGCTATTTTATTTTCCCAGGGATTTTTCCCCCTCAAAAAGTATTCATTATTTGCTGGAAAATGTGTGGCACAGTGTTGGACTCATCAGCATTAGCACACATTCTACAAAGTTACAGGAAACTTACCTCCAGGTTTTGCTAGCACATTATTATCATAAGCCACTGTTCCCTGACAGTGGTCCTTCATTATACGATTTTGGTTGCATGCTTAGCTATAGAATGCCAGCTAGCACTGAGCCACCAACTTCTTACTACTCAGAATCCGTGTTATTCATTCACTTAACACATGTTTATTAAGCACAGCTAAGCTATGTGCTATACTAATGATGGTGAAAATCTACTGAATGCTTGCTACATACCAAGTACTATTTTAAGCTTTACATATACTAGTTCATTTAGTCCTCATAGAAGTTTTTATGAAGTATGTAGACATCATTACTATTTCTACTTCACAGGTGAGTGAGTTCTCAAGTGGTTAAGTATCTTGCCCAAGGACACACAAACAAGTAAAGTATGAATCCCAAAAGTCTGGATATAGACCAGGGTATCAACCTAAGAAGGCTGGCTCCAAAGACCATGCTCTTAACCACTACACCATCGTTGCATCACAGTGCAAAGATAAACATGGCATGTTTTCTTTTCTCTAAGAATTCACAGTCTAACCAAGGAGGCAAACATATACACAGTACAGTACAGAGTGGTTAATGCTATAATACCTTCCCAACAGAATTTCTCTCAGATTGATAAAGAAATCCTTATTGTTTTCATGAGAACCATTAAAATTTACCATAATCTATAGTAATGCTTTGAATTTATGTTATACTATCTCTATCTAAGGTTCTCAAGTTAGAACTGTCACGGATACATCTCTTAAGATTAATAAAATAGCACTGGAGGCCACGCACAGTGGCTCATGCCTGTAATCCCAGCATTTCAGGAGGCTGAGGGGACAGGGTCCCTTTAGTTCAGGAATTCAAGGCTGCAGTGAGTACAGTGGCCCCACTGCACTCCAGCCTGGGCAACAGAAATAAATAATAAATAAATAAATAATAAATAAATAAATAATACTGCATGAAAAACTGGGTTAAGCCTCAGGGGTGAGCAGAAAGAATAATTATGTTTAATAAAGAATCTGTCTGAGGAATTCAAGCCACTAACAGCCTGTGAACAGAGCTACAATTTATTGACCATTTACTATGTACAAAGCCTATATGTTAATGTAATCCTCATAACCACCCTATGAAATAGGAACTAGAATTACCCCTATTTTACAGACAAGGAAAGAAACTTAGTGAGAATAAGCCATTTGCCTGAGGATAAACGACAGAGACCAGGACCTGTCAGAACCATGGCTCAAACCGGAACAATGTAATTCCAAAATCAGTGCCAGTAAACTACTACACTGTATACCCATGGAGGACATTTTACCTTAAAAGACTATAAATGAGTATAGTTCATGTCAGACCATCTGGCCCAGTTACACAGTGGCTTTCCAAATAAGGTATTTGAAAATTTATATTGATTTTTGTAAAATGACTTCAAGAGAATGCATTGATTATTAAATTCCATTAAAGTCTCAAACTTTCATCTCCAGTTTCTGCTGCAAAGTTTACTGTTCTGAACTATTTATTTCCCAGATGCCTCCCATCAAAGCTGATTGGTATTAAACTGTTTATTATAGTCTCCTTCCTTTTATAAGCTCAATTGTGTCCCCCCGGCAAATTCGTATGTTGAAGCCCTAACCCCCAGAAACTCAGGATGTGACTGCAATTGGAGATAGAGCCTTTGAAGAAGTGATTAAGTTAAAATGAGGCCACTAGGGTGGGCCCTTTAGGGTGGGCCCTAATTCAATCTTACTGCTTCTTATAAGAAGAGGAAATCTGGACATACAAGGAGATAACGGGGAGGCATATGCACGGAGGAAAGGCCACAGGAGGACACAGTGAGAAGGTGGCCACCTGCAAGCCAGGAAGAGAGCCCTTAGAAGAAACCAATCCAGCTAGCACCTTGGTCTTGGACTTCCAGCCTCCAGAACTGTGAGGAAATAAATTTCTGTGTGGTCATTTAAGCCACCCAGTCTGTGGTATTTTGTTACAGCAGCCCTAGCAAACCAATACACTTCTTTAGCTATGAGCCTCTCCAAAGCAGATACCATGTCATGTTCAACTTTGTGTCTTTCACAATTCCTTGAACATTAAAGGCACTCTTCAAATGTTTATCTTATTTAGAGGTGACAGTGTACTGGCAGCCCTCGCTCGCTCTAGGCGCCTCCTCGGCGTCAGCGCCCACTCTGGTCACGCTTCAGGAGCCCTTCAGCCCGCCACTGCACTGTGGGAGCCCCTTTCTGTGCTGGCCAAAGCCTGAGCCGGCTCCCTCAGCTTGCGTGGAGGTTTGGTGGGAGAGGCGCAGGCGGGAACCGGGGCTGCACGCGGTGCTTGCGGGCCAGCGCGAGCTCCGGGTGGGCGTGGGCTCGGCGGCCCCGCACTCGGAGCAGCCGGCCGGCGCCGCCAGCCTCCGGCAGTAAGGGCTCAGTAACTGGGCCAGCAGCTTGGAGGGTGCGCCGGGTCCCCCAGCAGTGCCGGCCCGCCCGTGGTGCACTCGAATTCTCGCTGGACCTTTGCTGCCTCCCTGTGGGGCAGGGCTTGGGACCTGCAGCCTGCCATGCCTGAGCCTTCCCCCCGGCTCCCCGCCATGGGCTCCTGTGCGGCCCAAGCCTCCCCAATGGGCGCCACCATCTGCACTGCAGCGCCCCGTCCCATCAAACCCCCAAGGGCTGAGGAGTGCGGGTGCATGCCGATACTGGCCGGCAGCTCCGCCTGTGGCCCCAGGGCAGGATCCACTAGGTGAAGCCAGCTGGGCTCCTGAGTGTAGTGGGGACTTGGAGAACCTTTATGTCTAGCTAAGGGATTGTAAATACACCAATCAGCACTCTGTGTCTAGCTCAAGGTTTGTGAATGCACCAATCAGCACTCTGTATCTGGCTAATCTGGTGGGGACTTGGCGAACATTTCTGTTTACCTCAGGGATTGTAAACGCACCAATCAGTACTCTGTGTCTAGCCCAAGGTTTGTAAATGCACCAATCAGCACCCTGTGTCTAGCTCAGGGTTTGTGAATGCACCAATCAGTGCTCTGTGTCTAGCTAATCTAGTGGGGACTTGGAGAACTTTTGTGTCTAGCTCAGGGATTGTAAATGCACCAATCAGCACCCTGTCAAAACAGACCAATCAGCTCTCTGTAAAACAGACAATCAGCTCTCTGTAAAATGGACCATTCAGCAGGATGTGGGTGGGGCCAGATAAGGGAATGAAAGCAGGCTGCTGGAGCCAGCAATGGGAATGTATTCGGGTCCTCTTTCACAGTGTGGGAGCTTTGTTCTTTCCCTCTTTGCAATAAATCTTGCTGCTCTTCACTCTTTGGGTCCTCCCCGCCTTTATGAGTTGTAACACTCATGGTGAAGGTCTGCAGCTTCACTCCTGAGGCCAGCGAGACCACGAACCCCCAGGAGGAATGAACAACTTCAGATGTGCCACCGCCTTAAGAGTTGTAACACTCAGGGAGAAGGTCTGCAGCTTCACTCCGGAAGCCAGTGAGACCGCGAACCCACCAGAAGGAAGAAACTCTGAACATGTCCGAACATCAGAAGGAACAAACTCCGGACACGCCGCTTTTAAGAACTGTAACACTCACCGCGAGGGTCCGTGGCTTCATTCTTGAAGTCAGTGAGACCAAGAATCCACCAATTCTGGAGACATTATTATTATGGTTTCAAGAATTGCTTCAAGTAACTTCATTTAGAGATTGATGATGAGGACCTACAAGACCAAACAATAACAATATATTCAATTCAAAACAATCTATGTAATATTTATGGGGTGGTAGATATACAAAGAGGAATAAGACTATGCCTACCTTCAAAGAGCTTATTACTGGTAAACTAGAGAGACATGTAAATTAATCATTGCAATATTGCTTGATTAATTACAGTGGTGGAGTCGGGAAGAGGGCTGATATAGCTTATTTTTGTGTGCCCATCCAAATTTCATATTGAAATGTAATCTCCAGTGTTGAAAGTGGGGCCTGGTGGGGGGTGATTGGATCATAGGAGCAGATTTCTCATGAATGGTTTAGCACCATCCTCCTTGATACTGTCCTCATGATAGTGAGTTCTCATGAGATGTGGTTGTTTAAATGTGTGTAGCATCTCCCACCTTGTTCCCTTGTTCCTGCTTTCACCATGTGACATACCTGCTCCACTTTGCCTTCTACTGTGATTAGAAGCTTCCTGAGGCCTCCCCAGAAGCAGATGCCACTATGCTTCCTCTACAGCCTGCAGAACCATGAGCCAATTAAATGTCTTTTCTTATAAATTACCCAGTCTCTGGCATTTCTTTATAGCAATGCGAGGACTGACTAATACAGGGACATAAGAAAATTCACAAGGGAAATCACACTTTAGCAGGTATTTAAAAGCTGCTTTGCTCATAGAACTATCTTCACTCATTTGGTTTTTGTTTGCTTGCTTTTTGAGACAGTGTCTCATTCTGGCGCCCAGGCTGGAGTGCAGTGGCATGATTTCCGCTCACTGCAACCCCAGTCTCCCGGGTTCAAGCGATTCTCCTGCCTCAGCCTACTGAGTAGCTGGGATTACAGGAGTCTGCCACCATGCCCAGCTAATTTTTGTATTTTTAGTAGAGACGGGGTTTCACCATGTTGACCAGGGTGGTCTCGAACTCCCAACCTCCAGTGATCCACCCACCTCTGCCTCCCAAAGTGCTGGGATTACAGGTGTGAGCCACTGCACCCGGCCCACTCATTTGTTTTATGAGATAAACATATGTCTTACCTTTCTAAATGTATAGATGATTCAGTGGGGCACACCTGCTTGTTCTGTTGTACCTTCTATCCTCCCAGAGTATCCCAATTCTAATCTGTCTACTTCATCTCCAGTTGAATTACCCTAAATAGTGTTTTATCATATCACTCCCTTTTAAAAAAACTGCAGTAACTCCCAAATGTCTTTAGGACAATCTTCAAAATCTTTAACATCACATAAGATTCTTGAAAATTTGGCCTCAAACTATCATCCCTGTAACCTTATTTCTTTTTACCCCAACTCAACAATACTGACAACAATAGTCTCACTAAAAGCAGTTCCCTAGAACCAACTGGTAATGATTGTTTGGGCTACGTTTCATGAGGATAAGAATAATTCTTCTCTGGCCACCACAACTGCTCAAGTGGAGTCACCTAGTGTCTCTAAATCCACCATTATAACACAGTTGGCAAGCTCAATTTAAGAAGACAACTGCTTGCTGGTTCAAGGTTTTGTTAGCTCAGCAGGAAGGGATGTCATTAATGAATTCCAGCAAACCCGGAGGCTTGATGTTGTCGCTTTTGTTCTTTCTGTGTTCCTGCAGTTGAGTTGCAGTGATCTGGTGAAGGAATAGTTAGGCCAGAGTGGTTGTTACCGCAATAGAGAACCATCGTTGAAGACTTTTTAGTTTGCTGCTACCCAAATAACATACTTTAGTCACCTGTAAAATGAAAGGGTTGAACAAGGCCATCTCCAAGGCCCTTTTCTGTTCTAAAATGCTATGATTCTATAATCAATAGCCTGACTTTTTTAAATGTGAGAAAGCCTCAAGAAACCCTTAAAATAAGCTTCTAGCTTGTTCATGCACACACGATTTATTTATTCAGAATTATATTATGTAATAATAGTAGTTATACATGACCTTAAAAACAGATTCATTCCTGAAATTTATTTTATTTCGTTTGCCCTTTGAATATTTTTTATGTTCTATTTTAAAGTTTGTGAAGATATTTCCAATATAGCATACCACATTAGTCTCAACATCCATGTATATTATTTAGAAAAAAATAGTTTTTAATTTATCCCAGGAATGATGTTTCTATATAAAAATACTAGATTTTAAGCGGGTAATTTCCTTGGACAAAAAGTATTGATCTCTACTATAAAATACATTTTGAAAACTAATAATTGAAGTATTTGTAAGTAGTTAAATGCTTTCATTCTTTAATGAAAATTACTATTCAGTGTTCATTTTATTTGTAATAAAAGATCAGCTGAATTTCTTAATGCAAAATGAGCTTGTCCCAGTGCTTTTTATTCTCACTTGAAACTCACCCAGCTCCTTATATCTAATTGGAAATCTCACCAATTTCAGAGAAAATTAATAATAATTCAGATGAACCATATTGGTTTCTAAATGGAAATGGAAGTATATGGTTTAGATTCACATATCTCCTCTATGATATCTGACATTAATGTACTCCCTTCATTTCTTTCTTCCTTCATCCAGCCCTCATTGTCTTCTCTCTTTAGCTCTCTTTTCTTCTCCTTCCTTTCACAGATATTTACTAAATAAATATAAAGCTCATGTACCTGTGACCCTTATAGTTCTATCCCAGAATGGCATCATCAAAGGCACACAGTCCAAGAACAAACAGGAGTTCAAAAATAAAGCAAGTCCTTTACTTGTGTTGTCCGAACACCAAGAAGAAAGCACACAGTTCACATCAACACTTCTTAAAATCCCTTTCTATGCTGTCCCATCCACTGTCCTCACACATCCCCGGTAGTCCCTCACTTCTTCTATACAAGCCCCCAGAAAACTCTTCACCCAAACGTAGCCTTCTTGTTTTTCTCTTACACTCTTTTTGCTCTTGATTCTTAGCATAAAAATCCAAAAGAATCAAGACAGGGGAAAGGTTGGGAACTCATATATTAGTAATTTTTGTTCAATTCAAAGCATTTTTGTTCAACATGCTTTGGAAGTTATATGGAGAAGCATAGACCCTACCTTCAAAAGCCTATAATCAAATGGGGGATATTCAGCATTTGTTGGGCACTTATAACAAGTCAAGCATTGTGCCAAGCACCATGGATATAAAAATTAATAAGCAAGAATGTCTGCCCTAGAGAAGCTGACAGCCCAATGCTGAGTGGCCACATGGAGAGATAAGTAAAATGCAATGTGATAAATGTTAAAATAAACTTTACACAGAAATTGCTATAAAAACTTGACAGATCTTCCTTAAAAATGACTCACCAATACTCACAGTTAATGATATTAGCTTTATCCTTGTTACAGGAACTCCACTCTTGAATTGAAAACAATCGGTCATGGTTTCGTCATTCTCCCTGCCCTCTGCCTAACCAGTCCCCAGAATTTTGTGGCTTCATTCCTATTTCTAATAATATCTTCCCAATATATGATACGGTGGGGTGGGGATGGTGGGAGACAGGGAAAAAAAAAAAACCCTGGCTGTTATTTCCCAGAGGAAAGAAAATTAGAAATTCTAACAACCATGATAGCATTGTTTGAACTACATGGTTTCAGCCTTATGAACTGTGAAACATATGGTCTGTTTTGTGTTGTATCCCATAGCAGTATGATAGTCACAAAAATTTCACATAGATTAAAAAACAGAAGTCAGCCAGGTGTGGTGGTTCACACCTGTAATCCCACCACTCGAGCACTTCGGGAGGCCAAGGCAGAAGAATCACTTGAGGCCAGGAGTTTGAAGCCAGACTGGTCAACAGAGCAAGACCCTGTCTCTACAAAGGAAAACTTTTACAATTAGCCGGGTGTGGTGGTGTGTGCCTGTAATCCCACCTACTGGGGAGGCTGAGGCAAGAGGATCACTTGAGCCCAGGATTTTAAGGTTGCAGCAAGCCATGATCATACCACTGCATTTCAGCATGGACAACAGGTCAAGACCCTGTCTCAAAAAAAACAAAAACAAAACAAAAAACAAGACAAAAAACCTACCTATGTCCAAGTAATCCTGTCCTTCCTAATATTTTTACTCGTTTTTCCAGTGCTCTTATATCTGACTCTTGTAATTTCTTCCTAGATGGGCTCTGCTCCAGTGTCTCTCAATTCTAATCTATTTACTTTGCCTCCAGATTATCCTAAATAGTGCTTCATCATGTTACTCTCTTTAAAAACTGCAGTAACTTCCAAATATCTATGAACTTCACATTCTTAGCTTTACATAAAGATTCTTGAAAATTTAGTTCCAAACTATCATCCCTGCAACCTTATTTATTTTTCCCTCTAATTCAATCACATACTCCAGTCAACTCAAATGCTCAGCCTCTCCAAGAAATGCCTACTGATTTGTCTGCCTAGCAATGCATTTCCTGAGAACTGCTCCTTCTCCCTTTCAATAACAACGTTTCAGTTGTTTTTTCCTTCAAGGTAACTGTGATTGCCATTGATTGCCATTGGCGATTGATCCAGGGGTGACACCTGACCCAAGCTCGTCAAATGACGCCTTCCCCTGAGGAATTTAGAATGGGGACTGATCAAGTCCAGGCTCAGTCTGGCTGTCATTTTCTGCCACATAGACCAGAAGTAAGAAAAAGTTGATCTGCAGTAAGAAATAAAGTAAACATTTAAAGAAGAGCAAAGACAAGAGTTAGAAAGGAAGGACTGCAGTCTCAGTCCATTCTGTTCATCCAACCCCACTGCAACCTACTCTTGGGACCCCAAGAATCACTGCTGCAGTCATAATAATAAATGCTCACGTTTGCTTAAATGAGTTATGTTGTTTGCACCCCAAAAGAATTGTAATTAATCTAATCATATTTTTATTTTTGACAGTTCACTTTGTCCACAATATGGAAGGAGGATGAGCTGCTAAGGGAAGAGAATAGAGGCAATGAGACCAGTCAAAGGACCACTGGAAGGATCCAGGAATGAAAATTCATCTTGATTGGATGTGGGAGGTAAGTTAGGGTGGCAAGGACTAAGGATGACCTGAAGCCTAGATGACTGGATAGAGTGGGAAGGAGAATACTGAAGACTTTAGGGGATGATGTTGAGCTCAGCAATGCATGAGATAAGTTATGTGGAAGTACCTAGCACAATTCCTAGGCCACAGCAGGTGCGCTATAGATGTCAGTGTCCAAGGGCTCCCCCATCCCTGTGTTTCATCTCCCCTGTTAGGTTGTCAGCAATTATAGGGCAGGGATCACATACTGCACTTCTCAATTGTCCTCACAGTGACTACTCAGGTCCTGGTACACTGTAGACACTCAGTAGATATTTGTTGATTTCCTTTTATGTTATACAAGACAAATTTTGTTTTGATTGCTTATAATAATATGTCTTTTCAAAAGAACAATCAGAATAGTACGGTACAGACATGCTTTTTTAGACAAAGAATTGAAAGAATGCTTTCCTCACCATAATCATGTTTGATTTCAGAATGGTCTTGAAAAAATCTGAATTCTAATAGAGGATCATTTTCTTTTTGATGGGAAAGAAATAAGTAAAATCTATACTACCAAAATAAAAAGCTTTTCATGTTTAAATATGTATAAATCTGAATGTGTTCAGCAAAATATCAATGCACAAAATACTCAAAAATAAATCTGAAAGCTAATACAGATCCTGACTCCTAATATAAACACAAACTAATCAAAGCCAAGAATTTAGATTCAGAAACAGCTCCTGCTGTTGAATCTCAATATGTATCTCAGATAATACTACAAAGTTTTTGGAAATTAATTTCTTCTTAATTCTTTATACAAAAGATTATTTTCATTGTCCGTATATATTTCTCTACATATATTATCTCTATATATAATATATAATTCCATATAATATGTAATATTAAGTAATATAATTATTATAATATATATAATATAGTATATGTATATTAGAAATACAGAGTGCAAATGTGGCAAGCATATTTAGATTAAATATTTAAAAATTCATCTTAAATAATTCCACTGCTAAGGAGATATAAAATCAATCCAAGAAAATCATGGCTAAGCAGGTTTTATTAACCTTAATTGAGAAGGCAAGAAAATGAGCCTTGATCCTTGTATTGTTGCTGTATATGTCCAAAATATCTGTGTAGACTCGTGGGCATTGATGGAAGAGGACATAGCCTGAGAAGAAACCCTCGAATGTAGGAAATGCAGGCCACCTCCATATAAAATGTGACCTAAGAGGCAGTGAAATGTCCACCAACTGTGATGCCCAAAATTCCACCAGTGGGGGCATTCTTTAGAGTTAAGGAGGGTATTTCTAGAAACGTCTGTTAAAATGCAGACATTCACCAAAAGTGATTAAGCGTGGACCTCCTGATGCCTATAAACACATTGCCATGATTGGTATATTCAATAGCTCCCTGTCACCTAACACAGGACCATGATTTGGACCTTTGGCGTCATAGCCCTCTCGACCTCATTTCTTGCCATTCTGCCCTTCGCAGCAGATGATCCTCTCCACTTCCATGGCTAGTGTTCATATTTCGGATTAAATTAACTCTGTCAGAAAAGCCTTCTCTCACCACTTTAACCAAAGTACAGTCCTACTCTACTAGGGCTTCCTTCAGAGCAGCGACAACAATCTATTATTCTTTTATGTTGTCACTTATTTGTTTATTGTCTGTCTTCCTCAGTAGAATGTCAGTCTTTTGAGAGCAAGGACCTTGAGTGTATTATTATCCATTATAATCCTAGCTCCTAGAGCCAAACACATAGTAAAGGATTCAAAAATATTTGCTGGCCAGGTTCGGTGGCTTATGCCTGTAATCCCTGCACTTTGGGAGGCTGAGGCAGGCGGATCACCTGAGGTCAGAAGTTCAAGACCAGCCTGGTTAAAACGGTGAAACCCCGTCTCTACTAAAAATACAAAAATTAACCAGGTGTGGTGGAGGGCGCCTGTAATCCCGGTTACTCAGGAGGCTGAGGCAGGAGAATCGCTTGAACCCAGGAGATGAAGGTTGCATGCAGTGAGCCAAGATCTCACCATTGCACTCCAGCCTGGGCAACAAGAGTGAAACTCCATCTCAAAAAAATATATGCTTTTTTTTCTCAAAAAAAAAATACATATATATTTGCTAGTGGGTGGATGAATGGAAAAGTGATATAATATTTCTGGAAGTTGGTTTGGCTATTGAATCAAAAGACCTTAAAATATTCACACAGAGTGGTCAAATAATTCTAGGAATTTATCTTAAAGAAATCATTTAGGCACAGAATTTTTATCACAGACATGTTTTATAAAAGGAAAAACTGGAAATGATCTAAATATCCATAAATAAGAAACGCATTACATAAATGACATTTTAAAAGAATGCTTACATAATGATAAAAAGCTCATGATACATGTTAAATACAAAAAGTAGGATAAAAGATTTTATACAGTATGATCCCAATTTTGCAAAAAGGAAAAGAGTATATATGCATGGAAAAGAACTGTTATATGTGTCAATGTATCATTGTATTTGTGCTGAGAAAAATAAATAAAAGTGTATATACATTGGCCACCCATGTTGGCTTATGCCTGCGGGGGAACAAAAGAGTATACGTATCAATGTACTGAAATATTGGTAATGGTTATCTATAGGTGATAGATAAGTGATTTTTTATGATTGATGACATTCTGTATTTTTAAAAATTCTCTACAGTGAATAAGTATTACTTTTATAACTAGATAGAAAACTAGATAGATATTGCCAGGCATGGTGGCTTATGCCTGTAATCCCAACACTTTGGAAGGCTGAGGCAGGCAGATCATTTGAGGTCAGGAGTTTGAGACAAGGCTGGCCAACATGGTAAAACCCTATCTCTACTAAAAATACAAAAATTAGCCAGGCATGGTGGCACATGCCTGTAGACCCAGCTACTCTACTTGGGAGGCTGAGGCAGGAGAACTGCTTGAACCCAGGAGGTAGAGGTTGCAGTGAGCAGAGATTGCCCCCCTGCACTCCAGCCTGAGTGACAGAGCAAGACTCCATCTCAAAAAAAAAAAAAAAGCAACATATTTTAAAGTCTAAATAAACCCCTGTATTAGTTAATTTTCATGCTGCTGATAAAGACATACCCAAGACTGGGTAATGTATACAGGAAAAAGGGTTTATTAGACTTACGGTTCCACAAGGCTAGGGAAGCCACACAATCATGGCAGAAGACAAGGAGGAGCAAGTGACAACTTACCTGGATGGCAGCAGGCAAAGAGAGAGCTTGTGCAGGGAAACTCTGCCTTATAAAGTCATCAGATCTCATGAGACTTATTCACTATCACAAGAACAGCACGGGAAAGACCTGCCCCCATGATTCAATTACTTCCCACTGGGTCCCTCCCACATCATGTGGGAATTCAAAATGAGATTTGGGTGGGGACACAGACAAACCATATCAACCCCTATGTGTGAAAAGTACTCTGCTAATTATTGAAGGATTCAACACTTTTGAATGGATGATCAACACTTTTCTCACTCTAGTGGTTTGTAATTTATGATGTAAATAAACTTATTTCCAAGCTCAGACAAGAGCAGGAAATAGAAGCCATCAGCAAGCCAGAAGGAGAATGAACGAAGGCACAAAAGTCGTGAGATGGGGTAAGACAGGGTGGGGTACCACAAAAGAGAAGGAAAACAAGGAGGGAGATGAGAAGACTCCATAGATAAAATTCAACTGCTTCCTCCTTTCAACAGACACTGAGTACCCACTGATCCTAGTATTTTGTTACGCCATAATGTTTCAAAGATAAATAAAACATGGTTGCAGCCCGCCCTGAAATTACACTGGGATAGGCAGGTAGGAAAATCAATTATATTAGAACTCAAGTATATGATTATGCACAAGATGCTCTGAGAGTATAAACAAAGTGCACCTAGGTCATGGCGAAATGAGAATGGTCAGAAAGCACTTCCAAGAGAATATAAACTCATGCTAAGTCCCAAAAAACAAAATACAGAATTCCAGGCAGGTGAGAAAAACATAAGCAAGGTACAGAAGCATGAAATCACATGGCTATCAGGATGTTTTCAGCTGCATATAGCCCCTACTTAGGACTCCAAGTATCCATTGGAAGGTAAATGTCATTTCCTCTGGGCTCCATATAAAATGCAGTTGCCTAAATGGCAAGTTTGCAAACTACCCTGAACAAGCGTCTATTATGTAAATCCAGGTGTAATTAATATTTATCAGCAGACCAGTATGTCTCAGGCATTTTTGACCTGTTATTTTATTTATACTCTAAGAGATTTTTTTTAAAAGCCTCTTTCTCAGCAACCAGTAGCACATCAGGGTGTATAACTGCAGGTGGCAGCTGGTCTGGAGCAGCCAGACACAGAAGAAGATATGAGGGCAGAGAAAAGATAGTCATTTACTTCCATCACCTGCCCCTTTTCTGAAAAGAAAAGGGAAATCTAGCCGATTTAATATATAGGGTACATGGTATGATCAATACCTTACTTATTTTTAGGTCTCAATCTTCCCACTTTCAAAGGGCATTTAAATTCAGTTTGTTGGAATGATGTAGGCAAAGCTATGCATAATGATGACTTGGTTTCTCATCCATTTGCCTCATGCAATACCCTAGAACTACCCTTACACCAAAGCTAGAAGTAAAGAATGAAAGAATCAACAGCCACTGTCCCGCTCTCCAAAATCATAAGATCCCATGTGCACCATAACAACATATGAAATAATGGCTCTGAGCACCAAATGAATGAATATTTAGTAAATTTTAAAATATTTAATAAAATATTCATATTATTTACCAAAAGATCCTCTAGACTACTTTAGATGGGGGGAAAAAGCAATATGTCTTACTTTTAAGCCTTAGTCTAAAGCTTAAATCCTAAATAGGATTTTGAATCTCATTTTGAATAATTCAAAGTCTTTGGGAAAAATCAATAATGCCAATATACCAGTGTAATACTTAAAGAAACTTTCTCCCAAAGTAGTATATATTTCTTTCTTTCTTTCTTTCTTTCTTTCTTTCTTTCTTTCTTTCTTTCTTTTTTTTTTTTTTTTTTGATACAGAGTCTCGTTGTGTCGCCCAGGCTGGAGTGCAATGACACGATCTCAACTCACTGCAACTTCCACCTTCCCAGTTCAAGTAATTCTCCTGCCTCAGCTTCCTGAGCAGCTGGGATTACAGGCGCCCGCCACCACACCTGGCTAATTTTTGTATTTTTAGTAGAAACAGGGTTTTGCTGTGTTGGCCAGGCTGGTCTCGAACTCCTGACCTCAGGTGATCTGCCCGCTTTTGGCCTCCCAAAGTGCTTGGGATTACAGGCATGAGCCACTGCCCCCAGCCCTCACAAAGTAATATATTAAAATCAATTTAGTTAACTTCTAGAAAGGGAATCTACTATATTTTTAATCTCTCTATACTAAATATATTACATGACTCAAATACAACTACAGATTAAATTTATGTCTTACACCATTGCCACTGTTCGCACTAAATTTAGGACCTTTAGAACATTATACATACACAGACATCATAAAGAACATATATTTTCTCTCCCTTGTGCATGGCATTTCCAGTTACAGAATATTAGATTACAAGCCCAAAATTGGGATCATGTTCAAAATAAAGAGACTATTCAACTACCCAATTTGTCAGGTATAAGCATATTCTGGTTGTCAATGTTAGGAGAGGGAATTTTCAAATTTTTTAAATTAAATTAAATTAACAAACAAAAAAGTCTTCAACTTAAAATAAAGGTAAATTAAAATAACAATAAGAAACATTTTATTAGTAAAAAATGGTTATTGATGATGGGTTGTTTTAGCCTTTCAGCAGCTATGTTATGGTGTCAACACCTCACTTTCTCTTTGAGGACTTGCCTCTTCTGTATTTGAGTGATCCTGGTGGGGATGATAATCACAGTTGTTCTATTCCCCGTCCCTTCTTGGATGAACACATCCAAGAATGGGTGAAACAGGCCTGGTCAATCAGAGTCCTTCCCAAGGACTGATATGATCAAAACTGTAAAGTTCTTTCTTTCTCCTGACATTCAACCAACATGGTCAATTTCTCCAGTTGCGTGGAAGAAGTCCATTTTTTTGTAGGAGAGAAGAGATCAACACACAGAGGAAAGCAAAGGAGATATGTGAAAGGGAGAGAGAGGAAAAAGGGAAAGGGAGAAAGAGGTCAGACCTAAAAGTGTTACTGATGCTACTTCGTGAAGCCTGAATTCAACCCCTCTACCTCCCCCAGTACATGGACCAGTGAATTCCCTTTTTTCTTTAAACCAGCTTAGGTTTTTTGTTATTTGCAATCAAGAGTACCAACTCAGTGCCCCATCCCCACTAATTGTAGTGACAATATTCATTATTGTGGAGAATAACTATGCATATATGTTACTATTAGGTTTTCCTTTGATTTCATGCAGCAGAAATATGACTACAGTTGCTTAACCAAACACATATTAATTTATTCATGTAACAAGAATTCCAGAGAAAGGAGACCAGAGCTGGTGCAGATGTTCAAGAAAGTCACAAGCTCCTTCTGGCTTCCTTTTCCACCACTTTAACTTGTAGCTTTCATCCTCAAAGTTGCAAGAAGGCTGCTCTACCTGCAGTCAGAAAGAAGAGCGGAAAAGAGGAAAAAGTGTGTGCCAGCAGAGCATGTTCCTTTTATGTAATAAAACAAAAGTGTGTCTCATAGCGGAACCCTGTAACCATCATAGACCACATCTCGGTCATATGGACGTACCTAGATGCAAGGGAGTCTGAGGAAATGAGGCTTTTATAACAAGTCACATTCCCACTTAAAAAAAAAAAAGTCTTTGATTAATGAAGGTGAGAATGAATACTAGGTAGGCAAATGTATGGTCAAAGTCAATGGCCTTACAAATTGGTATAATATTTGTGAAAAACAATTTAGACTTACTATATAGACTTCATACCTGGTGATTTAATAATACCAGTTCTAGGAATTTGTTCTTAAATAATTCAAACTGTGAGAAGACTGTAATAAAGATATTTATATTGATGATCTTAAAAACAGAAAAAATCGGCTGGGCGTGGTGGCTCATGCCTGTAATCCCAGCACTTTGGGAGGCAGAGGTGGGTGTATCACCTGAGATACGGAGTTCGAGACCAGCCTGGCCAATATGGTGGAACCCCATCTCTACTGAAAATACGAAAATTAGCTGGGCGTGGTGGTGGGCGCCTGTAATCCCAGCTACTTGGGAATTGAGGCAGAAGAATCACTTGAACGTGGGAGGCAGAGGTTGCAGTGAGCCGAGTTCGCACCATTGCATTCCAGCCTGGGTGAAAAGGGTGAAACTCTGTCTCAAAAAAAAAAAAGAAAAAAAGAAAAAGAAAAAATCTGCATAATCTAAATATCCAAAAATAAGGAAATGATTATAAAAATTATATGTTTGCAGACTATGTATTGTACAGCCATTAAAAATTATAATTCTTAAGATTATGAAACAAATGGGGAAATGTTTATGATATAATGTTTGGGTTGGTTGGTTGGTTGGTTGTTGTTGTTGTTGTTTTTTGGAACAGAGTCTCGCTCTGTCACCCAGGCTGGACAGGCTGGAGTGCAGTGGCATGATCTTGGCTCACTGTGAACTCCATCTCCTGGGCTCAAGCTATCCCTTCCACCTCAGCCTCCCAAAGTGTTATGATTACAGGCATGAGCCACTGTATCTGACCTGTGATATCATGTTAAAGAAAAGAATTGACAGCATGATTTTTCATAAACTAATATTTTATATACATCAAATACCACAAAGGGAAAAGTTACTGAAAGAAAATACACTAGATGCTAACAGTGGTTGTATTAGGCTGTTGGGGTTATAATTTATTTTTCCACTTTCCTCCAAGTTACAGTTTTAATTGTTTTCTTTAATAATAAATTAATAAAGTAAACATTGATTTTAAATAAATTAGTTTTATCAGTATATATTCATTGAAGTAGTTCTGGGATTTATTCACTATAGATTTATGCTACTCTAGTATTTTTTCCATTGTTTAGCAGAGCACTGGGATTAAAATGACACCTAATAAATATTTGTTGGTAGATTATTAGATGCTTTCTTTTAAACAGTATTAAGAAACAGCAGCAATAGGATGCATGAATGGATAGATAAATGGATCGATTGGTAGATCAATAGATAGATTTATTACAGGGAATTCACCCAAGTGATTATGGAGGCTGGCAAATTTAAAATCTGCAAAGCTGATGTCTCAGTTTAAGTCCAAACAGGAGCACGTTGCTGGAGAACCAGGAAAAGCCCATGTCCTAGTTCAAAGGTCTCAAGCAGGAGAATTCTCTTTTACTTGGAGGAGGGTCCGTTTTTTTTGGTCTATTCAGGCTTTCAACTGAATAGGCCCACCCACATTATGGAAGGCAATCTGCTTTACTTAGTCTATAGATTTAAATGTCAATCTTGGGTCGGGCACCATGGCTCATGCCTGTAATCCCAGCATTTTGGGAGGCCCAGGTGGGTGGATCACTTCAGGCCAGGAATTCAAGACCAGCCTGGCCAACATGGTGAAACCTCCTCTCGACTAAAAACACAAAAATTAGCCAGGCATGGTGGTACACGCCTGTAATCCCAGCTACTTGGGAGCCTGAGGCAGGAGAATCGCTTGAACCCAGGAGGCAGAGGTTGCAGTGAGCTGAGATCACGCCGCTGCACTCCAGCCTCAGCAAAAGAGCGAGACTCTGTCTCAAAAAAAATAAAATAAATAAATAAATAAATGTTGATCTTGGGCCAGGTTCAGTGGCTCATACCTGTAATCCCAGCACTTTGGGAGGCTAAGGCGGGTGGATCACTTGAGCTCAGGAGTTTGAGACCAGCCTCGGCAACATGGCAAAAACCCGTCTCTACAAAAAATACCAAAATTAGCCAGTTGTGGTGGTGCAAGCCTGTAGTCCCAGCTACTCTGGGGGCTACGCAGAAGGATGGCTTGAACCCGGGATGTAGAGGCTGGAGTGAGCCGTGATGGCGCCTCTGCACTCCAACCTGGGCGACAGAATGGGACTCTGTCTCTAAATAAATGTGTGTGTGTATGTTAATCTTATCCAAAAACTTTCCATAGAAATAGCCCAAAAAAAATTTGACCAAATATCTGGGTACCCTGTGGCCCAGACACATAAAATTAACCATCACAAACAGTCACAGGTGAAACTAAATTTATGTCACATGTTGGATTAGATTTAAATCTTTTTAAATCACCAGGTCTTTCCTCTGTTTAATGCCGGTGTGAAGTTTATACATCTTTGCATTTTACCTCCATGCCTTTGCTCACTGTGCTCCCTGAACTTGAAATGTTTTTCCTGTAATTGCCACATTTCTATATCCTTAATATCTTTAAACCCTGCTCAAATGCAACATTCTTCACAAAACCTTCTCTGATTCCTACAGTCTTCATACCTCCTACCCCGACCTCCTATAGACACATCAAAATAGAAGTAGGCCGGGCATGGTGGCTCATGCCTGTAATCCCAGCCCCGTGTGAAGCTGAGGCAGGACGATTGCTTGAGCGCAGGAGATCAAGACTAGCCCGAGCAACACAGCAAGACCTCATCTCTACAAAAAAAAATTTTTTTAATTAGCCAAGCATTGTGGCACACACCTGTAGTCCTAGCTACTTTGAAGGCTGAGGTAAGAGGATTGCTTGAGACCAGGAGTTCCAGGTTGCAGTGCACTGTGATCACACCACTGCACTCCAGCCTGGGCGACAGAGCAAAGCCCTGTTTCTGAAAGAGAAGAGAAGAGAAGAGAAGAGAAGAGAAGAGAAGAGAAGAGAAGAGAAGAGAAGAGAAGAGAAATAATTTTTTCCTTCTTAATACATAAAGTGCCTCTTCTCTAATGGTATGTCTCACATCTACCTTGTTTTATAGGTTTTTATGAATAGATTTTTTAGTCTACAAACTTCTTCAGGAAAATATATATGTCTAATCCAGTTTTGGGTCTCCTGAGTACCTAGCATTGAGTAGACTTTAAACATTTATTTGTGGAATTAACATATTTTATACATTTTTCTCATAACTAACAGAGTCAGCAATTTCTTGAATAAAAAATAGTTCAAAAACATTTTCTAACTAAGCAACAGAGTTCAAAGTACTCACATATTGAGTAGTTTAAGATAAATACACCTTTAGCTGGTTAGAATTTTCAGTCACTTTTTAACAAATATGTTCTATATGTTTAACCGTAATTTTGTTTTTTAAGATGGTGTCTCACTATGTGCCCAGGCTGGGCTTGAACTCCCAGCCTCAAGTGATCATCCCACCTAGGCCTCCCAAAGTACTGGGATTACAGGCATGAACCACTGTACCTGGCCCATAATTTTAAGTATTAATTGTCAAGTGCACTTAAGGCAAAGCATAGGGAAATTGTTTTGATTATGTTAATATTTTTCCTTTACTGCCACTTTTCCCATCTTTGAAGTCCAAGGCATTTAATCCTTTCATCATTCATTCTAATTAGACAGGTTTATTTTTCACACTTACTCTTTGGGCAAAGGCACAAGTTGAACAAAACTAATTTAGCTGGTCAACCATAGAACACCTTGTTCCTCACCCTTTGGAGAAGTTACATCACCTTTCTGTTACATTATTTCTGAAGGACCCCATAGAATCAACAGATCTCCAACAACCAAGAATATATGCTAGCACCTTCTGTGAATCCATATTTCACTACAATTAGTACATGTCACAGCTGGCATTTAAATAATCTTTCAAATGTATCAAAAATTTCAAAGCTTTTGTTGTTTCTCCCCCTAGTGGTCAATAATAATCATTAAAATGGAAAAACTATGTAAAGGTGATATTCAATGTGGGTGAAAGGTGGGGATGAACATTCAATTAGATTGTAAATAAATATGAATGTATTCAAACCTATGTCTCATAATCTGAGAAGTGATTTATTTGGGATAGAATTTCTTTAGACACCACACACAAATACTCTCTATACTTATTCTCTGAATAATACTTATATTTTATCCTAATAATTGTTTAAATACATGCTGCATAGTTAATTTCCTGTTTAGAAAAATGTGGTTTTCATTAGTCTTATGGGATCTGGAAAAAAAGAAAAATAAATAAAATATGATTTTCATACCAAATTACCTGAGACATTTTAGTAACGTGTATCACTAAATATTTTTAATTTTTAAAAAATGTTCACCTGAGGCCAGGCACAGCGGCTCACACCTGTAATCCCAGAACTTTGAAAGGCTGAGGCGGGTGGATCACTTGAGGTCAGGAGTTCAAGACCAGCCTGGCCAACATGGTGAAAACCCATCTCTACTAAAAATGCAAAAATTAGCCGGGTGTGGTGGCGGGTACCTGTAATCCCAGCTACTTGGGAAGCTGAGGCAGGAGAATTCCTTAACCCGGGAGGTGAGGGTTGCAGTGAGCTGAGATTGTGCCACTGCACTCCAGCCTAAGCAACATAGCGAAAGTCCGTTTCAAAAAAAACTAAAACAACAACAAAAAACATTTAAGTGTGTGTTGGGCATTTTCACATATCAGAACAATCAATCTGCTACCTTTTAAAAAAGGATTGCATATTATTCCAATGTGTGCATTACTTTTTTTTTTTGAGACAGTCTTGCTTTGTCACCCACGCTAGGTTGCAGTAGCGTGGTCTGGGCTCACTGCAACCTCCACCTCTGGGGCTCAAGTGATCCCCCCACCTCAGTCTCCCAAGTAGTTTGAACCACAGATGCACGCCACCACGGCGGCTAATTTTTGCATTTTTTGTAGAGATAAGGTCTCACCATGTTGCTGAGGCATGAGAATCACTTAAATCCAGGAGTTAGAGGTTACAATGAGCCAAGATCGAGCCACTGCACTGCAGCCTAGGTGACAGAGTGAGACCCTGTCTCAAAAAAAAAAAGGAAAAAAAATATGTTTCCTTCATAGGTGTGTGTCTTTATTTTTAAAATAAAGAAAAAAAAAAGTTTCCCTAATTGGACAATGCTTCCCCCCTCCACCCTCCATTTAATTTTCATTGGCTGTTTGCTCTTATGTAATGTTCCACTTTCAATTTTTATTTTCTTGCTCATAAAATATTATGGAAAACTTGTTTAATTAGAAATAAATTTCAGGCCGGGCACAGTGGCTCACGCCTGTAATCCCAGCACTTTAGGACGCCGAAGTGGGTGGATCACCTGAGGTCAGGAGTTCGAGCCAGCCTGGCCAACATGGCGAAACCCAGTTTTAAAACCAAAAGCCCCATATTCCAGGAACCCCTCAGCCCCAGATCCAGACAAACCAGGACAGCTAGTCATTCTAACTCCTCTCCTTATGGCTACTTTTTTTTTTTTTTTTTTTTTTTTTGAGACAGAGTCTCACTCTGTTGCCCAGGCTGCAGTGCAGTAGTGTAATCTCGGCTCACTGCAGCCTCAACCTCCCACCTCAGCCTCTCAAGTATCTGGGTCTAGAGGTGTGCACCACCAAGCCCAGGTAATTTTTTTTATCTTTTGTAGAGACAGGATTTTGCCTTGTCACCCAGGCTGCCTTACAGCTACTTCTTAGCAAGGTAGCATCACCTCCTTGACCTTTGAGGCAACGTGGGGCAGGGGACTCAAGGAAAACTTCGGTCTTTTCCAGAAATAACTCAGCTCTTTCCTGACCCACCTCTGACCTAGCTGCAGCCTGCCTCCAAGTATCCCAGGGCACACAAGAACACCACTGACCATGACCCAGCACTTGGGCTACAGCACATTCTGCTTCCTGACCCTGCTTTTCTGCTCCCCATCTATCATTGACAGTCTCACTCTCACTGAGAGGGCCACCAACTCCCACACAACTCTACTCCCTGGGACTCTGCTGCTATAGAAAGACTCCTTTTTTACCACATACGTCAGAGTTTTACAGACTTCGTTTTTAGAGCAAGATCGCATTCTTTACTAAGACTTAGCATGCAGAAAAGGAAATAAAAGAGTGGTTTTATCCTCACAAACAGGGTAAGGATAACAGGCAATTTCTTTTTCTTTTTCTTTTTTTTTTTTGAACTCTTATTTTGGTGTTGAGCAAGTAGGTAGATGTATTTAAAAATCAAACTAGTTAGGAGTAATATCGATTTAAGAATATCAAGAGTAAGAACAATGAAAACATATTCTTATATGATTTGTTACCTGTTGCCATTTTATCAGTGGCTAATGTTTGACCACAGGCTCTGAAAATTTAAATTTTAAAATCATGAGAATAAAATAAATATTATAAAATTTTTTTTAATTGTAGTATTTATTTTTTAAATCAGGTTATACTTACACCTGATAAAACATTCAAGCCGGGCGAGGTGGCTCATGCCTGTAACCCAAGCAATTTGGGAGGCCAGGGTGGGCAGATCACCTTAAGTCAGGAGTTCGAGACCAGCCTGACCAACGTGGTAAAACCCCATTTCTACTAAAAATACAAAAATTAGCCGGGCGTGGTGGCAGGCGCCTGTAATCCCAGCTACTCAGGAGGCTGAGGCAGGGGAATTGCTTGAACCCAGGAGGTGGAGGTTGCAGTGAGCCAAGATCACGCCATTGTACTCCAGCCTGGGCAACAAGAGCAAAACTCTGTCTCAAAAGAAAAAAAAGAAAAAAGAAAAAAATTCAAAACGGGTAGTCTGTCTTTCCAACCTTGTACCTCAGTCATCTTGTTCCCTACCCAGTAACAGGCAATTTCTTTAGGCACATTATAATAGTCACAAGTCAAGCTGACTATGAAAAAATGTTAAATCTTCCACAACGTTAACTATAAAAGTGTTAACTTGGAACCCTAGTTTAACAAATTTTGAATTTCTAAGGATATCAAGAGCATGTTTTTGAAAAGGGCTACACGTTTTTTTTCCATGAAAAGTAAAACGTAAGGGCTAGGCGACAAGCAACTTTGTCTGTTATAGAGGCTGAGCCGTATGATCCCAGCTCTGTGTGTTGCAGAGGCTGATTTCTCCTCCAGTAAACAACCTACTCATCAACCACTCAACATCAGCAGAAATAAAACCATCATCTTCCCCCCAAAACCATTGTTTCTCTTTCTCCATTGTTCTTTAAACAAACCACACCACTAACCAGATGCAAAAACCAAAAATTTAGGAGGCATCTTTGGCTCCTCCCTCTACGTCACTGCCATATGCCATCAGTCCTCCATGGAAATGTTTCTCAAACTCTGCCTTTGCTCTTTCCTCATGGCACACACCCTGATGGGGTAGCTATCATCTCTCACAAGACTCCTATGGGTCTGCATAATTGCCCCTCTCCAATTAATTCTCTATACTACTGCCACATGTATGGTGTTATGGCTGAATTATGTTTCCATAAAATTTGTATGTTAAAGCCCAGTATCTCAGAATATGACTGTATTTAGAGACAAGGCCTTTAAAGAGGTGACTAAGTTAAAATGAGATCATGGAGGGATCTCAATCCAATCTGAGCGGTGTCCTTCTAAGAAGAAATCCTTATAAGAAGAAGAAAGAGACGTGAGGGGCTCACACACACAGAGAAAAGACCATATAAAGAGGCAGTAAGAGGGAGGCCATCTGCAAGCTAAGGAGAGAGACCTCCAAAGAAACCAAGCCTGCAACATCTTGATATTGGACTTCCAGCCTCCAGAACTGTGGGAAAATAAATTTCTGTTGTTTAAGCCAACCAGTCCATGGCATTTTGGCAGCCCTAAAAAATTAATACATATGTTGTCTTCCCCCTTCCCATCACCCTTAAAATAAAATGCAAAGGAATTAATATGACTATAAAGCTCTAGATGATTTGGTCCTATGCACATCTCTTGCCTCATTCCTTTCCCTAGCTCTCTGCCCCTAGCTGTGCTGAACTTCTCCCAGTTCTCAAACATACCTGGGGCCTTCTCACAAGGTGCTTCCTTTGCTGGAAGTACCAGTCCCCCATCTTTGTTACCCACCTAAATTCAAGTCTCAGCTCAGAGTCACTTCCTTAAGAAAATCTCCCTGACTCCCTAGTCTAGGTCAATCTCCTCTTTGTTTCTATCACTAAACACAGTTGTCATTATTTGCCTCATACCTACTGGTTTTTCTATTAATTAAGAAGCTCCACAATAGCTGAATCACTACTGCCTGGTTTATTTTTCTATTTACAATGGCAGCACAGTATTTGGCACATAGCAGGACTTCAACAGCATTCATTGGCCATAAGACTGATGCTCTCTTTCTTTCACTATCTACAGCTACTTCTGTTGAGAAATTGAGACATCAATTGGCTTAGTTGGAGAAGCTCCTGGGACAGCATCATAAGATGCCTAATATGCAGCTATCCTTCCCCGCAGACTCTATTTTCACTGGCACCTATAGCTTCCCAGGAGATGTAGTAAAAAGGAAGAATGGCTAATAGACCTCAACATTCCTCTCTTACACCCTGTCCCATATGACCAGAGGGATCATGCAAGCTGAGCTCCGGAGATAGCCTGTATCACAGACTAGCTGAGAACACTTCTGTAAAATGGTATTCAGAGAGGGACTATGAACTAGCCTAGCAAACACTACAGTATTTTGAACTGCAGCCAAGATCATCTACAAAAATAATTCTTGGAATGTTAAAGAGGATATTTTAAGGCTAGGAATGTAGTAAGAGGAACACATATTTTCAAATAGGAATCTGGAATGTTCTGCAAGTTCTGATAATCTCACTAAAGTGAGAGGTCATTAGCTGAGTTTTATTCCAAA
Organism: Homo sapiens; assembly: GCF_000001405.40. Taxonomy (NCBI): domain Eukaryota; kingdom Metazoa; phylum Chordata; class Mammalia; order Primates; family Hominidae; genus Homo; species Homo sapiens. The sequence goes on along the minus strand of NC_000014.9, from coordinate 31,505,419 downwards.
AGGAAGGGAACAAACACCTCCAGGGTGCTAGAAATGAAAGACTTCACAGAGACAGAAGTTAACTCTCTGTTCTGAAAAACCATCTCTCAAAAGTTTTTCTTTCCTTTGGTATGGCCTAGATCTTGAAACAGGGCAGTATATCTTTTATTTCTCTAAGGAGCTGCAATATTCTATTATTTGCCATGAGAGAAAATCTTTGTGACCTACATCTTCTATCCAGGTCCCTGAGCCATCTTCTTTCTGGTGCCTACAGTGACTGAGACACAGGATTCCTGGTCCTGATGTATGAAGCAATTCCTGCAGAGGTCTTGGAGGTCTTGCTTTAAGGCAGGAGGAGACTGCCTGCATGCAAGATAATGGCTGGCTAGCAAAGATAGGTGTGAAAAGGTCAACCAGCAGGTTGACTCTATGAAATATGAATTTCAGCACCATTTCTCTTTATAGTTTTAACAATTACTAGATGCCAGTTATATTCATATGTTTTGTCTCTTTAATCCCCAGAATAACTTGCAATGGAATATTAGGCAACCATTAAAATGACAATACAGGCTGGGTGTGGTGGCTCATGCTTTTAATCCCAGCATTTCAGGAAGCTGAGGTAGGCAGATTGTTTAAGCTCAGGAGTTTGAGGCCAGACTGGGCAACATGGCGAAACCCCATCTCTATGAAAAAAATACCAAAGAATTAGCCAGGCATGGTGGCACATGCCTATGGTCCCAGCTACTCGGGAGGCTGAGGTGGGAAGTTCACTTGAGCCAGGAGGTTGAGGCTGCAGTGAACCATGATCATGCCACTGCACTACAGCCTGAGCCACAGAACAAAACCCTGTCTCAAAAAAAAAAAAAAAAAAAAGATAATACAGATGTGTGTTTGTTAACATATTAGTTTACTGATATGGAGAACATTTAAAACAATTTTTTTTTTGAGACAGGGTCTTGCCCAGGCTGGAGTGCAGTGATGCAATCATAGCGCACTGCAGCCTTGACCTACTGGGTTCAAGCAATCATCCCACTTTAGCCTCCCAAGTAGCTGGGACCACCAATGCATGCCACCATGACTGGCTAATTTTTTAAATTTTTGTAGAGATGTGTTCTCGATAAATTGCCCAGGCTGGTCTCGAACTCCTGGGCTCAACCAATCCTGCCGCCTTGGCTTCCCAAAGTGCTGGGATCACAGGCATGAGCCACTGTGCCAGGCCAGAAAACATTTAAAACATATTAAATGGAAAAGGTTACCAAACAGAATACATAGAGTCGGCCCATTTTTATAGAAATATACATACATATTTAGATTTATATACCACAGCAAAATATCTAGTGAGTCAAGCACTTTTTAAAAATCTCTTTATGATAAATAGGGAATATCTGAAACACGGAATCTAGTAGGACTGAGGCCATATCTTATAAAAATAGTAAAGCCAAGATTTAAATCCAAGTATTTCTGAAGCCAAAGCTCCAAAGCTATTTTGTACTTTGCTAGGTTACTTTCTTAGTCAATCTTGAAGCAGTGACTAGACTTCCTCAGAAGAATGCTTTATTTATAAAATAAGGAAACCCACCCCACACTCCTTAAAGGTCTCATAAAAATGAGATTCTGGTAGCCAGTAGTGAACATTTTATGCCTAAATTGGGTATGGCCATAAAGACTCCTTACCTTGGTTAAGCCACAGTCGGCCTGAGTTGCCTTAGTTTTTATGCTGTCCCTATGCCCAAATTAGGAGAAAAACATAAATGAGCCACATTTGACCGTGGCTGTCATAAAGATATCTTAGAGGATGAAATTTTTGTTAAGTATAGGAGTATTTTTAAATATTTGATCTCATTCATCTGAATAGCTCTGGACCCTTGATAATTAAATCATAATCTCAAAGACCATTGTATTATATTGTCTTAAGTTATTTCACTTACCTAGCCATAGAAATTTCTCACTTCCATCATGAAGACGGAGAAAGAAAGGGACATGCGATTCATATGACAAGGAGCTCTGCATTCCTTCTGCCAATTGTGTTTTGAAATAAGGAAAGGAAGAGATAACACTGGGATACTGCCTGAAAGACATGAATGTGAAGTGAGCCATAAAAAAGGCTGATTCTGATGTCAAAAACTTAAAGAATACTTCCTGTCCAACTGGCAAACAGTAAGAAATGCTTATTTTCAGGAAGACGGCCTACTAATTTTGTTTTTTTGTTTGTTTGCTTGTTTTGGTTTGTTTTGTTTAGAGATAGGGTCTCACTATGTTGCTCAGGCTGGTCTCAAACTCTTAGGTTCAAGCAATCCTCATGCCTCAGCCTTCCAAAGTGCTGGGATTATAAGTGTGAGCCACTGCACCTGGCCACTCGTTATTTAAGGTCAAAACAGTTTGTTAAGAAAGTTGTCATTCTAGTCATCTAGTTGTCACTAGGAGAAACCCACACTAAGCTTACAAATTATATCTTCCACTTGATTTGGCAGTGTCAAAGTAAATACCATGATTAGGAAACTCCTCTTTAGAAAGTCAAAACTATACTAATATTGCTTCTTCCATTTTAGCTTTAACATTCAATACTTAAATGCAAACTATTTTCCTTCTACTAGGTAGCGGCTATTTATAATACACTGTGAAATAAGAATACATCTCTTAAACAAACCATCCCTTAGACCTGCACTCTATGGTGGCTATTGGGCACTTGAGTGTGACTTACTGAAACTGATGTATACTCTAAGTGTAAAATACACATCAGATTTTAAAGCCTTAGCACCAAGAAGGACGTAAAATACCTCATCAATATTTTTTGTATGATTACATGCTGAAATGGTAATATTTTGATATATTTGATTATAGCAGTAAAAAAATATGTACTATTAAAATTAATTCTATCTGCTTTTTACATGTAGCTTCTAAAGAATTTTTCATGTGGCTCACACAGTATTTCTATTGGACAACACTGCCTTCACTTTTCACCTGAGTCAGGAGTAACAGTATCAGACTTTATTCCTATCTACTTGGAATATCTTGGGCTTGCACTTTACTTTAAAAGAGGAACAAAAATGTAGCACTCTTACAAGCATGGTTAACAAAATGGAGAATATAAAAGTAATGTTCCCAAAAGTAGCATTTATGCACCTGTTAAATCCTTTCACAACTGTCTTCCAAGCTACCTCTTCCCTTGTCTGTACTAATATTAACATAATAGCCTTCAAACAGATGCAACACATCCTTTTTGATGCCCATTCATGACTGGTTGCCTTTACCATCTCAGTCCTTGCTGGCCAGACTTCCTTCATCTGCTGGAATCTACCTTTTTTTTTTCTTTGCCCAAAAGTTTCTCTGGCCACAAGATCCCACTAGGCTCATGTGTGTGGCAGAGGAAGTACCAAGAAATTACCCACTGGGAGCTTCCTCAAACAGTAACTGACAGGAGCTGATGTGTATATACCCCAGCCCTTCACGCCTTCACACTGCAGGTGAGGTAAGCCAGCAGTATGTGTTCTACACCCGGTGTTTCTCTTCCTTGCTGGGATTCAGCTTTAGTTACCTGCAGCTGTAAACTGTTTAATAATTCACCCTTTGTTGCTCCTGCCTTTCCCTCTCTCTTCCCCACCACTTATTGGATTTCCTGGAATCATTTATTTAGCAAATAAGCTACTTGCTGAGAATCCTTGTCTTGGGGTCTGCTTGTGAAGAACCCAAACTAACATAATTGGTCTTCCCACTTCCACTCTCACCTCTCACTAATCCATCCTCAACCTCAAAAACTGGGCTATCTTTTTAAACAATCGCTGTGACCGTATCACTTCTTACTTACAACTTTTCAGTGATTTTCCACCACTCTTAGACTAAGACTATCTAATAACCTCAGATTCAAGTTTCTTGATATCAATTCCAATGACTGCTTTACTGCCCAAGTTTCTTTGCCACATTCTAGATAATTTGCCATCACTCAGAACTGCTAAACCTCAAAATTTTTAAATTCCAACATCCCACACCTGACCATAGTTTTCTATGTTTATCCAAACACTACTACTCTGCCTGCACTAAGACCTCCAGTCTCTCAAGCTCTCATTTTCTCACCATCTGGCAAGCTCATGATGGCTTTGCACACTCCATATTTCACCTAAACCCCCAGCAACACCACTTTTACTACTCTCTGACTGGCACTCTCAAGTCAGCTGGCCTCCTCCCTTGGTAGTATTAGCTTAGAAGCCATCTGCCCTGAATATTTTGCCATCTCCTTCTGCCCCTACATACAGGCTAGAAGCAAATGCAACAGAATGAGCAGGTCAGAATTTAAAATTTTCCTGATGAGGTATTTTCCGCCTTCTCAGGATAGGGACCACTTGGTCCCTAATCTCAAACAGAGGCTTAATACCACTCAATCATTTTTAATATCTCATTACTTTCCTAGGAAATTGTAAATCTTCATTGCTCTCCAACATCCTGTGTCTGTTTACTCTCAGCAGATTACCTCGAGTCTGAATTGGCAAAAAAGAAAATCTATCCAAAGTCTTAACTCTTTTGCTCCTGCACAAAACTGATATTCTCCTCTTGTGCTCCACAGTCCAACCCTATCTCCTGAGACTGATCCTGAATCCAAGTACTTTCAAGATCTAGGCCAACTTCCCAGCCTCACCTTCTGCCTCTCCTCCAGGTATATCCTGCCTGCAGTTCTGGGAATCCTGTCCAGACATGGAGAGGATATGGAGCCCAATGTGGTGGATCATATCCAGTAAGGTCACCTGCTGGGAGCAGATCCCAGGAAAGAGCCTCCTGAACAAAGCTGAATTCCTATTTCCTTTTTTTTTTTTTTAAATACTTTAAGTTCTGGGACACGTGCAGAATGTGCAGGTTTGTTACATAGGTATACACGTGCCATAGTGGTTTGCTGCACCCATCAACCCGTCATCTACATTAGGTATTTCTCCTAATGCTATCCTTCCACTACTCCCCCACCCACCGACAGGCCCCGGCATGTGATGTTCCCCTCCGTGTGTCCATGTATTCTCATTGTTCATCTCCCACTTATGAGTCAGAACATGCAGTGTTTGATTTTCTGTTCCTGTGTTAGTTTGCTGAGAATGATGGTTCCCAGCTTCCTCCATGTCCCTGCAAAGGACATGAACTCATCCTTTTTTATGGCTCTATAGTATTCCATGGCATATATGTGCCACATTTTCTTTATCCAGTCTATCATTGATGGACATTTGGGTTAGTTCCAAGTCTTTGCTATTGTGAATAGTGCTGTAATAAACATATGTGTGCATGTGTCTTTATAGTAGAATGATTTATAATCCTTTGGGTATATACCCAGTAATGGGATGGCTGGGTCAAATGGTATTTCTGGTTCTAGATCCTTCAGGAATCACCACACTGTCTTCCACAATGGTTGAACTAATTTACACTCCCACCAACAGTGTAAAAGTGTTCCTATTTCGCCACATCCTCTCCAGCATCTGTTGTTTCCTGACTTTTTAATGATCACCATTCTGACATGAAATGGTATCCCATTGTGGTTTTGATTTGCGTTTCTCTAATGACCAGTGATGTGAGCTTTTTTTCATATGTTTGTTGGCCACATAAATGTCTTCTGTTGAGAAGTGTCTGTTCATATCCTTTGCCTATTTTTTGATGGGGTTGTTTTTTCTTGTAAATTTGTTTAAGTTCCTTGTAGACTCTGGATGTTAGACCTTTGTCAGATGGATACATTGCAAAATTTCTCTCCCATTCCATAGGTTGCTGTTCACTCTGATGATAGTTTCTTTTGCTGTGCAGAAGCTCTTTAGTTTAATTAGATGCCATTTGTCAATTTTGGCTTTTGTTGCCACATTGCTTTTGGTGTTTTAGTCATGAAGTCTTTGCCCTTGCCTATGTCCTGAATGGTATTGCCTAGGTTTTCTTCTAGAGTTTTTATGGTTTTAGGTTTTACATTTAAGGCTTTAATCCATTGTGAGTTAATTTTTGTATAAGGTGTAAGGAAGGGGTACAGTTTCATTCTGCATATGTCTAGCCAGTTTTTCCAGCACCATTTATTAAATAGGGAATCCTTTTCCCATTTCTTGTTTTTGTCAGGTTTGTCGAAGATCAGATGGTTGTAGATGCATGGTGTTATTTCTGAGGTCTTGGTCCTGTTCCATTGGTCTATATATCTCTTTTGGTACCAGTACCATGCTGTTTTGGTTACAGTAGCCTTGTAGTATAGTTTGAAGTCAGGTAGCATAGTATCTCCAGCTTTGTTCTTTTTGCTTAGAATTGTCTTGGCTATGTGGGCTCTTTTTTGGTTCCATATGAAATTTAAAGTAGTTTTTTCTAATTCTGTGAAGAAAGTCAATGGTAGCTTGATGGGAATAGCATTGAATCTATAAATTACTTTGGGCAGTAGGGCCATTTTCACTATATTGATTCTTCCTATCCATGAACATGGAATGTTTTTCCATTTGTATCCTCTCTTATTTCCTTGAGCAGTGGTTTGTAGTTTTACTTGAAGAGGTCCTTTATGTCCCTTGTAAGTTGTATTCCTAGGTATTTTATGTTCTTTGTAGCAATTGTGAATGGGAGTTCACTCATGATTTGGCTCTCTATTATTGGTGTCTAGGAATGCTTGTGGTTTTTGCACATTGATTTTGTATCCTAAGACTTTGCTGAAGTTGCTTAAGGAGTTTTTGGGCTGAGATGATGGGGTTATCTAAATATACAATCATGTCATCTGCAAATAGAGACAATTTGACTTCCCCTCTTCCTGTATGAATACCCTTTATTTCTTTCTCTTGCCTAATTACCCTGGCCACAACTTCCAATACTATGTTGAATAGGAGTGGTGAGAGAGGGCATCCTTGCCTTGGGCCAGTTTTCAAAGGGAATGCTTCCAGATTTTGCCCTTTCAGTATGATATTGGCTATGAGTTTGTCATATATAGCTCTTATTATTTTGAGATGCGTTCCATCAATACCTTGTTTATTGAGTATTTTTGGCAAGGAGGGGTGTTGAATTTTATTGATGGCCTTTTCTGCATCTAGTGAAATAATCATGTGGTTTTTATCATTAGTTCTGTTTATGTGACTGATTATGTTTATTGATTTGCATATGTTGAACCAGCCCTGCATCCCAGGGATGAAGCCAACTTGATTGTGATGAATAAGCTTTCGATGTGCTGCTGGATTTGGTTTGCCAGTACTGTATTGAGGATTTTCGCGTCAATGTTCATCAGGGATATTGGCCTGAAATTTTTTTTTGTTGTTATGTCTCTGCCAGGTTTTAGTATCTGGCCTCATAAAAATGAGTTAGGGAGGAGTCCGTCTTTTTCTGTTGTTTGGAATGGTTTCAGAAGGAATGGTACCAGCTCCTCTTTGTACCTCTGGTAGAATTCAGCTGTAAATCCATCTGGTCCTGGGCTTTTTTTTGGTTGGTAGGCTATTAATTACTGCCTCAATTTCAGAACTTGTTATTGGTCTATTCAGGGATTCAACTTCTTCCTTGTTAATTCTTGGGAGGGTGTATGTGTCCAGGAATTTATCCATTTCTTTTAGATTTTCTAGTTTATTTGCATAGAGGTGTTTATAGTATTCTCTGATGGTAGTTTTTATTTCTGTGAGATCAGTGGTGATATACCCTTTATCATTTTTTATTGTGTGTATTTGATTCTTCTCTCTTTTCTTCTTTAATAGTCTGGCTAGCAGTCTATCTATTTTGTTAACCTTTTCAAAAACCAGTTCCTGGATTCATTGATTTTTTTAAGGGTTTTTTGTGTCTCTATTTCCTTCAGTTCTGCTCTGATTTTAGTTATTTCTTGTCTTCTGCTAACTTTTGAATTTGTTTGCTCTTGCTTCTCTAGTTCTCTTAATTGTGATATGAGGGTGTCAATTTTAGATCTTTCCCGCTTTCTGATGTGGGCATTTAGTGCTATAAATTTCCCTCTTAACACTGCTGTAGCTGTGTCCCAGAGATTCTGGTACATTGTGTCTTTGTTCTCATTGGTTTCAAATTATTTATTTATTTCTGCCTTAATTTTGTTATTTACCCAGTAGTCATTCAGGAGCAGGTTGTTCAGTTTCCATGTAGTTGTGGAGTTTTGAGTGAGTTTCTTAATCCTGAGTTCTAATTTGATTGCACTGTGGTCTGAGAGACTGTTTGTTATGATTTCCATTCATTTGGATTTGCTGAGGAGTGTTTTACTTCTAATTATGTGGTCAATTTTAGAATAAGTGCTATGTGGCACTGAGAATAATGTATATTCTGTTGTTTTGGGGTGGAGAATTCTGTAGACATCTATTAGGTCCACTTGCTCCAGAGCTGAGTTCAAGTGCTGCATATCCTTGTTAATTTTCTGCCTCATTGATCTGTCTAATACTGACAGTGGGATGTTAAAATTTCCCACTATTATTGTGTGGGAGTCGAAGTCTCTTTGTAGGTCTCTAAGAGCTTGCTTTATGAATCTGGGTGCTCCTGTATTGCATGCATATACATTTAGGATAGTTAGCTCTTCTTGTTGCATTGATCCTTTTATCATTATGTAATGCCCTTCTTTGTCTTTTTTGATCTTTTTTGGTTTAAAGTCTATTTTATCAGAGACTAGGATTGCAACCCCTGCTTTTTTTTTTTTTTCCATTTGCTTGGTAAATATTCCTCCATCCCTTTATTTTGAGCCTATGTTGTGTCTTTGCACATGAGATGGGTCTCCTGAATACAGCACACTGATGGGTCTTGACTCTTTATCCAATTTGCCAGTCTGTGTCTTTTAATTGGGGCATTTTTCCCATCTACATTTAAGGTTAATATTGTTATATGTGAATTTGATCCTTTCATCATGATGCTAGCTAGTTATTTTGCACAATAGTTGATGCAGTTTCTTCATAGTGTCATTGGTCTTTATGTTTTGGTGTGTTTTTGCAGTGGCTGGGACTGGTTTTTCCTTTCCATAGTTAGTGCTTCCTTCAGGAGCTCTTGTAAGGCAGGCCTGGTGGTAACAAAATCCCTCAGCATTTGCTTATCTGTAAAGGATTTTATTTCTCCTTTGCTTATAAAGCTTAGTTTGGCTGGATATGAAATTCTGGGTTGAAAATTCTCTTCTTTAAGAATGTTGAATATTGGCCCCCACTCTTCTGGCTTGTAGGGTTTCTGCAGAGAGATCTGCTGTTAGTCTGATGGGCTTCCCTTTGTAGGTGACCTGACCTTTCTCTCTGGCTGCTCTTAGCATTTTTTCCTTCATTTCAACCTTGGAGAATCTGAAGATTATGTGTCTTGGGGTTGCTCTTCTCAAGGAGTATCTCAGTGGTGTTCTCTGCATTTCCTTTATTTGAATGTTGGCCTGTCTTGCTAGGTTGGGGATGTTCTCCTGGATAATATCCTGAAGAGTGTTTTCCAACTTGGTTCCATTCTCCCCGTCACTTTCAGGTATACTAATCAATCATAGGTTTGGTCTTTTCACATAGTCCCATATTACCTGGAGGCTTTGTTCATTCCTTTTCATTCTTTTTTCTCTAATCTTGTTTTCACGCTTTATTTCATTAAGTTGATCTTCAATCTCTGATATCCTTTCTTCCGCTTGATCAGTTCGGCTATTGATACCTGTGTATGCTTCACGAATTTCTCTTGCTGTGTTTCTCAGTTCCATCAGTTCATTTATGTGAGTGAGACCACTTGGCTCCCTGGCTTCAGCCTGCTTTCCAGAAGAGTGAACAGTTCTGTCTTGCTGGGGTTCCAGGCGCCATTGGGGTATGAAAAAAAACTTCCTGCAGCGAGCTCGGTGTCTGCCAAAACTGGCTTTTCTAGTTAGCAGTTCTTGTAATCTTTTATCAAGGCTCTTAGTTTCCTTGCATTGGGTTAGAACATGCTCTTTTAGCTCAGAGGAGTTTGTTATTACCCACCTTCTGAAGCCTACTTCTGCCAATTTGTCAAACTCATTCTCCGTCCCATTTTGTGCCCTTGCTGGAGAGGAGTTGCTATCATTTGGAGGAGAAGAAGCATTCTGGTTTATGGAATTTTCAGCATTTTTGTGCTGGGTTTTCCTCATATTTGTGGATTTATCTACCTTTAATCTTTGATGCTGATGGTCTTTGGATGGTGTTTTTGTGTGGGTGTCCTTTTTGTTGATGTTGATGTTATTGCTTTCTGTCTGTTAGTTTTCCTTCTAACAGTCAGGCCCCTCTTCTGCAGGTCTGCTGGAGTTTGCTGGAGGTCCACTCCAGACCCTGTTTGCCTGAGTATCACCAGTGGAGGCTGCAGAACAGCAAAGACTGCTGCCTGCTCCTTCCTCTGGAAGCTTCTTCCCAGAGGGGCACCTGCCTAATGCCAGCCAGAGCTCTCCTGTATGAGGTGTTTGCCAACTCCTGCTGGGAGGTGTTTCCCAGTCAGGAGGCACAGGAGGCAGGGAGCCACTTGAGGAGGCAGTCTGTCCCTTAGCATAATTCGAGCACTGTGCTGGAAGATCCACTGCTCTCTTCAGAGCTGGCAGGCAGGAACGTTTTAGTCTGCTGAAGCTGCAACCACAGCCACCCCTTCTGTCCCAGGGAGGTGGGAGTTTTATCTTTAAGCCCCTGACTGGGGCTGCTGCCTTTCTTTCAGAGATGCCCTCCCCAGGGAGAAGGAACCTAGAGAGGCAGTCTGGCCACAGCCACTTTGCCACGCTGTGGTGAATTCTGCACAGTCCAAACTTCTGGCAGTTTCCTTAACACTGTGAGGGGAAAACTGCCTACCCAAGCCTCAGTGATGGTGGACGTCCCTCCCCCCACCAAGCTCCATCATCCCCGGTCAACTTCAGACTGCTGTGCTGGCAGCAAGCATATCACGCCAGTGGTTCTTAGCTTACTGGGCTCTGTGGGAGTGTGAACTGCTGAGTGAGACCACTTGGCTCCCTGGCTTCAGCCCCCTTTCCAGAAGAGTGAACAGTTCTGTCTTGCTGGGGTTCCAGGCGCCATTGGGGTATGAAAAAAAACTTCCTGCAGCTAGCTCGGTGTCTGCCAAAACAGCTGCCTAGTTTTGTACTTGAAACCCAGGCCCCTGATGGTGCAGGCATACAAGGGAATCTCCTGGTCTGGGGGTTGCAAAAAGTGTGGGAGAAGCATAGTATCTGGGTCAAACAGCACAGTCCCTCATGGCTTCCCTTGGCTAGGAGAGGGAGGTCCCCAGCCTCTTGCACTTCCCAGGTGAGGCGATGCCCCACCTGCTCTTGCTTGCCCTCTGTGGGCTGCACCCATTGCCTAATCAGTCTGAATGAGATGAACTGGGTACCTCAGTTGGAAATACAGAAGTCACCTGCCTTCTATGTTGGTCTTGCTAGGAGCTGCAGATGGGAGCTGTTCGTATTTGGCCATCTTGATTTGGCTCCTCAAAGAACTTTTTAATTTCCATTTTGATTTCGTTTTTGACCCAATGCTCATTGAGGAGCCGGTTATTTAATTTCCATGTATTTGCATGGTTTTGAAGTTTATTTCTGGTTGATTTTCAGTTTTATTCCACTGTGGTCTGAGAGAGTGCTTGCTATAATTTCAATTTTCTTAAATTTATTGAGTCTTGTTTTATGGCCTATCATATGGCCTATCCTGGAGAAAGTTCCATGCACTGTTGAATGGAATGTGTATTCTGCAGTTGTTGGATGAAATGTTCTGTACATAGCTGTTAAGTCCATTTGTTCCAAGGTATAGTTTAAATCCAATGTTTCCTTGTCAACTTTCTGTCTTGGTAACCTGTCTAGTGCTGTTAGTGGAGTATTGAAGTCCCCCACTGTTATTGTATTGCTGCCTATCTCATTTCTTAAGTCTATTAGTAATTGTTTTATAAATTTGGGAGCTCCATTGTTAGGTGCATATATGTTTAGGATTGTGATATTTTCCTGTTGGACAAGGCCTTTTACCATTATATAACGTCCCTCTTTGTCTCTTTTAACTGATGTTGCTTTAAAGTTTGTTTTTTCTGACATAAGAATAGCTAGCCCTGCTTGCTTTTGGTGTCCATTTGCATGCAATGCCTTTTTCCACCCCTTTACTTAAGTTTATGTGCGTCCTTATGTGTTAGGTGAGTCTCCTGAAGGCAGCAGATGGTTGGTGAGTTCTTTCTTATCCATTCTGTAGTTCTGTATCTTTTAAGTGGAGAGTTTAGGCCATTTGCATTCAATGTTCTATTTTTGTGCTGGTTGGTCTCCGGCTGGAAGGTGGTGCTTTCCAGAGAGCATCAGCTGTGGTAATATGAAGAGGAACCAGCAGTGAGTGGGGTCCTAGAACTCCCAAGAGTATATTCCCTTTGTCTTCAGCTACCAGGGAGGGTAGGAAAGGCCCATGGGGGGGGGCAGGACAAGGCACGTCTGACCTCAGACTCTCCTTGGGTGCTTGGGTGGGTCTTGCTGCAGCTGCTGTGGAGATGGGGGCGAGGTTCCCAGGTCAATGGAGTTGTGTACCTAGAAGGATTATGGCTGCCTCTGCTGAGTCATGCAGGTTGTCAGGGAAGTGGGATAAAGCTGGCAGTCACAGGCCTCACCCAGGTCCCACACAATCCAAAGGGCCATTCTCATTCCCACTGTGCCATCCCTAACAGCCACGAGTCTGTTTCCAGGCAGTGAGCAAGCAGGGCTTGAGAACTTGCCCCAGGCTACCCGCCTCCCAGCTGCAAAAGAAAAGGGTTTGGTTCCTCCCTCACCTGTGGAGTCTGGATGCCGGATTCACACCCTCGCCAGAGTTCTGGCCAGGAGGCTTCTTGCCCAGGTCAAATTGTTACAAAGTTTAGCTGGAGACTTCCTTCTCCCTGTGGCATCCCCCACCCCACTCCCCCACACCTCTGGCTGCCCTCCCAAAAGGATCCCTGTGGGGCCAGGCAGGAAAGGCCTGCTTGGGGACCCAGCAAGTTCCCAGGACCTTTCCTGTTCCTCTGCTGCATAATTCACTTGCCTCTCTAAATTGCCTCAGCTCCTGGTAAGGTGTGAAACTTCCCACAAACTAGACGTTCATTTTCCCTAGTGGGGTTGTGTGTTCTGGAGAGGAGGGTCTCCCTTTCCCACTTCTGCAGTTTGGGCACTCACAGTATTTGGGGTGTCTCCTGGGTCCTGCAGGAGCAGTCTGCTTCCTTCAGAGGGTCTGTGGGTCCTCTTGGGATTCCTGCTTTGTTCCTGCAGTCGTTCTGGAGCTAAAATTCATGATGTGAGCCTCCACACACTGCTCTGTCCGTCCGAGTTAGAGCTGCAATCTAGTCCTGTCTCCCATCTGCCATGATGATCTCACATTTCTATGTTTTAATATTCTGCATAGCACTGTAGTGCTTGCTGATGTTTCTCTTCTTTCTGTGTTTATTTACTGTTTTTGTTTTGTTTTGTTTTTTTGTTTTTGAGATGGAATTTCACTCTTGTTGCCCAGGCTGGAGGGCAACGGCGTGATCTCGGCTCATGGCAACCTCTGCCTCACGGGTTCAAACGATTCTCCTGCCTCAGCCTCTCGAGTAGCTGGGATTACAACACCCAGTTAATTTTTTTTTTTTTTTTGTATTTTTAGTAAAGATGGGGTTTCATTATGTTGGCCAGGCTGGTCTTGAACTCCTGACCTCAGGCGATCCACCCTCCTCAGCCCCCAAAGTGCTGGGATTACAGGCATGAGCCACCGTATCTGCCTCTATTTACTGGTTTAATGCTCACTTCTCCCCACTAGAATGTAAGCTCCATAAGAATACAGCTCTTATCACTGTCTCTCCCCAGTGGCAAGAATAGTGCTTCAAATACAATAAATACTTGGTAAACATTGCATGAATGAAATCTCAGGAACACCTTGTATGTTTTTAAAGATTTCCAGGTGAGTGTGACTTCAGCCAGGCTAGAAAGCACTGGAGTGACACCTGCATTGTCACTGTCACTATGCTGGAATATGGAGGGTGGTGAGAAGTGACCTTGAAAAGTACAGAACCAGGCCAGAAAAATGAAGCATTGCTCTCTTCAGCTTTGCCTTTAAGCATACTGTTTCCAAGACCCAGAATATGCCCTCCCCAACATCCCTAAGCTATTGAGTTCAGGTATCACCTTTAATAACTACAAACATTAAGGGCAATTATTTTGAAGTACTTACTTTATTTTCCCCAGTCTCAAATACTGTCTTACATGCAATAGATACTCAATGAATGTTTCTTGAATTGCATTGCTCAGAGATTTGCTCCAGCCCACTGGACTTGCAGGTGTTCTCTACTACAACTTACATAATATTAATGTTAGCTGAGGAGAGCAAAGATCACCTGGTGGTCAGCAAGCAGACCATCTGGAGGCAAAACTCCTTATCTGAGGAATTCAGAAGTAATTAGATGTCCTTCCTATCTAAAGCTGGCATCTGGTACCAGGCTTCTTTCCCAAAAACTTATAAGTAACTAGAATTTCTATAGATCTTCAGACTGCATGCGTGTCAAAACTCACTGTGCAATTCTTACTGATGTCACAGCACCAAAATGTCTACAAATGTAATCATTTATCATTACCTGTGTGACTAATATGGTCCAAATTATCCTTAAGCTCCTGCTTGAAGGTCCATAAATACCCCTAAGGAAAATCCACTGCAGCTCCCTCAGTCCTCTCTTGCCGAAGCGCCCGCCCATTGCACTCTGCCACAGTGTTCTTTCCATCTAATACAACTTTCCTTTTCAAACCTATACTTTTGTTGGTAAATTCTTTTTACCACCTTCAAGCCGATCACTCTCTGTGGCAAGGCTCTGACACCCCACCTGGCATTAGCTATCATATATTTAATACATATCATGTGCCAGGTACTGTGCTAAACCCTTACCTATAGGGGTTTGGGCCACAATCCCAAATGTTGAAATCCTAAAAGATCAAAATTCTGAAAAAAAAAATTCTAAAAAAAATTTTTTAAGTTCTTTAAAGGCATTTACATTTTTAAAAGATTTATTTGAGAAACATATTGGCCAGGTGAAGTGGCTCATGCCTATAATCCCAGCATTTCGGGAGGCCAAGGCAGGAGAATCACTTGAGCCCAGGAGTTCAATATCAGCCTGGGCAAGATAGTGAAACCTCGTCTCTACAAAAAATAAAAAAATAGCCCACTGCAGTGGCATACGCCTGTAGTCCCAGTGACTTGGGGAGGCTGAAGTGGGAAGATCACTTAAGCCTGGGAGGTCAAGACTGCAGTCAGTCGTGATCACTCCACCACACTCCAGCCTGGATGATAGAGAGAGACATTGTCTCTTAAAAACAGCATCAACAACAAAACAAAGTAACAAAAACAACAGAACACTTTATAGGCCACTTTACACAATAAAATAGGCAATAATAACATACATATTTTTGCAAGCATAAACAAGTATACTAAGGACAGTCATCCAGGCACAACATTTATAAGCAGACAAATCATATTCATAAATAACTTACACAACTGCAGTCATCTGAAATACTTATAGAATGGGAGTTAGATGAATTTAACTCCTTGGTCTCTTCCAACTCTAAAAATTATATGCATCTATGAGTTACTAGCCTTTCACACATTTGGTTCAGCAGTACCATCTGCTTCTGCATTTCTGCTTCAAACAGTGGTTATATCAAAACAACATAAAACTGTTTCCATTTCCATAAGTTCTTTTTTGAAATCATCTGACTTGATTTGAAATATGAAAAGTGAACTGAAAGAAGCCACATTACTAAAGCCACAGAAGAGAATTACTTCCTCAAATACACTCTGTGTATTTCCTAACATTGTTAATATCATTGGTTTAATCACCTATGGGAGGAAAATACTCACTATTAAGGGTATTTCTGAGGAGAGATATATAATAATCAAATTTTAGGCTATCTAATGGTTGTACTAGCCCTAGTACATATTTGAGGAGAAAAGTTAAGAACTAGTCCCTAATATATTTGTTATTTATGAATTTTAGAAATTATAGAATTGAGAAACAGAGAGTGAGGGGAGAAGAGGAAAAGCCTGGCCCAAATTCCTTTTTTTAATTGAGAAGATAGCATAAGAAGGAGCCCTTAGCTTTTCTTGGTGAAAACCTTTTGTAATTCATTTAACCTCTCTGAGTCTCAGTTTGCTAATCTTCAGAATTAGTGGGTTTGGACCAAATAATATCTCAGATTGCTTCCAAATCTGTGAATTAACCCCAAGGGTATGAAAGCCTGTCAAAATTCCTTTTAAAATCCCTTTTAAAACACAGTAGCAGGTTTGAAAATTTATCCTTAACCTGCAAAGATCAGTTCTTAGGTTGAAGGTCACAGCCACAAATGAATTAAGAACTGAAATTTAAGCCTATTTTTAATAAGGCTACAATCTAGCAGTTAAAGTTTTAAAATTCTAAGTCTAACAAAGACTGGGTAATGGTTTTGATTCCTAAACTCTTGACCACCAACGCTGCACAGTGGTTTTGATGTATTTTCTCCACTGGTAATGAAGAGATGAAGAGGAAAGCAGGCAGGAAAAAAATCAGGACACTGAGGTCAGCACAGAAGGGGATCCAAAAAAAATTTCAGAGATAGATTAGAGAGAAGAACATAGGAAATGTAGAACTCAGTCAGTAATGGTTCATAAATGCATTACCTGTGTTGGAAGATTCCTTATAATGAGATCATCTTCTAGGATGTAGTAACCAATTCTGTTTTTTTCCAACCGTTCTACAACCATCATACAAATGCAGATTGTTCTGCCTGTCAGTCTTCATCAACCCAAACTGAATAATATAAATCTCTGGCCTGTCCTCATAAATTCCATTTTAATGTGAAACTCAGTATTTAAGTTTTTCCTTCTAACTATTTTCTGTCCAGAAAGATTAGATAGCTCATTTCCAGAGTTTATTTTGGTCTCTGCCTGATATTTACCACCTCCTTATGTACCCAACACCATCCATCCATCTGCTAATAAACACCCTAGAGTTGAGGCAGAGTGGGTGCCTGGCGGGATGACCCAATACGAGAAGGGAATTAACACCCGAAACAAGTTTATTAACCTTTTAAATGAAATGACTTAGCTTATGCAATTCATTCTCTCTCTCTCTCTCTCTTTTGAGAGGCAGGGTCTCACTCTGTTGCCCAGGCTGGAGTGTGGTGGCTATTCACCACCATGATCATAGCACACTGCAGCCTCGAACTCCCGGGCTCAAGTGATCCTCCTGCCTCAGCCTCTCCTCCTGAGTAGCTAGTGCTACAGGTGTGCCAGGTGTGCACCACCAGGCCCGGCTATTTTTTTTTTTTATTTTGGTCTCTAACTCCTGGCTTCAAGTTGTCCTCCTGCCTCGGCCTCAGAAAGCACTGGGACTACAGGTGTGAGCCACTGCACTTGGTCACTTACAGATTTTTTTTAATGCCCCTCAAAATGGAGAAATAATTTGAAGAAGTACTCATTTCTCTATACCTCTATAGCAGTAAATTCCACAGAAAAAAAGGAACCAAAAAGAGGAAAAGACCTCACTGAGTATTTAAATAATAGCAAGTTCAAGCTTGGGGAGTAGCATCAGCAAGAAGAAAGACATATGAAATGAAGGCAAAGTGTCACTGATTTTGTTCACTCTGTTCCTAGTGAGAAATTGATGGTGTAGAGTCACTTTGGCCTGCTCAAGACCAATCTGGCATGAAGATACAGGTCTGAGGTAAGATTCTCTGGACTAGTAGGTTTATCCTAGAGCTATCATCCGAATTGACCCTCTAGGCTTATTGCACATTAGCTTCCCGATGCTCCTGTGGCCTTCCCCTGCGCCAGCAGCTCAGTGTTCCCAAGTGGAGGTGGGGTCTTCCTGAAAGCCGCCTGTGGCTGGGCACGGTGGCTCATGCCTGTAATCCCAGCACTTTGGGAGGCTGAGGCGGGCAGATCACAAGGTCAGGAGTTCAAGACCAGCCTGGCCAATATGGTGAAACCCCATCTCTACTAAAAATACAAAATTTAACCAGGCATGGTGGCAGGTGCCTGTAGTCCCAGCTACTGAGGAGGCTGAGGCAGGAGAATCACTTGAACCCAGGAGGCGGAGGTTGCAGTGAGCCAGGATCACGCCATTGCACTCCAGCCTGGGGGACAGAGCAAGACTCCATCTGAAAAAAAAAAAAAAAAAAAAAAAAACTGAGGGGCTTAGCAGGAGAAAAAGTCTCAACAAGTTATCTGAACTTGCAGAGCTGGTAAGTGGTAGAGGTAGGATACAAACCCAGGTCTGTGGGATGCCAGAGTCTGAGATCTGCCCCATTTATTTATTCTCAAGTACTTTAACATCATTTTAAAGGTGTTTAAGGATGAAGAAATCTCCTGGTTATGTGCAATAAATCAGAATTCCTAGGAAACTTTATATGATATTCAGAATCACTACCAACATTGATCAGAAAAGTTTTACTATGATTTTGCCCATGTTCTACATTACTTTCAGATGTCCTTCTAGAGCTCAGATGCACAATTAAAAAAAAATCTTTCCCATAATTCGGGTATCTAGTTTCTCATATGCACACACATAAAGAGACCACACGCATACAACACAAACACACAAACACTACACATACACACATTCCACAGAAAAACATACAAAGACCACAGACACATACATACACAGAGATCACACAAATACACTGAGATACACATACACTGATCACAGACACACCTCTACACATACTCCATGGATAAAAACACCACAGAGACTTTGATTCCCCAGAACCACCACCAACACAAGACAGCTGAGGGTTAATGGGGAAAAGGGACACTATACCATATCAAAGCATAGCAAATAGATTATAATTATTAGACATTCCTATTTTTAAATCCCCTGTGTCATTTCTGCTTCTCAGAATACTTCATTGACCCTTTCTCCTCTGTAGGGCTCCTAACATCCTGCTGAGTTTTTTTCTGTGCTGCCTGTCTTAAAATCATCCTCGTCTTCCACCCTCTTCTTAAGGTCCCAGGGCCTTCACAAAACCTCTCTCTCAAGTTCTCATTCTTTTATTTGCCATTGCCTGTCCATTTCATATGCTTCAGACTCCACTTTTTATTCCCAAAGAAGACTACTAAGGTATTTTCATGAAGAATCATTTTTCTACTTTAGAGAAAAATTTTGCAACTCCCTTAGAAGGCAGAATTAACTTAGGAAGTTGTGATTTTTGAATAGCAATTATGGCTGGGCACGGCAGCTCATGCCTCTAATCCTAGCACTTTGGGAGGCTGAGGTGGGAGGATCACTTTAGGCCAGGAGTTCAAGACCAGCCTGGGTATCACAGCAAGACCCTTTTCTCTACAAAGAATTTTAAAATTAGCCAAATGTGGTGCTGCACACCTGTGATCCCAGCTATCTGGAGGCTGAGGCGGGAGGATTGATGAAGCCCAGGAGTTCCACGCTGCAGTGAGCTAGGATCGTGCCACTGCACTCCAGCCTGGGTGACAGAGAGAGACCCTGTCTCTAAAAAATAAACAAAAATAAAATAAATAGCAATTATCTTACTTCTCTGTATATATTCTTAGAATGTTTTTGTTTAGTGAGGAAAAAAGCATCATTAGTAATTTCCATTGCTTTATCCAATTTATCTAAAACCAATTTGCTGATATGACTCTGTTATAACAGCTATTTTCCAAAATATTCTCAGGTTTATATTTTTGATACCATGGGATCCATTATCCAAGAAATTGGATATTTTAGATAATCAAACACTCTGATTATCTAAATCATCTGAGCATTATTAAAAACACTACATATGAATTACTGAGTTTCAAAGAAGTAATATAAAACAGTAGTAGAGTTTCCCACCTGGTACAATGGAGGCATGGTGGGAAATATTGATGGATAAGACATGTAACCCTACGAAGCCTCACTTTCCCCTCTGTTCAAAGATTTGCTTCACAGGCTTTGCAAGGAAAAACAGAATTTTTTTTTTTTTTTTTTGAGACAGAGTCTCGCTCTGTCACCAGGCTGGAATGCAGGGGCACCATCTCGGTTCGGCTCACTGCAACCTCTGCCTCCCAGGTTCAAGCGATTGTCCTGCCTCAGCCTCCCGAGTAGCTGGGACTACAAGCACACACCACCACACCCAGCTAATTTTTGTATTTTTGGTAGAGACGGGGTTTCACCATGTTGGCCAGGATGGTCTCGATCTCCTGACCTTGTGATCCGCCCACCTCGGCCTCCCAAAGTGCTGGAATTACAGGCATGAGCCACCGCGCCCGGCCAGAAATGATTTTTATAGAAAGTTCCTGGCATACCACAAATATTGGATAAATATGAGTTTGGTGACTTTTCTCCTTTTTGTCCCCTCCTCAAGAATGAACTATTAATATTACTACATTTGGCCAGGCGCAGTGGCTCACGCCTGTAATCCCAGCACTTTAGGAGGCCAAGGTGGATGGATTACCTGAAGTCAGGAGTTTGAGACCAGCCTGGCCAACATGGCAAAACCCTCTCTCTACCAAAAATACAAAAATTCACCGGGCGTGGTGGCAAGTGTCTGTAATCCCAGCTACTCAGGAGGCTGAGACAGGAGAATAGCTTGAACCCAGGAAGCAGAGTTTGCAGTAAGCCAAGATCATGCTACTGCACTCCAGCCTGCGTGACAAAGCAAGACTCTGACTCAAAAAAAAAAAAAATTACTACATCTTACAATACACTTCCCTCTTTTGTTGATGATTCTGAAGGTACTTCACAATCTTGCAGTGGCTTACAGCTCCCATATGAATATTAGTTATTACTGTTATGTGCTGAGTATTAGAATACTAGACAATAGTATTTACTATATATAATTAGCTCATGAGAGAAATCTAATTATAAAACCCATAACTACTAATTTGCAACATTGCTATTATTTTTGTTATTCAAATTCATTTCATTAGCTACTTTTGCCCTCACAAGTCAAATAAGACTCATTCTACATTGCCTTATTCAAGAAGTTTTGCCCATCAAAAAGTGTCAGACTTCTGGTTAACGTCCAAGTAGAAGATTTTTGGCCACACGCAGTGCCTCACACCTGTCATCCCAACACTTTGCGAGGCCAAGCGGGAAAATCACTTGAGTCCAAAAGTTCAAGACCAGGCTGGGCAACATAGTGAGACCCCATCTCTACAAAACAAACAAACAAAAAAATTATCCGGCCTGGTAGTGTGCACCTGTAGTCCCAACTCCTTGGGAGGCTG
This sequence comes from Homo sapiens, assembly GCF_000001405.40. Lineage (NCBI taxonomy): Eukaryota > Metazoa > Chordata > Mammalia > Primates > Hominidae > Homo > Homo sapiens. The sequence goes on along the minus strand of NC_000014.9, from coordinate 31,484,396 downwards.
AGGCAGGAGGAGTCCTTGAGCCCAGGAGGTTGAGGCTGAGTGAGCTGTAATCACTCCACTGCACTCCAGCCTGGGTGACAGAGTGAGATCCTATCTCAGAAAAAAAAAATAGATTTTTAACTACCTAATTATTGAACAATTGTCAAAATGTCCCAACATTTACTTCTTTTCACATTTATTTCATTTCATCCATATATTTCTATTTTTGATGCTCAGATTCATCTGATCTTAATTCCTCATTAAAACATAAAAGTATAGACCTTAGAAAAATATTTGATTTGCAGAAATATTTTGCTTACTGCTGTTAAAATATTATCATTTGGACTAGAAGTATCACTATGTAAAAAATTACTCTTTAAATTTTTACATTTAACCTTTTCTTTTGCTTTTTCTTGTTGTTATTTTCACTGTTTCTCACTCCACAGGTCATTATGGATCTGATCAACTCTACTGATTACCTGATCAATGCCTCTACTTTAGTAAGAAACAGCACTCAGTTTCTAGCTCCTGCATCAAAAATGATTATTGCCCTTTCTTTGTACATTTCATCTATAATTGGTACCATCACCAATGGCCTCTATCTATGGGTGCTAAGATTCAAGATGAAACAGACTGTCAATACTCTCTTATTTTTTCATCTCATTCTCTCTTATTTTATTTCAACAATGATTCTGCCATTTATGGCCACCTCCCAACTTCAAGACAATCACTGGAACTTTGGAACTGCCTTGTGCAAGGTCTTCAATGGCACTTTGTCTCTGGGGATGTTCACCTCTGTTTTCTTCCTTTCGGCCATCGGTCTTGATCGTTACCTTCTCACTCTTCACCCAGTGTGGTCCCAGCAGCACCGAACCCCGCGCTGGGCTTCCAGCATTGTCCTGGGAGTCTGGATTTCAGCCGCTGCCCTCAGCATCCCCTATTTGATTTTCAGAGAGACACATCATGACCGTAAAGGAAAGGTGACTTGCCAAAATAACTATGCTGTGTCTACTAACTGGGAAAGCAAGGAGATGCAAGCATCAAGGCAGTGGATTCATGTGGCCTGTTTCATCAGCCGCTTCTTGCTGGGCTTTCTTCTGCCTTTCTTCATCATCATCTTTTGTTATGAAAGAGTAGCCAGCAAGGTGAAAGAGAGGAGCCTGTTTAAATCCAGCAAGCCCTTCAAAGTTATGATGACTGCCATTATCTCTTTCTTTGTGTGTTGGATGCCCTACCATATACACCAGGGCTTACTTCTCACTACGAACCAGTCACTACTTTTAGAGTTGACTTTGATACTTACAGTGCTAACCACTTCTTTCAATACTATCTTTTCTCCCACACTCTACTTATTTGTTGGGGAGAATTTCAAAAAGGTCTTCAAGAAGTCCATTCTTGCTCTGTTTGAGTCAACATTTAGTGAAGATTCTTCTGTAGAAAGGACACAAACCTAAACTCAGAAGCCTAAATTTAAATTCTAGATTCTTAAGCAAACACGCACTTGGTCAATTATACCAATAGGATATACCTTCTGCTTTTGTATGCTATAGTCCCTATATTAGAGAGATAACTAGGCTGTACTATAGTTAGATTTCTGAGCAATAAAAGGGCTGCAAGAAAACAAGCAATTTGCAAGATCATGCTGCAAATGTGATTCTTTTCTTTTCTTTTCTTTTCTTTGAGGCAGAGTCTCACTCTGTCGTCCAGGCTGGAGTTCAGTGTGCAATCTAGGTTCACTGCAAACTCCACCTCCCAGGTTCAAGTGATTCTTATGCCTCAGCCTCCCAAGTAGCTGGGACTACAGGTGTACACCACCATGCCCAGCTAATTTTTTTATTTTTTATTTTATTTTTTTTATGAGAAGGAGTTTCGCTCTGTCACCCAGGCTAGAGTGCAGTGGTGCGATCTCGGCTTACTGCAAGCTCCACCTTCCGGATTCAAGCCATTCTCCTGCCTCGGGCACCTGAGTAGCTGAGACTACAGGCACCTGCCACCACGCCTGGCTAATTTTTTGTATTTTAAGTAGAGACAAGGTTTCACCATGTTAGCCAGGATGGTCTCGATCTCCTGACCTCGTGATCTGCCCACCTCGGCCTCCAAAACTGCTGGGATTACAGGCGTGAGCCACCACACCCAGCCATGCCCAGCTAATTATATTTTTAGTAGAGATGGGATTTTGCCCATATTGGCCCGTCTGGTCCCAAACTCCTGGTGCCAAGTGATCCGCCTGCCTCAACCTCCCAAAGTGTTGGGGTTATAGGCATGAGCCACTGTGCTGGACCTATGATTATTTCGACTCATTTTTTATTGTGGAAAAATATGTGTAACATAAGATTTACCATTTTCACCATTTTTAGTGAACATTTCAGTGGCATTAATTATATTCACGAAATTGTACAACCATCACCACCATCTATTTCCAAAATTTTTCATCATTCCAAGGACAAACTCTGTGCCCATTAAGTAGTAACTCCCTATTCCTCCTCCCCCTGGTCCCTAATAATCTCCAGTCTACTTTCTGTCTCTATGAATTTGCCTATTCTAGATGTTTCATATATGTGAAATTATACAGTATTTACCCTTTTGTGTCTGACTTACTTCACTCAGCAAAATGTTTTCAAGGTTCATCTGTGTTGTTGCAGTATCAGAACTTCATTCTCTTTTTACAGCTGAATTATATTTTATTGTATGTATATAACATAATTTTTAAATCCAGCCATCTGTTGTGTTGTTTCCACCTTTTGACTATTGTCAATAAAGCTACTATTATTGTGAATAAAGCTACTATTAACATTTGTATATAAGTATTTGTGTCAGTCCTTGTTTTCAATTATTGTAGGTATATACCTAAGAGTGGAATTACCGGTTCAAATGGTAATTTTATGTTTAACTTTTTGAGAAATCATAAAGCTTTTCAATTTGCACCATGTTACATTCCCACCAGCAATGTATAAACGTTTTAGTTTCCCCACATCTGTGCCAACACTTGTTATTTTCCTTTTTTTAATTATAGTGTAGTCATTCTGGTAGGTTGAATCAATCTTCTTGCCTCAGCCTCTGGAGTACCTGGGACTACAGGCACACACCACCATGTCCAGCTAAAACTTTTGATTTTTGAAGCTAGGAATATCAGTTGCCAAATTGATCAATAGTATCCAAGGATTTGAATTTTCTGTCACAGAATCTTCTGACAGACATTTGGACAGAGCTCCCTCATTATTTAGTAACATCTAAATTATTTAACTGGTATGAATAAAACTTAACATGGAAGTGACAAGGCACTTATCTCTTTTTTTTTTTTTTTTTTTTTTGAGACGGAGTCTCGCTCTGTTGCCCAGGCTGGAGTGCAGTGGCATGATCTCGGCTCACTGCAAGCTCCGTCTCCCGGGTTCACGCCATTCTCCTGCCTCAGCCTCTCGAGTAGCTGGGACTACAGGCGCCCATCACCATACCTGGCTAATTTTTTTGTATTTTTAGTAGAGACGGGGTTTCACCATGTTAGCCAGGATGGTCTTGATCTTCTGACCTCGTGATCCGCCCACCTTGGCCTCCCAAAGTACTGGAATTACAGGCATGAGCCACCGCGCCCGGCCACAAGGCACTCATCTTGTTACATCCATGTTAAAGCATAAAGACACTTCTACTTTAGTGTTTTAATTATTAAGGCATCTTAACTGTCTTTTTCTAATATTTATAGAGTAAGCTATCTCCAAAATTTGGGGCTAAAATAATGTTCAAGAATCTGCCTGTTGTCATAGACTTAATTTTATAAATGCAATAACAATATTAATTTGTGTTCTCTGATTTTCAGGTTATGTTTCAAGCTTTGTGTACTAAGTGACTGCACCTAAGTTATGTAGAACCACATAATATCACTCACCTATTGTCTTTGTATTTAGTTAATTCTATCAATCAATCAATACATGTCAATCAATAGGTAGTCCTGTCAATTCTAAATCAACTGAACTATCTAGTTAGTTCAACTGATACAACATGGAGATATTTGGGTCACATCCCACACTCAGTCCCTGAATACACCAGCATGCTTTGTACAAAGCATTCCAAACCGCAAGCATATAGCCTACGCAGAAATCCCCAAAACGTATGATATGAATTACAAGGAGATACAGAAAGAAGAAAATTAATCTTCATGACTAACTTTTTATAGAGAAAGTAACAGTAGTTTGGTGTCCTAGAAATCCTGCTAATTGACGTGGTATCAGGGCTCCCCTGGGCAATTGGGGGCTTGGTCTCTCTTACTTGGAATGACAAAAGCTTTGGGTAGATGAAAACTTTAATTGCTGACCCTATTTCAAGGTTTTGAAGCTTGAACAGTTTTTTTTTTCTTTTTCGGAAAGGGAGATATGAATTGATGACCAGGCTGTGGCTCCGACTACAGCTGCAATGAGAAATGGATGGTGCTTTTTTCCACCCCACACTATCCCAGGTCCTGACAAGCCCACTGAAGTTTTAGTTTTATGATGCAGGATTTAAGAAAGAAAATTATTGAATGCAACATAGGATTCTTTGAAACAAGATTTGGATTTTGGAAATCTAGCAGCTACAGAGAGTGCCTTTTGTCTACCTCCTCAGGCCTGCTACAATAATAAACAAGGAACATGCCCTGGAAAGCGTGGATTTTGTGGTATTTGTAAGCCATATGTTGTCATTCCTTACAGCTATCTATGTACGCTTTAAATTGTCTTTTTCATGAGACCTAGGTCAGGGCTTTTTGAAGTATTTTGTTCCATCTTTCTATAAATTGTAAACAACTCAGGGACAGAAAGAATTCTATCAACTATAGCATTTCATTTCTATAATATTATACACAATTGATAATAAAAGATATTTAATAAAAGTTGAGTTTGCACAATTACAACATGTAAAGCACTGTATAAATATAAGATATTAAGAGTTTTTTTAAAGTCAATTTAAATGTAAGAAAATAGGGTATAATTAAGAAAATTATTCCCAAATGCATTTTTAACCTCACAGAAAACTGGTTAATTTTTTAAAAATCTACTCATTATAATTGCGTTGATCTCATCAACCTCCTCACTATTTTGAATTCTCAGGACTCAAAAGGTTTATAAACAAAGAGTTGGTGGTTTTGCTCTGTGGAACTGGTACAAAGAGACACTGTTTCAAAACAATGTGCCTGTCAGCACTCGATTATATAAAGCAGCTTCACTATATCAGTATCAAACTGGTTTAAGAACAAAATACAAGGATGATTAGAGATGCATTTTAAATGCCAGTGTAAGTTCTTTCCTCAAGAAGTAGCTCTTTGTTTTGATGAGAAGGATGCTCAGATGCTAACGTGTGTGAGAGGGGTTAGGGTATAAGATAGAATGCTGTGTACAACACAAATCTGATTCCATATCCCTGAGAAATTAGGGGAAACAATCATTTACCAGTATAGTATATGTACCTGGCACTGTGATAGGCACTGGGGAAACAAGAGTGAATCTGACACAATCCCTGTCCTAAAGAAGCTTGAAGTCTAGTGCAGTGGTTCTGAATTTGGCTCCACATTGTAATCATCTGGGATACTTTTTTAAAATGTCAGTTTCAAGGCCTTATCCAAACCAATTAAAACTAAAATCTCTAGAAGCAGGACGCAGGAACCAGTATCTTTGTTTGTTTGTTTGTTTGTTTCTTGAAACAGTCTCACTGTCACCCAGGCTGAGGTGCATTGACATGATCTTGGCTCACTGCAACCTCTGCCTCCTGGGTTCAAGCAATTCTCGTGCCTCAGCCTCCATAGTAGCTGGGATTACAGGCGTGTGCTGCCACGCCCAGCTAATTTTTGTATTTTTAGTAGAGACAGGCTTTTGTCATGTTGGCCAGGCTGGTCTCGAACTCCTGACCTCAAGCAATCCACCCACATTGGCCTCCCAAAATGCTGGGACTACGGTGTGATCCACCGTACCCGGCCAGTATATTTTTTATTCTCAGATTAAGTCTAAAGTACAATTAGGTTAGAAAACTCCAGTTTAGTAGGAAAGAAAAAGGAGTAAAATGGTAATTCCTGCCTTCACCAGTCAAAAAAGTTTTCCTGGATAAGGGCCTGAGTCCTGCAGAACAGTGTTAGGCATATAAAGAAGAGGAGGATAGTTCCTTCAAAGAGAGGAAGCAGAATGTGTAAGAGCCCTGGAGGGAAAGAGAAGACATTGCTATAAAGCAGCACTACCCAAACCTCAATATGCAAATGAATCACCTAATAATCTTGTTAAATGTTGATTTGATTCAGTAAACCTGGAGTAAATCTAACTTCAGTAAGTCAGATTCTGCATTTCTCTTTTTTTTTTTTTTGAGACAGAGTCTTGCTCTGTCGCCCAGGCTGGAGGGCAGTGGTGTGATCTAGGCTCACTGCAAGCTCCGCCTCCCAGGTTCAAGCAATTTTCTGCCTCAGCCTCCCAGGTAGCTGGGATTACAGGTGCCTGCCACCACACCCGGCTAATTTTTGTATTTTTAGTAGAGACGGGGTTTCACCATCTTGGCCAGGCTGGTCTTGAATTCCAGACCTCATGACCCACCTGCCTCAGCCTCCCAAAGTGCTGGGATTACAGGCGTGAGCCACCACTCCAGGCCAGATTCTGCATGTCTTTTTTTTTTCTTTTTCTGAGACCGAGTCTTGCTATGTTACCCAGACTGGAGTGCAGTGGCGTGATCTCGGCTCACTGCAAGCTCCGCCTCCTGGGCTCACGCCATTCTCCTGCCTCAGCCTCCCGAGTAGGTGGGACTACAGGCACCCGCCACCACGCCCAGCTAATTTTTTGTATTTTTAGTAGAGACGGGCTTTCACCCAGGATGATCTCGATTTCCTGACCTCCTGATCTGCCCGCCTCGGCCTCCCAAAGTGCTGAGATTACAGGCGTGAGCCACTGCACCCGGCCCAGATTCTGCATTTCTAACAGGATCCCAAGGGATCCTGTTGCTGCTGGTCCAGCACAAGCCAAAAAACATAATTGCAACATTAAGTGTGAGAAGCAGGCTGGAAACATGAGCTGGAAAAGTCAACCAGGACTAGATCCTGAGAGCCTATAAGAAGGAATTTGGACTTGATCCTAGACTTTATCTTGAGGGCATTTGGAAGCCACTGAAAGACCTTAAACCTAAGAGTGATAGGTTGAGATTTGCATTTTAGAAAGATAGATTGCTCTGTCTACTACAGTAGAGAGGTCAAAACTAGAGGTGGGTGGCCAAATAGGACAGTGCCAAAGTAATCTAAGTAACAGATGATGTGGCCTACTAAAAAAGTGTAAGTAAGGATCAAGAAAAGTCGAGTTCTGTAAATTCTGTTGGTTGAAGGGGAAGTTGAGGACAATTCCTCTGTCAATTAGTGTTCTTTGTTGCAAACAGTAGATTTCATTCTGGCTGATTTAAGCAAAAACTGATTTATTAAAAGACATTAAGTAACTCACAGAATTATTAGGATAGTTGGAGAAACATTCAAGGAGCAGCTCTCAGAAACCATGCCCAAAACATGCCACAAAACTACCCAAATCAGGAATTTGTCACTGGTGTTCCGTATTTCAGTAAATGATACCAAATGTTGCTGCTGCTGCTGTTGAGCCCAAAATATCAGCAATTTGGCTTTACTAAAACTGCTACTGCCGCTGATACCATTTCTGCATTAGGTCTTGAACCACTCTGTGCCTGAAAGCTCTGACAACAGGACAGAAATCTCATGCAGAGCTTGCTTATTCACATTGCTCACTTCCAAATTTAGTCTTGCACAAGGATATCTAGTCAGCATGCCTGTATCCTAGCTGCAAATGAGGCTGGGGAATTTAAGTTCTGATTTCTACATGAGTGAGAAGGGGTTACTCAAAATGTAGGAATTTCCCCAAATATAAAAGCCATTCAAAAGATGATGGATAGAATATGACAAATGCATACATTTCTGTATTCGGAGACAGCTCGTGGTTTCCATTTACAGAAATAAGGAAGAAGGAAGGAAGAAGGAAAGAAGAAAGAGGAAGGAAGGAAGGAAGGGAGGGAGGGAGGGAAAGAAAAAAGGAAAAGAAAGAAGAAAGGAAAGAAAGAAAGAGAAAGGAAGGAAGGAGGAAGGAAGGAAGAAAGGAAGGGAGGGAGGGAAAGAAAAAAGGAAAGGAAAGAAGAAAGGAAAGAAAGAACAAAAGCAAGAAAGAAAGCAAGAAAAAGAAAGAAAGAAAGAAAAAGAGGAAGGAAGGAGCAGGTAAAGAAGTTCAGTCTTGGACATTGATATGGTTTGGCTCTGTGTCCCCATCCAAATCTCATCTCGAATTGTAATCCCCATGTGTTGAGGAAGGGAAATGATTCGATTATGGGGGTGGTTTCCCCCATGCTCGTCTCACGATAGTGAGTTCTCACAAAGTCTGATGGTTTTATAAGGCAGTTTTCCTTGCTCTTGCATGCTTTTCTCTCTCCTGCTGCCTTGTGAAGAAAGTGCCTGTCTCGCCTTCCAACAGTGAGCTAATTAAATCTCTTTCCATTATAAATTACCCAGTCTCAGGTATGTTTTTATAGCAGTGTGAAAACAGACTAATACAGACATACTAAGTTTCAGGTGCCTGTCAACTGAAGAATGACAAGGCTCATAAATTTGGAAAGAAGAACTTTATTTCTCATAAAAAATTGCAGCCTGCAGGGTGATCATTGTGACAGGCTTTGAAGCATAACCTCCAGCCAGAAGCCAGAAACAGGCACTTTAAAGGTTAGAAGAATAAGACAGGAATTTATGCTGAAAAGGGTAGCTAAATATACAGTATTCAATAAGCTATAGAAGGAGTCCTGAATATTTATGAGAGGATAAATATGTGCATGTGTAATTGAGCTTCATGCTTCTTTATGGGACCCATGTTCCAAAAATGGCGGCATTAGCGTTATCTGAAAGTGGAGTTTTAGGCCTCCTGATGTCAAAAAGTGAAGCAGAGGACACAAAAGCCCTCACTGTGCATTCTCCATAGACTGGCCAAACCACTCCATGGTCGGTGATCTCTCATAAGGAAGAAATGCTGGTTGGTTGTTTTGTTGAAACTGCAAGAGAGGCAGTGTTCAGGCCTTTGGTTGAAATCAAGGGTGGAGTCTTTTGAAAGGACTAGTTTCTGTTTAGTCCTAAGGGAAGAAAGCCTAATGGCAGTTAGCGTGGGAGGGAGTACAGCAAGGTATGTCTGACCTCCCATCCCATCACGACCGAGAGTTTTCAAGGTTTCTCTGGGGTCCCCTTTGCCGAGAGGGGGTCTGTTCAGTCAGGTTGGAGACTTAGAATTCTATTTTTATTTCTCATGCCTGAGAGACATTAAAATGGACTATCACCTAAGATCAGGAGTTCGAGACCAGCCTGGCCAACACGGTGAAACCCCGTCTCCACTAAAAATAAAAAATAAATAAAAAAATTAGCCGGGCATAGTGGCGGGCTACTTGGGAAGCTGAGGCAGGAGAATCACCTGAACCTGGGAGGAGGAGGTTGCAGTGAGCCAACATTGCGCCACTGCACTCCAGCCTGGGTGAGAGACTGAGACTCGATCTCAAAAAAAAAAAAAGTATTGAATAGATGAACGAATGAACAGTAACTAAAGCCATGGGAGTAGAGTCATAGCCTCAGGTGAGTGTGTACAGTGAGCACTCAAGGCTGAGGCTGGAACACTGATGTTTAGAGGCAAGCACAGAGGTGATCCCATGACAGGAACTTCAGAAGGAGCATATGGAAAAGAGAGAAGGAAAACTAAGTCTCCTGTCAGGAAACACAACATTTCAAGATGTAGGGTGTACAGATTGGTTAAGAGAGATGACTAAAATATGTCCAGTGAATTTAACCTAAAGAATTTTTCAGTGATTAGCTTCAGGAAGAAAAGCAAAATTGCCTTGTGCTGGGGAGTGACTGGGAGATGAGACTCCAGAGGCTCTGAGAGTAGCAACTCTTTTAAACAGAGAATTAAGGAATAATTCACCCTCTTTCTTCCCACAAAAAGTAACTTTCACACATCTTACCAAATAGAGATTAATTTGTGTTAAGGGGCTGCTATTAAAATGCAAAGACACCTTTTAAGAATGTTAAGTTTCATTCACAAGTTAATGGAAATTACTTTAATCGGCTTCACCTATAGGAGAGTACAGCTAAGCACAGTACTTAGAATATCAGACTCTTGATTGTGGCCTAGAGGAAGGAAACAATTGGAGTCGGAAGTCAAACCCAAGGCAAATTTTGGAGACTCTGAAGGCAGTATATATGTGTACAAAGAAGTGCTATGAAAGAGAAAAGAGACAGAAAGGTATTCCGAAGAGCAAGTCAGCTGGCATTTAAGAAAAGATTTGCGGCCGGGCGCGGTGGCTCACGCCTGTAATCCCAGCACTTTGGGAGGCCGAGGCGGGCGGATCACGAGGTCAGGAGATCGAGACCATCCTGGCTAACACGGTGAAACCCCGTCTCTACTAAAAATACAAAAAATTAGCCGGGCGTGGTGGCGGGCGCCTGTAGTCCCAGCTACTCGGGAGGCTGAGGCAGGAGAATGGCGTGAACCCGGGAGGCGGAGCTTGCAGTGAGCCGAGATCGCGCCACTGCACTCCAGCCTGGGCGACAGAGCGAGACTCCGTCTCAAAAAAAAAAAAAAAAAAAAAAAAAAAAAAAAGAAAAGATTTGCTAGTAGGGCGTGGTAGCTGATATGGTTTGGGTCTGTGTCCCCACCTGATATGGTTTGGCTGTGTCCCCACCCAAATTTCAACTTGAATTTTATCTCCCAGAATTCCCACGTGTTGTGGGAGGGAACCAGAGGGAGGTAATTGAATCATGGGAGCTGGTCTTTCCCATGCTATTCTCGTAATAGTGAATAAGTCTCACAAGATCTGACGGATTTATCAGGGGTTTCCGCTTTTGCTTCTTCCTTATTTTACTCTTGCCGCCACCATGTAAGAAGTGCCTTTCACCTCCTGCCATGATTCTGAGGCCTCTGGCTCCCAGCTGCGTAGAACTGTAAGTCCAACTAAACCTCCTTTTGTTCCACTTTTGGGTATGTCTTTATTAGCACCATGAAAATAAACTAATACACCACCCAAATCTCATCTTGAATTGTAATCCCCACATGTAGAGAGAGGGACCTGGTGGGAGGTGATTGGATTATGGGGGCGGTTTCCTCATGCTGTTCTCATGCTAGTGAATGAGTTCTCACAAGATCTGATGATTTTAAAATGTTTGGCTTTCCCCGGCCCTGGCTGTCTCCTGCCACCATGTAAGACATGCCTTGCTTCCCTTTTGTCTTCTGCCATGATTATAAGTTTCCTAAGGCCTCCCCAGCCATGAGGAACTGTGAGTCAATTAAATGTCTTGTCTTTATAAATTACGCAGTCTCAGGTATTCTTTATAGCAGTGTGAAAATGGACTAATACAGTGATTCATGCCTCTAATCCTAGCACTTTGGGAGGCTGGGGCAGGGGGATGGCTTTGAGCTCTGGAGTTGAAGACCAGCCTGGGCAACATGGTGAAACCCTATCTGTACAAAAAATACAAAGATTAGCCAGGTATGGTGGTGCAGGCCTGTAGTCCCAGCTACTTGTGGGTCTGAAGTGGGAGGATCACTTGAGCCCAAGAGGTGGATGTTGCAGTGAGCAAGATTGCACCACTGTACTCCATCCTGGGCAACAGAGCAAATCTATTTCAAAAAAAAAAAAAAGAAGAAGAAGAAGAAAAGAAAAGATTTGCCTAGAGGTGGAGCCTCTATGAGCCTGAAAATCTGGTTTATGTCAAATTGTTTGGGCCACAAGCCTTCCCTCCAGTCAGGGCCAGTCACCCCACTTTAGTTTAGTTCAGGCTTTCCAGGAGGTGGCTTCCTTCTAAGTCCTGTCCTTTCTTGATTGAGAGGCAGAAGGGAGGGAAAAAATACAGTGGTGGGGAGAGAAATAAGAGTTTTTTCTAATGTTATTCCTTATTTTCCTTGTTTTTTCTCTAAACTCACTGTAAGAACAGTGTCTTATTTCTCATCTATCTCTAACACCTAGCTCAGGGTGGAATGATGAATGACTATTTATTAAAATTGAATAAATACATGAATGCAGTTATTAATTAATTCTGAAGTTGGAATTTTTTCTGTTATTTGTGGGATTTGAGGGATCTTGTCCCTCAAGCATGTTGTTTTGCTTCACCTGCCAAAAGGAGCAAACAATCAGGGAGCTGCCATCTAATAATACTGCTCTCCCTTGTTCATCTCAAGTAAATGAAATTTAAGATATAGGTGTATATGAACAATTAATTATTAAAATCTCTATTATTCATTTATTTTATTGTGCAGTCAGTATTAACTTCACTTAGTTATAAGACTCAAAGACAATAATGTAATCGCTCAACAGCTTCTCCCTGCCCACTGCACAGACAAAACCAATTCACTGAGAACTCAGTATTGCAGTAAATAAAGAGTTTTATTAATGCAGAGCTAGCCAAGTGGTAGGACTGGAGTTATTACCAAATCAGTCTCCCCAAGAACTCAGACGCTAGGATAATTTGGTGGGCATGAGGTTAGGGAATGGGTGATGCTGATTAGTTGGGGATGAAATCATAGAGGTGTAGAAAATGGTCCTCGTGCGCTGAGTCCACTTCTGGGTAGGAGCCATGGGACCAGTTGAGTCATGAGTCCCAGCCAAGTGGAATCAGTCAGTTGCTAGAATGCAAAAGTCTGAAAAACCTGTCAAAAGACTAATCTCAGGTTCTACCATAATGATGTTATCTATAGGAGCAATTGGGGAAGTCACAAAATCTTGCAACCTCTGGCCACATGAGTCTTGAGCAGCAAGGGATTATAAAAGGGCAAACTAGGGGACAATGGATGATTATTGTTTAGCTATACCTACATTTTAGCAGAATTCAGGCCCCTCCCATAATCCTAACCTCTTGGCCTTTCATTAGTTTTACGAAGGCAGTTTTGATCCCTGAGCAAGAAGGGAGTTAATTTTAAGGAGACATTATTATCATCCTTACTTCAAAATTAAATTATAAATTCCTCCCATAGTCAGCTTGGCCTACACCAAAGAATGAGCAAGGACAAGCAGCCTGGGAAGCTAGAAACAAGATGGAGTCAGCCATGATAGACTTCTCTGTCATAATCTTTGACAGCTTTCAATTATTTAGTTTTCATAAAAATAGTTCATTATTTTTCTTTATCAAATCAAATCTGATTCCAAATCCCTTCCTCCACAGTCCAGAGAATTGCAGGACAGCCTTAAGGACTTAGGTTCTTAGTGGTCCCTACTAATATGCCTCTTATTCCAGTCTGCATGATCCCTTAAAGGCAGCGGCTCCATCCCTTCCTGCCATGCCAAGTTGGGCCATGTCAGGGGCATTCTCACCAAGAATAGGATCCCAGCAGCCATTCTCTTCTGATGTCTTGCCATATTCCCAATGGCTGAAATAAAGAAGGGAATGGGGAAGTCAAGGACCTTGATTCACTAAGTCAAATTTCACTTCTTGGCTGGGGGCAGTGGCTCACACCTGTAATCCCAGCACTTTGGGAGGCTAAGGAAGGCAGATTGCTTGAACCCAGGAGTTCACGACCAGCCTGGGCAACATGACAAAACCCCATCCATACAAAAAATACAAAAATTAGCTGGACATGGTCATGCATACCTATAGTCCCAGCTACTTGTGAGGCTAAAGTGGGAGGATCACTTAAGCCTGGGAGGTTGAGGCTGCAGTGAATTGTAATTGTGCCATTGCACTCCAGCCTGGGCAAAAGAGTGAGACTCTTTCTCAAAAAAAATTTCTAAAATATTTGAGAAATTAAAGATTTCTTCTCTAAAATCTTTGAGAAATTAAAGATTTCCATCAAAAACATTAACCGTAGTCATCTCTTTCTTCATATTCCTAGCTATCATCTTCCAACAAAAAAATGACATAAGAGTCCCCATTGTAGACTTTGAGGCCTTTTAAATCAGTGTATTAGATATGTCTTGCTTGTCCCCCAGATCCACACCAGAGCATTTTCTACATTGCTCTCTGTTCTGAGAGGATGCCCTCTATGGATCATATCAACGGGTCTCCATGCTTTCTGGTTTGATTTTGCCAATGGGGAGCCCTGGCAGAAATTGGAAAGAAGATGGAAAATATAGTCAAGTATATTGTGAAGGGAAAACTTTAACCATGTTTTACCTCTACCCTCACACCACAATAATCATCAACACAGATATCTGTGACCAATGTGTGGGGATATTTTCCCCACACACCAAACAGCAGATACTAGCTGGGTGTCCTCTAATTCAGTTTCAACGCTCTATACCCAGAGATAGTGTCAGATCTTGCAGATTGACAGTTCAGTCCCCAAGACTGCCCCTCCCAACACACCAGTCACAAGTCTGAGCCTCTGGAACTTCTGACTGACCAGCTTTAAGTTGGGATTCCCATGACCCTGTCTTTGGGTTCAATTAATTTGCTAGAGTGGCTCACAGAACTCAGGGAAACACTTCCATTTACCAGTTTATTATAAAGGCTATTGCGAACAATACAGAAGAAGAGAAGTGAAGAGTGAGGTATGAAGGAAGGGGTGCAGAGCTTCCATGCCCTGCACACCACCCACCAGGAACCTTCATGTGTTCATTATTGTTTAGCTATACCTACATGTTCAGGTCTCCAGAAGTTCACTGAACTCTGTCCTCTCGGGTTTTTTTGGAAGCTTCATGATGTCAGCATCCCTTCCCCCAGGGTCTAGGGTGGGACCTTCTCATGGGAGGATCTTAAGGCCCACAATCAGAAAACTGGAGTCCTGCCTTGGGGCAGGTGAAAGGAGGGCCGGAGAAGGTCAGAGTCCTGCCCCTGAGACCTAACACATCCAACATCATAACAAAGGACTGTAATAAAGGCTATGGGAGTTATAAGCCAGGAGCCCTGGATGAAAACCAATATATATCATCACACCACATATTTATTCCCTGTATTAGTCCGTTTTCACACTGTGATAAATATACTACGTGAGACTGGGTAATTTATAAAGAGGTTTAATTGACTCACAGTTCTGCATGGCTGGGGTGGCCTCAGGAAACTTAAAACATGGTGGAAGGCGAAGGGGAAGCAAGCACCTTCTTCACAAGGTGGCAGGAGAGAGAGAGAGTGCACAGGGGAAACTGCCACTTTTAAAACCATCAGATCTCATAAGAATTCACTCACTATCATGAGAACAGCATTGGGGAATCAGCGCCCATGATCCAATCGTCTGTCACTAGGTCCCTCCGTCCAACATGTAGGGATTACAATTTGAGATGAGATTTGGGTGGGGACACAGAGCCAAACCATATCATTCTCCTAGCTTCCTTCCTGAACGGTCACCTGGAGTTGGAGTTGGCTGTACTTCTTGGCAGAGGGTTGACTCCTTTTCTCAAGTATCTACGCAAATCTCTACCTCTGGATTCCAGATTCCCCCAAGCCCCACTTCTCCCTTTAGGCCCAAGGGATGGTAAAATCTCAGCTGCTACTATGTCCTTGGTTACTACATTAACCTCTGCGGTTCTACTCCACCCACACCTTCATCAATAGTCTCTGTAAATAAACCTTTCTTTCGCAGGTTATCCTGTTTAGAGTGTTATTTACTTGCTGATGGGATCCTGACTGATACAGTCAATGTGATAAAATAATTCACATTTTTTTCTTTGACTATAATAATATTTATTTCTTTTCAAAAGGATGTGTTTGTGTTTGTTTTTTTGTTTTGAGACAGGGTCTGACTCTGTCACCCAAGCTGAAGTACCAAGGCTGGTCTCTAATCTGTGGGCTCAAAAGATCCACCCACCGGGCCTGGTGCGGTGGCTCACGCTTGTAATCCCAGCACTTTGGGAGGCTGAGGCAGGCGGATCACGAGGTCAGGAGATCGAGACCATCCTGGCTAACACAGTGAAACCCCGTCTCTACTAAAAATACAAAAAATTAGCCGGGCGTGGTGGCGGGCACCTGTAGTCCCAGCTACTCGGGAGGCTGAGGCACGAGAATGGTGTGAACCCAGGAGGCAGAGCTTGCAGTGAGCCGAGATCGCGCCACTGCACTCCAGCCTGGGCGACAGAGCGAGACTCCATCTCAAAAAAAAAAAAAAAAAGATCCGCCCACCTCAGCCTCCCAAAGTGGAATGCATTTGTTTATAGCATTTATCTATGGATTTCAAAGAACTATGTAAAAAATTATTCCCATAACATTTATTGGTAGAAAGATATGAAAAAATAAATTTTAAAAGAGATTAAAATCAGAACTCTCATACAAATGTAAAATCAACATGTATCAATTTTTTTTCATTAATATTCAACTCAATAAGGAGAGAACCAGAAATAGAGAACAATCAGTTCAAAGAAGAACTCAAACACTGGGCACAGTGGCTCACATCTGTAATCTTAGTGCTTTGGGAGGCTGAGGTGGGAGGATTGCTTGAGGCCAGGAATTCAAGATGAGCCTGGGTAACATAGCAAACCTTATCTCTATAAAATATTTTTAAACTATTAGCCAGATGCAGTGGCACACACCTGTAGTTCTAGCTACTAGGGAGGCTGAGGTGGGAGGATCGCTTTAGCCCAGGAGTAGAGGTTGCAGTGAGCTAAAATTGTGCCACTGCACTCCAGCTCGAATCTTTTGTAATTAAGAATTCCTAGTAATCGATATAGATACTCCCTACATAAAGAGATGGATTTTAACTCCTCACCCCTTGAGTATGAGCTGCGTTTACTGATCTGCTTCAAAAGAGTAAAGTATGAGAGGAGGTATAAATTTATAGAGGAGAAACCTCACAAACACTGCCTTAGCCAGGTGATCAAGGTCAACATCATCAGCAATAAGACAGTTGACAGCATGTACTCTTCATATAATGTGTTAAAAATGGCACTTCACCTCTGTGATCTGCCTCCAAAGATCTATAATCTCTGCGTATAATTATAGAGGTTATATATATATATATATATATATATATATATATATATACAGTATGTATGTATATTGAAAAAAATCCAATTCCAATAGAGGGTTATTTTACAATACACCTGACCAGTGCTCCTCAAAATTGTCAAAGTCATTAAAAACAAGGAAAGTCTAAGAAACTGTCACAGCCTAAAGAAACATGATGACTAAATGTAATGTTGTTACAGTAGGTAGCCAGTCAGAAATGAACAGGGCAGAGGAGGGACCTCCCCAACCAGGAATGTCAGTCCACCATCAGGTGATGTGTCAGTTGTTGCACTGTAACAATAATAAGTTAATAATAATAATAATTGGCTGCAGCCGGTGCCAGGGAAAGGCAGTCTCCCAATAGATACAGAAAACCTGAAACTGGTTATCAGCAGCTGCCTGATAAAATCTCAAGGCTGGATACAGTGGCTCACTCCGGTAATCCAAGCACTTTGGGAAGCCAAAGCGGGAGGATCACTTCGAGGTCAGGAGTTGGAGACCAGCCTGGCCAACATGGTGAAACCGTGTCTCTACTAAAGATACAAAAATTAGCCAGGCATGGTAGCACGTGCCTGTAGTCCCAGCTACTCAGGAGGCTGCGGGAGAATCGCTTGAACCCAGGAGACAAGAGCGAAACTCAATCTCAAAAAAAAAAAAAGATCTCAGGAGTTGGGCAACTGGGTTCAGGCATGTGCACTAAAGAGGCACAGTGGCAGAGTTTAACTGGTACATGACCTTCTAGGAACATTTGACTGGTAAGGGAAGAACACCTCGGGTGAGCACGTGTACAACTCCAGTAAACACACTGTGCATGCAGCCCCTTCCAAGAGCTAGTAGGCCACTGCACATGTGTACAGCACACCCCAAGGAAAGAATCAGGGGAGAAGAGACACAAGACCCAGTAAGTATGCCAACATATAAAACCCTAAGTCAAAGGTCAAACCGTGCACTTGACTCTCTCAAGTTGCCCACTTGGCCCTCTTCCAAGTGTACTTTACTTCCTTTCATTCCTGCCCTAAAACTTTTTAATAAACTTTCGCTCCTGCTCTAAAACTTGCCTCAGTCTCTCACTATGCCCCTCAGTCAAATTTGTTCTTCTGAGGAGGTAAGAACTGAGGTTGCTGCAGACTTGTATGGATTTGCCACCACTAAAAACGTGGCATCCTGGATGGGATCCAGAAAAAGGACTTTAGGGAAAAACCAGTGAAATCTGAATAAAGCATGGAATTAAATAAAGTATGGAATACTGGCTCCTGGGTTGTCACAAATGTACCGTAGTAATTTGAGGTGTTAACAGTAGGGGAAACTAGGCAAGGAGTATATGAGAACTCTCTATTATCTTTCAACTTTTCCGTAAATCTAAACCTAACCCTATTCAAAAGTAAAAAGCTTAAAAAAAGAGAGAGCGAGAGAGGGCAGGGCACAGGGGCTTACGCCTGTAATCCCAGCCCTTTGGGAGGCCAAGGCAGGCGGATCACTTGAAGCCAGGAGTTCAAGACCAGGCTGGCCAATATGGCAAAACCCCATCTCTATTAAAAATAAAAAAATTAGCTGGGCATGGTAGTGTACACCTGTAATCCCAGCTACTTGGGAAGCTGAGGCACAAGAATCACTAAAACCTAGAGGTGGAAGTTGCAGTGAGCCAAGATAGTGCCACTGCACTCCAGACTGGGTGACAGAGCGAGACTCTGTCTCAAAAAAAAAAAAAAAAAAAAAAAAAAAAGAGAGAGAGCAAGAGAGAGAACTACACATTTATAATCAGGTTAAGAATACTGAAATGAACTTCAAATGGATGCAAAACTGGCAAAACTAGGCAATATCCACAAGGTAATAATCAGTTTCATTCCACTAAAGACAATTTTACATTTTTATAGATAGGAATGATTTGAAGATAGAAGTTTACTTCTATCTTTGCAGAGTTGTAAGACAGCCTGGTCAAAGATAAGTAAGCCCTATAAGATAGCCCTATAGGACCAGGTAATTCCCAGAGGCTCCAGCATTCCATTACAATAATATCCACAAATCTCTTTTGCCCAATTCAAAATCTTTCACAATTTCTTTCTAAAAAGGATACAGGGCCCAAATTACAAAAAGCCCTTAAAACAGACTGGCCTGACTTGGCAAAAAGGCTAACAGACATACACAAATATTCAAAAGATCATAGAATGCATTGCTAAGTTATTACAACACTGTAAACTGAAAAATAACCCAAAGATCAAGATAATTTATCAGCCTCCCCTGGGAAACCCTACAGACTGCCAAAGATATACATCACTGCCTTAGAGTTAAAAGCACTTGTTTATGTTACCTAGGCAACACAATAGCAAATGTTGCAGTAATAAAATAAGAATTAAAAAAGCAAATTGAATAAAGTAACAATCAATATTAAGTTTCAATCTAAAATCCATCTCCTTCCTGGTTATACAAACTATTCATCTTAAATATAGAGTCAGCTATTAGGTGGAAACTATTATTTTTCTAGGTCTTATATTTTCATGTGGAGGGACTTCCACAGGACCGATACTCCTGGACTCAGTCTCTGCCTATGGTAAGAAACAGCTCTATGATAAAATATATGATTGTAGACCAGTGGCGGTGGCTCACGCCTGTAATCCCAGCACTTTGGGAGGCCGAGGCAGCCAGATCACTTGAGCTCAGGAGCTTGAGACCAGCCTGGGCAACATGGTGAAATCTCATCTCTACAAAAAATACACAAATTTGCCAGGCATAGTAGCGCATGACTGTAGTCCCAGCTACTCAGGAGGCTGAGTTGGGAGAATCTCTTGAGCCTGGGAGACAAAAGTTGCAGTGAGCCGAGATCACGCCACTGCACTCTCGCCTGGGCCACAGAGCGAGAACGTGTCTCAAAAAAAAAAGACTCTGAGGGAAGAGGAAACAAACAGATTTAAATAAGAGCCTGAAATCAAAAGTACAAGGGCAAATGCTTCAAACCACAACCATGTATATATATATACACACACACACATATATATACAAATAATGTATATAAATATGTATTCATATATATATATATATATATATATATATATTTTTTTTTTTTTTTTTTTAAGACAGGGTCTCCCTCGGTTGCCCAGGTTGGAGTGCAGTGGTGTCATCTCAGCTCCCTGCACCCTTCGCCTCCCAGGCTCAAGAGATTCTCTCACCTCAGCCTCCCGAGTAGCCGGGACTACAGGCATGTGCCACCACACCCAGTAAATTGTTGTATTTTTAGTAGAGACAGGGTTTTGCTGTGTTGCCCAGGCTGGTCTCAAACTTCTGAGCTCAAGTGATCTGCCTGCCTTGGCCTCCCAAAGTGCTGGGATTACAGGTGTGAGCTGCTATGCCTGGTTAATTTTTGCATTTTTTGTAGAGATGGGGTTTCACCATGTTGCCCAGGCTGGTCTTGAATTCCTGGGTTCAAGTGGTCCACCCGCCTTGGCCTCCCAAAGTGCTGGGATTACAAGCACGAGCCACCTCGCCTGGCCTTCCCTCAGAGTCTTAATGTATGTGGCAAGTGTCTTGAAGTCAGAATTCACATGGGCCTCTCACACCTCAGTTTCAGATGCCCTAGTGGAAGACTGACTGTCTCTCGGTGATTATACTGGACACCCCTAAAGTGAAATTTGCACAGGCCCAATCAGATTATCTTAAATATTCTGTAACATTTTTGTGTGATGCGATAACAGACAGAAGCTTAATTTCACTTTTTTTTTTTCTTTGAGACTGAGTCTTGCTTTGTCACCCAGGCTGGAGTGCAGTGGTGCAATCTCAGCTCACTGCAGCCTCCGCCTCCCAGGTTCAAGCAATTCTCCTGCCTCAGCCTCCTGAGTAGCTGGGATTACAGGCTGTGCTACCATACCCAGCTAACTTTCGCATTTTTAGTAGAGATGGGGTTTCACCATGTTGGCCAGCTGGTCTCAAACTCCTGGCCTCAAGTGATCCATCCACCTCAGCCTCCCAAAGTGCTGGGATTACAGGCGTGAGCCACCATGCCTGGCCTCACTTTTACAAATGTAGTTTTATTAGCATTATGTGTTCACCTCAATAGATAATTGTTGTCCCATATTCTTAAGCTAAAATAATTGTTCTTGAATACACAATCCCCTTATGGGCTACAAGAATGTGATGATGAGACATTCTCTCTTTGCGGCGTATACTGTCAGAATGAAGACCATTCTCAGCAATCAGACAGTCAACATTCCAGAAAATGTTGATATCACTCTGAAGAAACACAGTTACTGTGAAGGGCCCCAAAAGAACCCTGCAGAAGGACTTCAATCACACCAATGTAGAACTCAGTCTCCTTGGAAAGAAAAGGAAGAGGCTCCAGGTTGACAACTTGTGGGGAAAGAGAAAGGAACTGGCTACCCTTCACACTATTTGTAGTCATGTACAGAACATGATCAAGGGTGCTACTGTGGGCTTCCATTACAAGATGAAGTCTCTGTAAGCTCACTTCCTCATCAATATCGTATTCTGGGAGAACAGGTCTCTTGTTGAAATCCACAATTTCTTGGGTAAAAAATACATCCGCAGGGTTCGAATGAGGATAAATGTTGTTTGTTCAGTATCTCAAGCCCAGAAAGATGAATTAATCCTTGAAGGAAATGACATTGAGCTTGTTTCAAATTCAGTTGCCTTGATTCAGCAAGCCACAACAGTTAAAATCAAAGACATCAGAAAATTTTTGGATGGCATCTATGTCTCTGAAAAAGGAACTGTTCAGCCGGCTGATGAATAAGATCTAAGAGTTTTCCAGCTTCTGAAACAAGATGCCCAATGAATCCTAAAATCTATTTGTGATTTTTTTTTTTTTTAGACAGTCTTGCCCTGTCATGCAGGCTGGAGTGCAGTGGAACAATCACAGCTCACTGCAGACTCAACTTCCTGGGCTCCAGCAACCCTCCCACCTCAGCCTCCCAAGTAGCTGGGACTACAGGCACGCACCAACATGCCTGGCTAATTTTTTTGTATTTTTTGTAGAGACAGGGTTTTGCTATGTTGCCCAGGCTTGTCTCAAACTCCTGGACTCAAGCAATCCTCCTTCCTCAGCCTTCCAATGTGCTGGGATTGCAGGGGTGAGCCACCGCACCTAGCCTTATTTGTGATATTTAATTATGTAATAAAATACCTATTGATTTGGAACTTTTTCTGAAAAACAAAACAAAACAAAATAAAATAATTATTCTTTACAGCTATCACCCAAA
The DNA here is from genome assembly GCF_000001405.40 of Homo sapiens. Classification (NCBI taxonomy): domain Eukaryota; kingdom Metazoa; phylum Chordata; class Mammalia; order Primates; family Hominidae; genus Homo; species Homo sapiens. The sequence continues at coordinate 31,462,328 of NC_000014.9, read as the reverse complement.
ATATAATTGCTTCATAAAATAGCCCCTTGTAATTAGAAAACTGGATATACAGATGAGGGGTATATTTTGCCACTAAATTATCCTGTAGAAGGTAAGTATTGATATTTCTCTCTGTCCATAGAAGCTGGAAGTAGTTGCTGCCCTGGATCTTCTCAGTGTGTCCTTTCAGATCCACTCTCCATCCTTCTATATCCTATTCTGTGTCCCAGGAGGCTTTTTTTATGTACTGAATCAACCCTTACTCTAACTTCCAGCTGGGTGTAGCCAATGAGAGAAATGGCAGACAATCAAAGCTAGGAGGAGAGGGAAAACAGGCTGCAGTTTGGCAGAGGCTGCATTTCTCTATGGAAGGTCACAGGTCCTGTCAAGTGTGACCCACAGTTCTTGCTGGTTCTTGAAGAAAACTATTCCTTCCTCTTACCCCTTCAGAATGGTAACTGCTTCCTGTTGTTGCTAGCCCTGGGTCCTTCACTATCCCCTGATGGTTTTCCTTAACCTTTCACATACCTGGTTAATGATCCCTTCATTCAACCTTCTTTCAACTCTCTTATTCTCGTCACTTACTTTCTTTCTTTCTTTCTTTTTCTCTCCTTCCTTCCTTCCTCTCTCCTTCCTTCCTTCCTCTCTTTCTCTCTCTTTTCTTCTCTTTTTTCTTTTCTTTTTTAGATGGAGTCTTGCTGTGTCACCCAGGCTGAAGCGCAGTGGTTCAATCTCAGCTCACTGCAACCCTCACCTCCTGGGTACAGGCGATTCTCCCACCTCAGCTTCCCCAATAGCTGGGATTATAGGCACAAGCCACCACGCCCGGCTACTTTTTGTATTTTAGTAGAGATGGGGTTTCACCATGTTGGCCAGGCTGGTCTCGAACTCCTGAGCTGAAGTGATCTATCTGCCTCGGCTTCCCAAAGTTCTGGGATTACAGATGTGAGTCACCGTGCCCGACCTTCTTTCTTTTTTCAGTAGAGATGGGGGTCCCACCATCTTGCCCAGGCTGGTGTCAAACTCTTGGGCTGAAATGATTCTCCAGCCTCAGCCTCCCAAAGTGCTGGGATTACAGGCATGAGCCACCACCATGCTCAGCTTCTCTTCACCTTTTGAAAGTGTGCCATCTGTTTTCTGTCAAGACAACTGCTTAGACAATTTTTCCAAGCCAAAATTATATCTGCCACTGTATAGAACTTTAGGAACCTAATTTTTTCATTTATGTGTTATAGTAGACAAAACTACTTTTTCAGAAATCCTTAAATCCACCTTCATATATAACCAGCATAGCTATTCATCCAAATGCACGTCCTAATTTGGCCTTTCCCTTTTCAATATACAGTGTAACCTCCCTGTTTGCTCTTTTGATCTCTAAATCACAGTGTCTTGGTCAATAATATAAAATACCCTACTCCACAAGCCCTTGCCATGGACTAAACCTTGAACGATCCCATGGTTCAACACTTCTCAAAAGCCCAGTTGAGAAAATTGATTAGGATTAAGTGAAGTACACAAAGTTCATGCATTAATCTCTAGTAGAGTAGGACCGTCACATTAGTATATTTAGACCATATTACATCTGAAGGCTTGCTTTTATTGTGGGGTTATATCAAGGGATTCTGATTTTATCAAGGAACAATTAAAGAAATTGCCCTAGAAAATCTGATACTACATTTGCTGTAGGGACATAGTTTAGTATATTTCTCACTGTCTCCTGTGCTTAGTACTTGGGGTCATAGTTAGGTGTCTTCCACAAAAAAATTTTCTCACCCTCTTTGTTCGAGTTCTCATTTACCAAGCAACATCCTGATTTCTGTGTTACTCTCTCTACATAAAAATAATATGCTGGTCATACCGATTTTGAGTATTTCTCATAGTTAATTAATAAAGAGACTTCTGAATATGATCTAGCTTCCTATGCTTCACCACAGGGGGAAACATGCTGACCATGCCCTATGTGAGAATTTCTACTCCATGTCATGGCAATATTTCTTGTTGTAAATGACTAAATTAGTATTCTGGTTCTACCCCAATCTAATGTGCATTTTAGTTAATGTTAACCAATTTCTCAGAACCTGGTTATTATTTTTTTTTTCAAAAAAAAATAAATCTCTGGGCTTTAAACTAGAAAAAAAAATATCTGGGCTTTAAACTAGAGGGCTAGATACTGTCTTCCCTAAGATAAGATACCTACCTCTTCCAGTTGCACTTGTTTTTTTTTGGTTTTTTTTTGTTTTGTTTTGTTTTGGTTTTTTTTTGAGACGGAGTCTCGCTCTGTTGCCCAGGCTGGAGTGCAGTGGCGCAGTCTCGGCTCACTGCAAGTTCTGCCTCCTGGGTTCATGCCATTTTCCTGCCTCAGCCTCCCGAGTAGCTGGTACTACAGGTGCCCGCCACCACGCCTGGCTAATTTTTTGTATTTTTTAGTAGAGACTAAAAATGGTTTCACCGTGTTAGCCAGGATGGTCTCCATCTCCTGACCTCGTGATCCACCCACCTCAGCCTCCCAAAGTGCTGGGATTACAGGCATCAGCCACCTCGCCAGGCCTGCACTTGTATTTATTAACATATCCTATATAAAGTCTCAGGTAAGAGGCTCAGCTGAGAGCTAAATCTGAGGAAAAGCTCTGCTTATCCCTAGAACTATGAAATAGATTATACTGCCCTTCCCTATCCTCTCCTATTTACAACCAGGAAGCTTAGCATCAACTCTAAGGAATCTTTTAGAAATGGTTCTCAAACTTTTCATGTTTGTGAAATACTTTGAATGCCAGAATTTAGGGCAGCCAACTTAAATGAATTAAAGAAGGTAAAATAACACTAAATTAGTTATTGTACCATCTCAGAGGACATAGAACCCATCCACAATTAATCCCCTATCCATATGGTACACTTTCAGCATTGTAGGTGTTTGAGAATTATCTCTGCTCAATGATTTCTCATACAATGACAAGGCAAAGCTCTCTCACATTCCAGTGAACCACCATCTTCTTGTAAAGCCAACTTAATGCTATGCTTTGCCTTTAGTTCCAACTTGAAACAAATTGTACAACCTACAGCACCTCAATACTACATACAATGAACATAATTGTTTTATAACAAAAATTAAAGTTATACATTTGTGAAAATTTTGCTGCATACTATATCATCTCAGCACTCCAGTTGAGAACCACTGTCTTACCTGTTTTCAATTTCCCCCATTGTGGCTTACTGACATAATTCTAGTTTCTTTATTTCTAATGCTTTAATTCACATTTTACTATTTTATTGCATGCATGTCCTTCCTTCTTAAATTATTTGCAGAATGAAACTAAGTGTTCAAAAAATAAAATACAGAAAGGAAATGCTGTCTTTGGTGGCCACTCTCTATAGCCTTCTGCAAATAGAAGTAAAAAATAAGTGAGCCACAGCCTATTACAGTACCTACAGCAATGTCCACGAGATCCTCACTCAATAGGAGGGTTTAAAGTAATTAGTGATTTTTGAGAAGCTAACCATTACCATCCATACTCCATCTATTCTACTCACAGGAAGGGTTTCCCAATTTGTTAAAGAAACCCTCTCTGTAGAAAGATCTCTGCGAACCACATAACCTATTCTCTATAGACCTCCCTATTTCCTGCAGCCACATACAAATGGACACCAAAGTCTTTTCTTATTCTGGGACATAGCTAATGGTTTGTATGTCAAAGTTTCTTTCAGGCCTGTAAAATCTGAATCTGAGAGCCGGAGAGAAAAGAGACTCAGTAGTTATAATGACATAAAGGTGCAGACATGAAGCAATTCAACTTGTCTGTGCTTTGCAGACAAATGTCAACAACTGTTGGAATCCCTGCAATGCAACAATCAGAGATCATGTGAGATTTTGCTTTCTGTTTTTACTAAAAGTGTAAACCTGGCTGCAAGATAACCAGCAAACAAGCAGCTTCGATTTTGTGTACAAAGGACTGTTGATTATGCATGGACTATTTTCTTCAGTCACACTACTTTGTATGGATAGCAACACTGTCAGTGATGTCATCTTTTTAAACAACAGATCCGAATGTATAGGCACATTGTGTCAACTGAGCCCAAATCAATGACCTGGGTAATGCAATCAGGGTAACACTATTATTCCTCATCTAAACCATCCAAGCCCATAGACAAATAAATGCTAATCTGATGCATGTTTAAGGAATACGTTACATGGGAAAGAAAATCAAGCCCTTGTTTAGTTTTATTTACATTCTAATATGTACTTCCAGAAAATGCATCACAGAATTTACGTCATATGCATCAGAATAAGCTGTTTTATTTTTGTATTAGTAGCGGGCTAAGTTATTAACAATCATACTTTCTTGGATAAGAACATTTTTAACAAGGATATCTTCTAAAGAATGTGTATTCGTATAGCATACCAATACCTTTTCACAACTGTGGAATCAGAATAATTTATGGCATTCCCGATAGAGGAGGCAGCATTGTTTTTATTGATTGGAATAAGGAAAATTTTGAAGGATGTATATATAGCTTTTAGTTCCATCTCCGCTTGCTTTATGATTCGATTATTTGTTTACTTACTTTCATATGGGCATAACATGAATTTAAATCAAGCAGATTTAAAATTTTTCAACAGTTGGAACCTAAGCTTTCTGAGGTGAAAAATGTTTCTTAAAAGGTTTGTAGGAAAGAGATTTAACGAGTCTTTTCAATCGTTTAATAAAAGTATACACTGAGCGCCTTCTACAGAGTTGGGCAGGTGCTGCCGAGAAGCTTAGCGCTACGCCGGCCTCCAAGACCGCACATCCGGGACATTCGAGAGTCAGTCCGAGGCCCCGCCCTCCTAAGGGCGGGGCCACTGGGCAATCGGCGCAGGCCCTTCGTCGTGCCCCGCCTCGTCTGCCCCGCCAGCGCGTCGAGGGAGGGGCCAGCGACACATGGCCTAGTAACTGTCCGGCCGCGGCGCTGGCTTAAGCCATGGCTGAGGGTAGCCGGATTCCTCAGGCCCGGGCGCTCCTACAGCAGTGCCTGCACGCCCGGCTGCAAATTCGCCCAGCCGATGGGGACGTCGCGGCCCAGTGGGTGGAGGTAACGTCAGCCCGGCAGCTCTCGTTATCCTCCGGCGTGCGGGGCGGTTTTTTCCGCGTTGTCTCGGTGACTCGTCCGCTCTGTGTCTCCCTCTGAGACCGGCGGTCCGGCCGCGGGGATACCGGGTCAGCTTGAAGCTGGCCGCGGTGGCCTGCCTGGCTGCGCTTGTCTTTTCGGTCCAGCATCACCGTTCCCCAGCGCCAGTTGTAGCACCCGAGAGGAAGAGCGTGTCTCCCTTCTTGGGGGGACCACAGGTATTTGAAACTGAGTTCGGTGAACTTCAGGCCTTACTGTCTCAGACCCCTTGCAGCTCGTGGTCTATGCTGGTCGGGGGCAAGCTTGTAGGTCAGGTTTGCTGCAAGAGTTCATGATCTGCTTTGACTTACGCCTCAGATCGCGTCGAATTCCCCCCTATGTTGACTTGGTCTTAGCATAGAAATGAGATTTCCTAAGAAACAATTCTATTTCAAGAAGCCTTTTAAAAGTTTTGACCAATTTCCAACTGAGAAACAAAGACCTCTACTTTTATAACAATGTTGCCTTATCAAACACATTTCTCCAAAGAATTTAAAACATTTATGTCACTATGAGTTCCTTCTACTTTCATACATACTTTACTTTTTAAGACCGCCTGCCCCCACTGCATACAAAAACAAATAAAATTTTCTTTAAGGCCTCTGACGTATTTTTGGAGTACGTTGAAATGTAAGAAAAAAATTAGTTCATAATTAAGACTTTTGTAGATACTCAGAAACTTCAGTGTAGCAAAATCTCATTCGCTCGCCTTTTCTGCTGAATTCGGTCCCAGATCTAGCATTACTTAAAACAATTTTAGTTATTATTTTACATTTATTTTATTTTTTATATTTTATTTATTTATATTTTATTTTATTTTTTGAGATGAATTCTCGATCTGTCGCCCAGGCTGGAGTGCAGTGGCACGATCTCGGCTCACTGCAACCTCCGCCTCCCGGGTTCAAGCAATTTTCCTTCCTCAGCCTCCCGAGTAGCTGGGACAACAGGCGCAAGCTACCACGCTAACTTGTATTTTTAGCAGAGACGGGGTTTCGCCATTTTGGCCAGGCTTGTCTGGAACTCCTGACCTCAGGTGATCCACCTGCCTCAGCCTCCCAAACTGCTGGGATTACAAGCCTGAGCCACCGCACCCCGCCTACTTATTGTAAATAGTACCCGTGAACTATATGATGTGTGGGTGATTATTCTAAAATCAGAATCTGTTGCCCTGTGCTAATTTGGAAATATAAGCATAGAAATTCCTGTATTCTTATCTCTCTCCTTTCCCAGAAATTCACTTTTCTTATTTCTTATTTTTGTCATGATTTTTTGTGAGGTCTTGATTTCCTTATTTGAAATTTTATTATTTTATTTTGCCATCCTATCTAAAGAATTAACCTGCCAGGCGCGGTAATCCCAGCACTTTGGGAGGCCAAGGCCGGCGGATCACTTGAGGTCAGGAGTTTGAGACCAGCCTGGCCAACATGTTGAAATCCCGTCTCTACTAAAAATACAAAAATTAGCCGGGCTTGGTGGCGGGCACCTGTAATCCCAGCTACTCGGGAGGCTGAGGCAGGAGAATCTCTTGAATCCGGGAGGCAGAGGTTGTAGTGAGCCAAGATCACGCCACTGCACTCCAGCCTGAGCCACAGAGTGAAACCTCATCTCAAAAATAAATAATAAATAAAATAATTATCCTTTTTTTTTTTTTTTTTTTGAGACAGAGTCTCACTCTGTCACCCAGGCTGGAGTGCAATGGCGCAATCTCGGCTCACTGCAACCTCCGCCTCCCGGGTTCACGCCATTCTCCTGCCTCAGCCTCCCAAGCAGCTGGGACCACAGGCGCCCACCACCACGCCTGGCTAATTTGTTGTATTTTTACTAGAGACGGAGTTTCACCGTGCTAGCCAGGATGGTCTCGATCTCCTGACCTTGTGGTCCGCCCACCTCGGCCTCCCAAAGTGCTGGTATTGCAGGCTTGAGCCACCGTGCCCGGCCGAATTATCCATTTTTATAGTTGCATCCAGACACTATAATTGCAAACTATCAGTCATTTAGTTTCCTTCCATGCTTATTTATCTTTTTTATGTTGTTCAGGCTACATCTCCTTATGCAAAATCACATGTATTTTATTGCTGGCATCCAAACTATCAGTTTGTGTTTATAAACTTAAAAACTATTTTAAAGGCTTTCCCTTTCACTCCTACACACATAACTAAATTAGTTTAAAGAGCTGACAAGTAATTTAGATGGTGAGAAAATGTAAATTCTTTCTTCTTACATATTCTCTACCCTGTTCTATTATTAAAAGTTCTTGTTTTTTTAGAAACAGCATTTTAATTGTCAAGATTTGAAGGTTACTTTCTTTGCTTGTTCTTAGTTTCATTCATTTAGAACTTTGCTGTCACAGACTAATGTTTTTGTTCCTGGTAAGTGAACTTTTTAAAGCTACAGTGAGAATTATCTGTATTTTTCTATATATTTGAAATGTTTTATACCAAAGAAGTTATAAGGAAAGTGATTTTTGACTTGAAGTCACAGCTTAACATCTATTATGGAATAAATGAAAGGCAAAGACCTTAATGAGGAGATAATGTTAGTGGAAAGAACAGGTATCGTTCTGCAAATGATTAGGTATTTATTTCTGACATTGCATGTGTCCAAATATAAATATGCTTAAGATTTCGATTCATGATGAAAACAATACTAGTGGAGAGGCCTGTGACAGTAGTGCAAATACCTATAATAACTTGCCAGCTTCTCGTGGGTATGCATTGGAGGCCCTTGCCTATTGTTTCAGTAGCACGATTGTACTTTTTAAAACTCACTTCTTTTCCAGGTAAATCACGTGTGAGTGCAGAGCTGCATTTACATTTATCTAGAAAATTCTTTGGATAACGCATAGAGCCTGGAACATATAGTTGAATGTTAATGCAATCAACAGATAAACTGAATCCCTATCGTGTACAAAACAGCCTGTAAAGTGCTTTGGAAGTTAAAATGTGAAATAAATTGTGCCTCTGCCCTTAAATTTATTTTTACATACTCATTTAATAAACACTAATATAGCACTTACTATGAACCAGGCACTGTGTTTAAGTACTTTACAAATGTTAACTCATTTAATCTTCCTAATAGCTCCTGGAGTCAAGATTAATTTACAGAATCAAAAAAATCTAATGATTCACTCAGAAGCAGAATCAAAGTCACTATTCAAATGTCTCTTTTCTGTATAGTCTCTGTCCTACAAGATCTAAGAAATATCCAAGCCATTATGTAAAATAAATAAGCCTATATTCCTGATAACAACCAACCTTTTAATGTAGAATTTACTATCACAAATGCAGTTTTCAAGTCCTAATCATGTTTATATAAAGCATTAACAACAATAACAACAACAACAACAAATAATTGGACAGTTTCCTGGAGCTTATAGAAATAGAATCAGACCCTTATTTTCATTATTTGTAAGTAAATGGATTAGGGGAAATAAAGAGAGATGATGTCAAAAGATATCAGTCACATGTTGTTTATCCATCAGCTGTATCTGGTATAATGTGAATTCACTTGGCATTGAATAAATGGGGCCCAGCAAACGAAATGTTTCTAAGTCTGTCACCCTTACTTGAGAAAAGGCTGGTTGATCCTCTTAATGATTTTGATTAGAAATAAATGTTTGAAGGTATAACTTGTCTTCACTGCTCTTGGGTATATTTTAAACTTAAATTTGAAAGAAATAACTGAGATGATTGAAAATTGAAAAATATTTTGTTTTCTCACATGAGAAATCTTTTGTAAAGTTCATTTTCTGTGCTTTTAACCTCTATGTCTATAATATTAATAGTTGTGAAACTGTACCCATTTAGCCCTGTATCTTTACAGATATTGTTGTAATCTGAGTTTACTGTGGTGATTTCTCATAGGTCCAAAGAGGACTGGTGATCTACGTGTGCTTTTTCAAGGGAGCTGATAAAGAACTTCTTCCCAAAATGGGTATGTGTTTGACTTTGTTTCTTTTTTAAGAGTGAGAGGCCAAGCATGGTGCTCACACCTGTAATCCCAACACGTTGGGAGGCCAAGGCAAGTGGATTACTTGAACCCAGGAGTTAGAAGCCAGCCTGGGCAACATAGTAAGACCTCTTCTCTACAAAAAATAAACAAAAGTAGCTGGGTACGGTGACCTGTGCCTATGGTCCTAGCTACTTAGGAGGCTGAGGCTGGAAGATTACTTGAGGCCAGGAGGTCGAGGCTGCAGTGAGCCGAGATGGTGCCACTGCACTCCAGCCTGGGCAACAGAGTGAGACCCTGTCTCAAAAAAAAAAAAAAAAAGAGAGTGAGAAAGAATAGTAATAGACAAATGAACCCGAAGGGACAAAAAGCACAATCTCTTTCCTCCCCTTTTATTTTTAAAATAATAAATAATAATTTTACATATTCATGGGATACATAGTGATATTTTAATACTGTATACAATGTATAACAATCAAACCAGATATGCATTATCTCAAAAATTTATTATTTGTGTTGTGAACATTTAAAATCCTTTCTTCTAGACTTTTGACAGTATACAATAAATTATAGTTAGCCATATTCATCCTACAGTGCTCCAGAACACCAGAACTCATTCCTCCTATCTAGCTATAATTTTGTATCCATTAACCAATCCCTGCCCATCCTAAGAAGCACAATGTTAAATTGTGCTGTTAAATTATTAATTACTTAATTCTATCTAGTGTTATTGGCCTTAGCTATTTGCCTGTTTCAAAGTTTAAAGTAAGCAAGTATGGTGGAATTTTTTTAAAACATCTGCAGCATTTCAGTGACTTACAGATTGATGTAGAAGAGTGTACACACATACACATACACACAGTGCACTTCAGCCAAGGATACAGAAACTTCTTGGAAGTAGGGTGGTCACACAGGGAGAAACAGATGCTGCATTTCTTAATATAGTTTCCTTTATCCCCTAGAGCCCCTAACAGAGGCAGTAGATGACACTGTATATACAAGATGTGGGTCTCATCAAACCTGGACAACTCAAGTTTATATCATTATTATGGAAGAATTTGCATTAGCCATGTGTGCACTTCCTTGTGGAAATAAGAATAGATGTAAGGTTCTCCTGGGTCTTGAGCTGAATTCAGTGTCATCACAGCCACACCTCCTCCAAGGACATGGAAAACAGAGTCAATGTTAGGGATCTCTGAATAGTAATTTACCTACCTGCAGCTTTCTGGTTTCCTGGACGGGCTATAGCACTGTATAGTGATATGTATATATACACTATCTCACATAGCTATAGCAATTCATGTGATAATTACATAGGTTCAGATATACCAAATCAAATCATACCCTCTCAGGACAGTATTTGGATATAAAGATTATATCCACAAACAAACATACATACAAACTTGAAAGAAAAGCTATCCTTAAGGTTGGGAACAGGTTGTATTCTCCTCATTAGTAAAGGACAGCATCCATTAATAAGTTGGATTAATAAGAAATATTAATTATACAAATGGGCAGTTGAAGCTTACAGAAAACCTAGAAGAGCTTCAAGGGCAAATAGGCCAATGAGGAAGAGCTTAGACAAAAAGCTAAAACTCCTAGAGGGAATTTTATACTGACATATCAAACATGTCTGACAACTTTGTCAAAAGATGAAAACCAGACTTAAGAGACTATGCTAGGTGAGAATGGAAAGCCAGTAACTGCAATAGTTTGAAATTTGAATCCAGAAGATAATAAGGAACCTCTGATGGGTTAAGAGCATAATGTTCTGGTCTGAAGAAGAAAGAAAAAAAAAGAGAGAGAGAGAGAGGCCAGGCGCGGTGGCTCACGCCTGTAATCCCAGCACTTTGAGAGGCCTAGGTGGGCAGATCACGAGGTCAGGAGATCAAGACCATCCTGGCTAACATGGTGAAACCCCGTCTCTACTAAAAATACAAAAAAATTAGCCGGGTGTGGTGGTGGGCGCCTGTAGTCCCAGCTACTCGGGAGGCTGAGGCAGGAGAATGGCATGAGCCCAGGAGGTGGAGTTTGCAGTGAGCCGAGATCACGCCACTGCACTCCAGCCTGGGCGACAGAGGGAGACTCCATCTCAAAAAAAAAAAAAAAAAAGAACATAATGTAATGAGGACTCCTATTACAGAGAATAATTGTCAGATCCTAATGCTGGAGTGTTACACATTCTGTCCACTTTCCTAAATTAATATTTTGCCTTGGATTAAATCTTTTTTGGTCCATAAAAAATGTAGAAATCTTCAAAAACAGGAAGAAAGTATTTGTCATTCTGACTTAAGATTGACTTCATAAAGTTGTCTTATGAATTCTCAAATGGTTCTTCATCATAATAGGATGAAATATGCCTATCATATCCAAACCACATGTTATTTTATAGTGATTAAATCCTGTGTGCTTCCATATCTGTCTTTGTGAGTTCACTTTAAATACATGCATAAGATTGTAGTGAATTTAAAACACTGAGGAGGTCCACCCTGACTCTTGTGGATGGTCTGACACTATCTAACACATGATTTTTTATATCATGATTTTCAGTAAAGAAATATATGACTCTAAGAATCATATTCTACTCGTTTGAGTTGTAAGCAAAGTAAGTCCATCTATTATTAATAGTATTAGCTTGTACTTCCCTCTATTCCAGCAGGCTAAGTAAGTCAATGTGGTGGGATTCTCTTAAGCCTCACCTCATATTTATTACATAGATTCAGATATTTCCAATCAAAGCATATATCACTTGAGAATATAATAACCAGTTAAATCTGCAAAATCTGAAATAGCATGGTTAACATAGAGATGTGTAGAATCTTCCTCAATTCACCTTCAGTATAATTGGACAGAGAGGGCAAGAAACCTGTCAAAGCTTAACATCTCCTATACATCATTAGAGATACTTGATTGATAACCTGTTTTAGGATATTTGAGTTTCCAGCATGCCATTAATTCATTGTCTCGTTTTAATTCTACTTACTGTTTCTACATTGTATTTATCTACATACTGATATTTGTATGCCAACAGCATTAACTGAAATCTCAATTATAGCCAGTAGAGGGAGGTATGTGGAAACATAATAAATTGTAGCATTACCTCTCAGGCCTGTTATTCCAAAATTGCCTATTTACTCTGTCACTAGCTGGAGGCCTAGATAGCTAGATAGTGATTTCGAGTGGAATGAAGTGCCCTGGAAAGTTTCCTTACAAGCAGTCAATAAAGACTGCTGGCTAAACAGCAAAGTCCTATTTGTAATAGAGAAAACTAGAGGTATTTAAAAATAAATGTTAGTTAAGTGAAAATTGATGATGCTTAATGCCTAGCTTAGGAATTCATTTGGGTGTTCGCCTTGGCAGGTTTTTACCAGATTAATTCCATGATTTGTAGAGAGGGGTAACCATATGAATACTTACTACAGACCCTCTAATAATTAAAACCGTTAGCTACCCCAACAGAAAGCATGCCTTTTAATGCCTAATTTGAGGGCAGGTGTCTTGAAGTTTATGTAGTTCCTTCTACCATTTGCCCTCTCAGGACTATTCTTTGCAAACAGAAGTCATGTATACCTTTATAGAGGTAGGGAGACCCTAGGTCTATTTATATTAGACACTTCTTTTGCTTATTGTTTCAAAAATGGTTAATGTTGAGGTATAAAGGCTTTCTAAGTTTAGGCTTTTAGCTATATATGGATATTTATGGTGGTTTCGACACTTCTTATTAGCTATAGGAAATCTCACGAATGCTACAAAAATAATATCACGTTTTCGTATATGTGTATGAAGATAATGCCATAGCTTTATATCTTTTTATTTACTTTTTCAGTTGTAACAATGAATTTCTGATGATTCTTGCTTTCACCTTTACCCTTCTCTCATGAGTAATATTTATACAATGATTAGTCCATGTTCATATTGCCTTTAAGGTTATTAAACAACAAAATTAGCTGGTTTATATTGGGATTGAAACAGGAACCTTTGTCTCTGCTTAAAACTCTTGGCAACTAAGTTTAAAATAATAACTGCGCTAAAATTGTTATTTGATATTCCATTATAAAGAAGAATTTAGCTGGGCGTGGTGGCTCACGCCTGTAATCCCAACGCTTTGGGAGGCCAAGGCGAGTGGATCACGAGGTCAGGAGATCGAGACCACCCTGGCTAGCATGGTGAAACCCCATCTCTACTAAAAATACAAAAAATTAGCCGGGTGTGGTGGCACGCACCTGTAGTCCCAGCTACTTGGGAGGCTGAGGCAGGAGAATCGCTTGAACCCAGGAGGCAGAGGTTGCAGTGAGCAGAGATCACGCCATTGCACTCCAGCCTGGGCGACAGAGTGAGACTCTGTCTCTAAATAAATACATAAATAAATAAAGCAAGCAAGCAAGCAAGCAGAATTTGGTGTGAGGAGGAGTTATCCTCATATTTTTCCAGTGGGATTTACTTACTAAATAAAAAGAACAGGAAGGTAAAATCTTCTCATGTATTCCCCCAGGGGAACAATATTTGAGGTTCCAGTGTACAGTTAATTCTTTAGACCTTTCTGGATGAACTTATTGTTAGGTTATCTTAACTGCCAATTCAGATTTAAAATATCATGCCATTTTCTGCATGAAAATTGCCTTATTTTTCATGCTTAGATTATTTAGCTTAGTGAAGCAGTATTTTAAATCTAAATAGAGACTTTGGGTTAGAGGCATGAGCTGACAAACTGAATTTTAAACATGAGATTTGCTGACTAAAAACTTGATGGTTTTCTTCATGTTTGTTTTTCACTTTAAAATGTTTTGCCTTTCTTCCTCACCCAGTTAATACACTGTTAAATGTGAAATTAAGTGAGACAGAAAATGGCAAGCATGTCTCTATATTGGATCTACCTGGCAACATTCTTATTATCCCTCAAGCTACCCTTGGAGGAAGACTAAAAGGAAGAAACATGCAATATCACTCTAACTCTGGAAAAGAAGAAGGGTTTGAACTTTACTCTCAATTTGTGACTCTATGTGAAAAAGAAGTAGCTGCTAATAGCAAGTGTGCTGAAGCTAGGGTTGTAGTGGAACATGGCACTTATGGGAACAGGCAGGTGTTAAAGCTGGACACCAACGGACCATTCACACACTTAATTGAGTTTTGAAAATGAAAAACTAGTTTCTATAGCTGTTTTCTGGTATGAAATGATCTAAAGTATAATTAGATTTTCTTCCCCTTAATCTTGAATATACTAATCTTCAGCATTTTTAGACAGGAAAATCTTGGGTTTCATATATAACTCTGCACCTGCTAATTGGATGACTTTGCCAAGTCACCTAAACTCTGGATCTCAGTCACCTTTTGTCCTACATTCCTCTACCCTTCTACTTGAAAATTTGAAATATGCTGTCTATTCACTTCATAGTCATTAAGGAAATGTTCTTAATTGTTTTTTTGTTTTTGTTTTTTTTTTGAGATGGAGTCTTGCTCTGTCGCCAGACTGGAGTGCAGTGGCGCAATCTCGGCTCACTGCAACCTCCACCTCCTGGATTCAAGCGATTCTCCTGCCTCAGCCTCCCAAGTAGCTGGGATTACAGGCGCATGCCACCATGCCCAGCTAATTTTTTTGTATTTTTAGTAGAGATGGGGTTTCACCGTGCTGGCCAGGATGGTCTCGATCTCCTGACCTCGTGATCCGCCCACCTCGGCCTCCCAAAGTGCTGGGACTACAGGCATGAGCCACCGTGCCCGGCCTCTTAGTTGTTTTTTAAAAATTATGTACATTTTAAGTATTTTGCAATGAAGAAATTCATGCAAACAAGAAAAACACATTTCTTATACCATCAAATTTGTGTAGCATGTAATAAAAATAACTATTTGTATTAAAATTAGGTAAACTTCAGCACAACCCAATTATAACTTTGTTAATTTTGTTTACTATTTCAGTTTTCTGTATTTCCATATGTAAGTCACCATTTCTTTTAATAATATGCATGAAAATGTAATATAGGGCCAAATGTGGTGGCTCATGCCTATAATCCCAGCACTTTGGGAGGCCGAGGTGGGAGGATCACTTGAGCCCAGGAGTTTGCGACCAGCCTGGGCAGAATAGCAAGACCCAGTCTCTAACATATACATATACATATAGATATATATGTAATATAGAAGGGTTATTGTGTGTTATATTACTTTCCAGGGACATTCAAATGTTTTACATTACTTTAAGAATCTTTACTTGATATAAGAACAAAGTATAAGGGTTTAAAAGTTGTTTTTATTAAACATACTATATAAATGGGTTAATGGTCTATTTTTCAGTTTTTACCAAAATCATGTGTCTCACTTTTTGTCTTCGCTTTTTAAAGAACTGGTTCATGAAATTAGTGTTAGTTCATAAATTGTTTAAGAAGTTCCTTTTCCATTGAATTAGATTGCTGTAAAAGGGAGAAAAAGGGAAGCTTCCCATAAGAATAGTTTGAAAACAAATTGACTTGTTCATTTCCATATTATCTGCTTGATGATATGGAGCCAGTGTCAATTTTTCTGTTAGTGAATGTTTTGGACTAGATGTTCCCGTCCCCAAAATTTATATGTTGAAGCCCTTATTAATGTGATGGTATCTGGAGATGGGGCTCCTCCAACCATCCCATCCTGGAACATATAAGCCAGAAAGAAAGTAGTCTCCAGAAACAGACCATGCTGACACCTTGAGTTTGAACTTCTAATCACCAGAACTGTGAGGAAATAAATTTCTGGTGTTTAAACCACCCAGTCCTATGGTATTTTGTTAGGGCAGTCTGAGCTACGACAGTGATATAAGATAGACAGCTAGTAAGGTAAACTTTTCAAAGGCAAGAGAGGAAGATATACAAGAAATTGAAAGAATAATTAAGTCAGTAAGAGGTAATATTCAGTTTTGGCAAACTCCTCTGACTTGAGTTGAAAATACTTTTTTTTTTTAAGAGTAAAAACCAAATAACTAATTCTAATTGGCAAAAAAAGGTAAATAAATAAACATCCTAAGTAGCTGCTGAAATTTCCGTTGTGTCTTATAGTTTCTTTAGGTCTGTGTTCCTAAGATGCTTAAAATTTTTATCATGAAAAATCCTATTTTCTCTATACCCTTCCTGTACTGTTCTATTTTGGAACCAGAGAATCAATAACTGGCTTGGTAATGAGCTCATTGTCCTTAACTTTTGCTTTATTGATTCACAATACACTTACTGAAATGTAATAAACTATTCATAAACTTGCAAACTCCAGTTGTCTCAAAGTTTCTCCAAAGAGGTATGTACATATTTCAAAAAGATAATGTTACCTATTTTAAACCATTTTGATTTTATGTCTAGGTGAAATGCTGACTCATAGCCCTTGATTGCTGTTTTAGAGTTTAGGCAATCCTCTTTAAAAAATGTGCTTGAGGTACCTGGGGAGAATAACAATTTCAAGTACATGAAGGGTTATTAAGCAGAAGGTGATAGGCATCTTTGCTTAATTTCCAGAGAGGCTACAACAAGGGAAAAGGCAAATGAAGTCGTGGATATGAAAATAACTATACCTTGGCTTTCTGTAGCTCTTCTGGCCCAAGGTGCTCAAAGAATCTTCAACAGATATTTTATCTTCACAGTATATGTATGATGAGGATAGCGCTGTGGAAAGTAAGACAATGCTTAAGGAATTTCCCCAAGGTCACACAAGAGGGAGGACTAATTTCTATTTTCTTGACTTTCTTGTAGTGACAGTTGTTAAAAATTGAAATTGGCCTGGGCGCGGTGGCTCACGCCTGTAATCCCAGCACTTCGGGAGGCCGAGGCGGGTGGATCACGAGGTCAGGAGATCGAGACCATCCTGGCTAACATGGTGAAACCCCATCTCTACTAAAAATACAAAAAATTAGCCAGGTGTGGTGGCGGGCGCCTGTAGTCCCAGCTACCTGGGAGACTGAGGCAGGAGAATCACTTGAACCCAGGAGGCAGAGGTTGCAGTGAGCTGAGATCGCGCCACTGCACTCCAGCCTGGGCGAGAGAGCAAGACTCCGTCTCAAAAAAAAAAAAAATTTTGAAATTGATCTTGATAAAGACCTAGCATCTCTCAATGTGGATCACTTGAGAAAGAATAGCCAATAAATTGGTTTATTTTCTAAATTAGGAGCAGACAGGATTGCACCTAATTTAGGTGCTTTCTGCCTCTGTTTTCCTAAGATTAAAGCATGTTTCAAATAGAATATCTAAATACAGGTACTATTTTATCTGCCAATTTAGAAACCTCTGGATTCAATTATAGAAAATACTATATTTTCCATTGTGTATAAGACACAATGGATATGGTTGTAATAGCTTGAGTACTTTCATATAAAGTAAAATCAAACATACTTTTACCATTCTTTCATGAGTTCAAGTCATAAAAGAAGGTATACCATTTATTTCTGAATAGTATCTGTACTAGTGATGATTTCTTGACTCCATAATGAAAGAACTAAATTTATCAGATATCAATATCAATACTATAAAATCCTTCATGCCACTTGTTTTAGAAAAGAACTCACATTGATGTTATAATAGAACAATGTCATGTCAGATTTTTACTATCTGTGATTAACATTGCAGAGGACCTAATTTGTTATATTATAGTTAAATGTATAGCAAAAAAAAAAGATAATGAAATTCCAATGTCCTTAGAAGGGTCTTGCCTATTAATTTATTGAAATAAGACTAGTTTCTTAAAGGGAAGAACTACTAGAAAAGTAACATTTTCGTTTTGAAGTCATCCCTTGGTGATGACTTTAAACAGTTATTTTGATAGTTTCATAACTATTCTCCCTACCTCCTGTTTCTCCTATCCCCATTCCTTTTCTGCAGACCATCTCCAAGGTTATATTCCCAGAACATGTCTTTCTCTATGATATTCTACTTCTTAGAAACTTCTATAACTCCTCTTTATCGACAGGACAAAGTCTAATCTTCTGAGGTTGGCATCAGCATTCTCTATACGCCTTAGGAGTGAATGAAATCACTCAAGGAGATCTGTAGAGGACTAAAATCAGAATCTTAAGAAATAACATGTAAAGAAACGGCAAAGTATGAGAGGCCAGAGGAGACGATAGAGATTTCAGAGAGTCAGAGAACCAGAAAAGCGCATTGGTTTTTTTTGTTTGTTTGTAATTTTTTTATTACACTTTAAGTTCTAGGGTACATGTGCACAAGATGCAGGTTTGTTACATATGTATACATGTGCCATATTGGTGTGCTGCACCCATTAACTCGTCATTTACATTAGGTATATCTCCTAATGCTATCCCTCACCCCTCCCCCGACCCCACGACAGCCCCTGGTGTGTGATGTTCCCCACCCTGTGTCCAAGTGTTCTCATTGTTCAGTTCCCACCTATGAGTGAGAACATGCGGTGTTTGGTTTTCTGTCCTTGCAATAGTTTGCTGAGAATGATGGTTTCCAGCTTCATCCATGTCCCTACAAAGGACACGAACTCATCCTTTTTTATGGCTGCATAGTATTCCATGGTGTATATGTGCCACATTTTCTTAATCCAGTCTATCATTGTTGGACATTTGGGTTGGTTCCAAGTCTTTGCTATTGTGAATAGTGCTGCAATAAACATACGTGTGCATGTGTCTTTATAGCAACATGATTTATAATCCTTTGGGTATATACCCAGTAATGGGATGGCTGGGTCAAATGGTATTTCTAGTTCTAGATCCTTGAGGAATTGCCACACTGTCTTCCACAATGGTTGAACTAGTTTACAGTCCCACCAACAGTGTAAAAGTGTTCCTATTTCTCCACATCCTCTCCAGCACCTGTTGTTTCCTGACTTTTTAATGATTGCCATTCTAACTGGTGTGAGATGGTATCTCATTGTGGTTTTGATTTGCATTTCTCTGATGGCCAGTGATGATGAGCATTTTTTCATGTGTCTGTTGGCTGCATAAATGTCTTCTTTTGAGAAATGTCTGTTCATATCCTACTTTTTTCACCTACTTTTTGATGGGGTTGTTTGATTTTTTCTTGTAAATTTGTTTAAGTTCTTTGTAGATCGTGGATATTACCCCGAAAAGCGCATTGTTAAACAAATTCACTCAAGATGTAAACAGTGACAAAGTCAGTGCCAAATAACAAAGAAAAATTGGATGCAATTGAATATTTTCACAGCATATGGGGAATTGGCATATTTGCAATAGTTAATAGTAGAGTTTCTTAATCATTTGTCCTATGGTGGAGTGTCTCAAAGTGTGTCTTTGTACTGGAATCACCTGTTAAGATGCAGTTTTCTGGGACCATCCCAAACATACTAAATTAGAATCTCAGGAGTTAAAATCTGTCTAGTCACCAGTCTCTCCCCAAGATGATTCTTGTGTACACTGGAATCCCAGAACCACTGTTAACCAGAATGAAGCCCAGGCTTCTAAGGCTGGTATCACGGTTTATAATCTGGCTCCAGCTCAACTGTCTCACCTTTTCTCCCGCTACTCCCAGTATACCTCTATTTGTATTTTTCCAGTATAGCCCTATTTATATTTTTCTTAGATCATGGCCTTACCTAACTTGCCCTTTTCTGTACTCTAAATCCATCATTACTCAGTCTCTTCTGACCCCATAGTAATTTCTTCTGCCTCTACCACCTTTGGCGTTATGATTGTGCCACTCCTGATGCTTGTGATGTATTTTATAAGATTAAGTACTTTGGCTTTAATTTTTTATATTAATATGTCGACTGCAAGAGAATAAGTAATATTGGGCAGAGACAGTATAATGGTAGGAAGACATAGTATAGTGTGTTAGTGTACATAGTACAGTGTGTTTACACTGTATTATATCTGCCTACCATTATACTGTCTAAGCCCTGTCTCTACTAAAAATACAAAAATTAGCCGGGCTTGGTGGCAGGTGTCTATAATCCCAGCTACTCGGGAGGCTGAGGCAGGACAGTCACTTGAACCTGGGAGGCAGAGGTTGCAGTGAGCCGAGATGGCACTACCGCACTCCAGCCTGGGCGACAGAGCAATACTCTGTCTCAAAATAAGAAAAAAAAACAAACAAACAAACCTATATTTGAGTCTTTTCATAAAGCAAACTTTCTATGATGCAAAAATATCTTTATTTTGTTTACAAATATGAATTTTGATGAAACAAGATTTATTAAAACCCTTCTATATTTAATCACAAAATAAAGCAGTTATGTGGGATACATCACAAATAGCCAACTTTAAGATAAATATGACCCTACTTCTTTTTACTGGACTTTTCCATGTGAATGAATTCTTCACACTGGGTTAGTCAGCATTTTTCTCTTAAGAAGCTTAATAAAATTTGACCTATTACATCAGCCTTTTATCTGAATGTGAAAAGAAGAATTTATGTGGAGAATGCACCACACCCTGTATAACAGTATCTGAGAACCATTAGCTATTATTGCCATAAACATTTGAGGTTGGGAAAGTAATTGTGGGCTTTTTTTTTGTTTTAAGGGAAGGTATGGAGTTTTTTTAGAAAATGTCTGATCATACTAGCGAAAATGTAACCCTTGGCTCCAACTTTGAGAGACTGTTTACTTCAACCTTGTACTAATGTAGATAGGCTAAGGCACACTTTCTATTCCTGGCATTCTTCTGATTTCCTTAGCAGCCCCAAGGTATGTCTATGAGCAAACATGACCATCTTTTAAGTTTAGTTTGCTCAATGCCTGCATTATTTTTTCTTCTGATTACATTCTGAAAGTCCTCGGGGCTTTTATTTCTTTTTTTTTTTTTTCTTTTGAGACACATTTCACTGTCGCCCAGGCTGGAGTGATCTTGGTGCGATCTTGGCGCGATCTTGGCTTACTGCAACCTCTGCCTCTGGGCTTCAAGCGATTCTCCTGCCTAAGCCTCCCAAGTAGCTGGGATTACAGGTGACTACCACCATGCCTGGCTAATTTGGTTTTTTTTGCTTTTTGTTTTTTTGAGACAGAGTCTTGCTCTGTTGCCTAGGCTGGAGTGCAATGGTGTGATCTTGGCTCACTGCAACCTCCGCCTCCCACGTTCAAGTGATTCTCCTGCCTTAGCCTCCTGAGTAGCTGGGATTGCAGGCACTGGCCACCACGCCTGGCTAATTTTTTATTTTTTTAGTAGAGATGGGGTTTCACCATTTTGGACAGGCTGGTCTCAAACTCCTGACCTCGTGATCTGCCCACCTTGGCCTCCCAAAGTGCTGGGATTACAGGTATGAGCCACTGCGCCTGGCCTAATTTTGTATTTTTTTGTAGACACGGGGTTTCTTTTTTTTTTTTTTTTATTGCTATACTTTAAGTTCTAGGGTACATGTGCACAACGTGCAGGTTTGTTACATATGTATACATGTGCCATGTTGGTGTGCTGCACCCGTTAACTTGTCATTTACATTAGGTATATCTTCTAATGCTATCCCTTCCCCTCCCCACACCCCACGACAGGCCCCGGTGTGTGATGTTCCCCATCCTGAGACATGGGGTTTCACCATGTTGACCAGGCTGGTCTCGAACTCCGGACCTCAAGTGATCCACCCACCTCAGCCTCGAAAGTTTTGGGATTACAAGCGTGAGCCACCCCACCCAGCCACAGGGCTTTTACTTCTTTTCATTATATACATATTTGCCTTTTAAAACCCATATGTTGAAAATCTAACATTTGCTTAATACTGCATAATGGATACTTGCTTTCCACTTAAATGTTGTGGTCTTTATAATCTGCAGGTCAGCAGTGTAGCTAGGGGCTGTGTGAAATGTTTAAGATATGATCACTAGCCCCAAGGAATTTACCATCTAGTAGGGGACACATTAGCCACAAAAATGCACTAGGTAGTATGTGGTCTCTGATGTCTGGACAATGCTATCAGTGAGTTTTATTAATAAAATAGCTGCAGAAGGAGAAGACACTTTTGGCTAGGGTAGTGAATCTTCATTTAAAAATGTATTGCTGGCCAGGTGTGGTAATCCCAGCACTTTGGGAGGCCAAGGCAGGAGGATCACTTGAGCCCAGGAGTTCAAGACCAGCCTGGGCAATACAGTGAGACCTTGTCTCAACAAAACAAACAAAAAACTGTGTCTTTTATTTTTCTGTGTGTGAGTTTATGATCTTTGTTTTCTTTATTTCTTATAAAATAAGCGAGAGATATGAACATCAATCATTATAAAAAGCAATCAGAAAAGCCACAAGGTTTAGACTGGGAGAGAAGATAGTCACAGTTCCCGTGAGATTTACACCATATTAAATAGACTTTGATAAGATTGTGTTTTAGTCTTGGATATATCCAAAACTGGATCTTTTAAATTAGAAGGAATTGGTTAGACTTTAATTAGACGAACTGAAAAAATGTTTAGGTTTGTGTTCATTTGAACCAGTTTCTTTTAATTCAACTAGTTTGTGAGTTGTTCATCAAAATAACCACATTCTTGTATCTCTTGAGTTTTCATTTGGTTTTTAAAGGCTGAACCAAAAAGCGTCAGGGTTTTCACACAGCCTTTTGCCATTTCATAGCTCCATGTTTCCTTGGTGATTCTAGTGTTCATAGTCTGCCAGGTCCACTTGGAGCTGTTGCCACTCTGCATTCCTCTTCCATTGTTGGTAATATCCTTTTTTTTCTTCTTATTTCTGTAAAGAAAGTGACTTATTTTCTCAGGGTTCTGAGTTGGCAGAAGTTACTGCAAGTATTAAATCTCCGTTCAATAGTGAAAGAGAAATATCTGATAATCTTTAAGCAATGATTAAATTTTGTGTCCTCAATCACGTTGGTGTTAGATTGCTTTTTTTTGCTTTATAAATCTGCGCTGAATTTTTGTTTCAAGATGTTTTCAGAATATTGTTTAAAATGTTACTCAGTACACTTGCTATCATCTCATAAATAATAGTGAGTGCCCATATGCTTCAACAAGGTTTTTTTTTAAAAAATCCCTTTCCCCCCAGTGGTGATATAAATTTGCTATTTCCTAGACTTTTCTGAAAATTTTATCGGCATGTTCTATTTTACTGAGGTCTTATGACCAGAAAGTGTTCATCACTATATGGCCCACAGATTTGTGTTTATCCTAAAATATGTATAGGATTATCATGATACCATATTAATTCCCATATTTTCCCCTTATGTTTTAATTTAGAAACAGGAAAGAGAAATTTTGCAAGCATTTCAATACTGAACCACTGCTACTCAGTTTGATAAATATTTGCAATTATTACTAGATTTAATGAGTGAGATACTTGCTACCTTGTATGTGTAAAGCACTGGTAGGCATTATAACCAAACAGGTAAGTATACTGCGCAGTGACCATCATTAAGAAGCTTACAACAGTGATTTACACAATAATCAATGGAAAAAAATTTGGACTTTAGCTCCCTCACACTCAGAATTAAAAAGGCATAGTTTCTTCAACAAGAATTTATTTAGAGTCTACTTGTATACCAAGTATACAAGTAGATACAAAAACAAGAGATACAAAGATAAAACATATTTCCCTCCTTTTGGGCCTCATATCAGTATATTTCAGGAGACAGATTAAGGCAAGGGATATAGATTTGGAAGTTAGCTGCACATATGGTAGTTAAAGTCACCAAAGTTAACTATGGTGCTTCCTCAAAATACTAATAGAACTACTATATGATCCAGCAATTTCACTTCTGGGTATATAAACAAAAGAATTGAAAGCAGATATTTGCATACCCATGTTCATTGCAGCACTATTCACAATAGCTAAGACATAGAAGCAACACAAGTGCCCATCAAAGAGTGAATAAACAAAATGTGGTATACACATACAATGGAATATTATTCAGACTTGAAAAGGAAACCCTGTTGCATATTACAACATGGATGAGACTTGAGGACATTATGCTAAGTGAAATAAGCCAGTCACAAAAAGACAAACACTGTATAATTTCACTTATAGGAGATATCTAAAGTAGTCAAATTTATAGAAATAGAAAGTAGAATGATAGTTACCAGGGCCTGGAGGGAGGGGAAAACGGGTTTTTGTTGTTGTTGTTTAAGGGGTATAGGGTTTTCAGTTTTGCAAGATGAAAAGTTCTGGCCCCCTCCCCCTCCCCCTCTCCCTCTCCCTCTCCCTACGGTCTCCCTCTCCCCACGGTCTCCCTCTCCCTCTCTTTCCACGGTCTCCCTCTGATGCCAAGCCGAAGCTGGACTGTACTGCTGCCATCTCGGCTCACTGCAACCTCCCTGCCTGATTCTCCTGCCTCAGCCTGCCGAGTGCCTGCGATTGCAGGCGTGCGCCACCACGCCTGACTGGTTTTCGTATTTTTTTGGTGGAAACGGGGTTTCGCTGTGTTGGCCGGGCTGGTCTCCAGCTCCTAACCGCGAGTGATCTGCCAGCCTCGGCCTCCCGAGGTGCCGGGATTGCAGACGGAGTCTGGTTCACTCAGTGCTCAATGGTGCCCAGGCTGGAGTGCAGTGGCGTGATCTCGGCTCGCTACAACCTCCACCTCCCAGCCGCCTGCCTTGGCCTCCCAAAGTGCCGAGAGTGCAGCCTCTGCCCGGCCGCCACCCCGTCTGGGAAGTGAGGAGTGTCTCTGCCTGGCTGCCCATCGTCTGGGACGTGAGCAGCCCCTCTGCCTGGCTGCCCAGTCTGGAAAGTGAGGAGCGTCTCTGCCCCGCCGCCATCCCATCTAGGAAGTGAGGAGCGCCTCTTCCCGGCCGCCATCCCATCTAGGAAGTGAGGAGCGTCTCTGCCCGGCCGCCCATCGTCTGAGATGTGGGGAGCACCTCTGCCCAGCCGCAACCCCATCTGGGAGGTGAGGAGCAACTCTGCCCAGCCGCCCCGTCTGAGAAGTGAGGAGACCCTCTGCCTGGCAACCGCCCCGTCTGAGAAGTAAGGAGCCCCTCTGCCCAGCAGCCGCCCCGTCTGAGAAGTGAGGAGCCCCTCCGCCCGGCAGCCACCCTGTCTGGGAAGTGAGGAGCGTCTCCGCCCGGCAGCCACCCCGTCCGGGAGGGAGGTGGGGGTCAGCCCCCGCCAGGCCAGCCGCCCCATCCGGGAGGAAGGTGGGGGGTTCAGCCCCCCGCCCGGCCAGCCGCCCCGTCTGGGAGGGAGGTCGGGGGGTCAGTCCCCCGTCCGGCCAGCCGCCCTGTCTGGGAGGTGAGGGGCGCCTCTGCCCAGCTGCCCCTACTGGGAAGTGAGGAGCCCCTCTGCCCGGCCAGCCGCCCCATCCGGGAGGGAGGTGGGGGGGTCAGCCCGCCGCCCGGGCAGCCGCCCCGTCCGGGAGGGAGGTGGGGGGTCAGCCCCCCGCCCGGCCAGCCGCCCCGTCCGGGAGGCGAGGGGCGCCTCTGCCCGGCCGTCCCTACTGGGAAGTGAGGAGCCCCTCTGCCCGGCCACCACCCCGTCTGGGAGGTGTACCCAACAGCTCATTGAGAGCGGGCCATGATGACAGTGGCGGTTTTGTGGAGTGGAGGGGGGGGAGAGGTGGGGAAAAGATTGAGAAATCGGATGGTTGCCGTGTCTGTGTAGAAAGAAGTAGACATGGGAGACTTTTCATTTTGTTCTGTACTAAGAAAAATTCTTACCCTAAAACTTAAAGTATAATAAAAAAAAAAAAAAAAAAAGAAAAATTCTGGAGATCTGTTTCACAATGTCCATATACTTACCACTACTGAACTGTACCCTTAAAAAAAAAAAAAAGTCACCAAAATGGATGACATTACCCAGAAAGAGTGTGTAGAAAAGATATCAACTAAGAAACAATAAGAAACTAAATGTTTAACAAAGAGGTAGATTAAGAGATAACATCAGCCAGGTATGGTGGTTCATGCCTGTAATTCCAGCACTTTGGGAGGGTGAGGCAGGAAGATCATTTGAGGCCAGGAGTTTGAGACCAGCCTGGACAACACAGCAAGACCCTGTCTCTACAAAAAAATTTTAAACATAAAAACAAACAACAAAAGAAAGATAATATTGAGAGGCTGAAGAGGGGTGGAAAAAGAGGTAGGAGAAAAACTAGAAGAGAATGACGTAAAGAAAAACCTAGAAAGAAACCTAGAAACAAAACAAAACAAAACTAGAAGAGAATCCAAGAGAAGGGAGAATTTCTATCCAAGTGGTTTGTGGTGAACAATGTCCAATCCTAGAACAATCCACTAGAGTAAGAAAGTACTATTTAAAAAAAAAATAGGATTTACAATTAGGAGGTCACTATGAACATTATTCAGTGCAGGTCCCTTGGAATTATGTAAGCCAAATATCTCGAGAAATGAATGGGACTTTTATATAAAAATAGAAAAGTGTAGAAAATTCTTTCAGGAAGTTATAGATGAAGGGAAGGAGATGGAAGACAGTAGTTTTGTAGGACAGCAGTATTAAGGGGATTTTTTTTTAAGATACAAAAAATGTTAGCATATTTTTAGAGCAAGAGGAAGTAGATAGTGAAATTGAAGAAAGAAGAGACACAATAACTTATGGAGCAAAATCTCATATCAAAAGCAAAAATAGAGGGATGTTATTAGAAAACTTTGAGTATCCTCTCAGGTAGGAGGAAAGATGGCTGAGTTTCCGGTGAGAGCTCTGATGGAGTTCAGACATTGTGCCATCTACTTTTGCGGTAAAACATAGGACTTGATTATCTTGGAGAGAGGATGATGGCATGAAGTAGTGGCTTGAGGACAGTAGTGAATATTTGACATAGCTACTATAGGAAATGGGTAATCAAACCAACTAGCTGTGGTTAAATCATAATTAATGCTATAAAGTAGAAAGCACAGTTATGCAATTTTCTTGGCAGTCCAAGAGCAGATTGGAAAAAGCAGATGGTTGAGTTGATTCACATTCAGAGATTGGCAGAAGAGATGCAATGTATTAAGGTCATGGAGTGGAAGGAATTATGAGTGCTAGTAAGAATGTAGCTGAAACAACTGATCTCATAAATCCAAACTGGCAAGGAAGGATAAAATCAGCAAGGAGCTAACAGACTAGACAAAGAGAATTCAAGAAGACTAGTGCTTTTAAGAAGTTGGGCCAGGCATGATGGCTCATGCCTGTAATTTCAGCACTTTGGGAGGCCAAGGAGGGAGGGTCACTTGAACCCAGGAGTTCAAGAACAGCCTGGGCAACACAGGAAGACCCCATCTTTACAAAAAAATGAAAATAAATTAACTGGGTGCGGTGGCATGTGCCCGTGGTCCCAGCTACTTGGGAAGCTGAGGCAGGAGGATGACTTGGGCTCAGGAGATCAAGGCAGCAGTAAACCATGATCACGCCACTGCACTCCAGCCTGGGCAACAGAACAAGACTCTTTCTCAAATAAATAAATTAAAGCTAATATGTTGTATGACTATGTCATTGGATATTAGAAATATAAATACTGGTTACCTTACAGTAAAGGTAATCTGGGATGATAAGACTCAGAACAGACAGAAATACCCATAATTCTGTGCCCAAATCTTTAATCACTATGAGAGTGTGGTATGAAGGTCAGCAAATGGTAGAGCTGAGGATGGGGAGAAAGTGATGTTTCAAGAGGATGTGAACTTCAGTGGGGGAGTAGACGAGAGTAAGGGCCTGAAAACCCTAATATAGAACCAGCAGAACATCAGATTATGATTTCCTTAACAATCAAAGGATTGTTAAGGAAAGGCTAGGAGTATAGGAAAGTTTATTAACAACAGAAAGGTATTTTAGAAAAATAACATGGAATTACTAGGAGCAAGAACAAGCTGATTATGGGAAAAAGAAAAGAAAAAAGTGACTAGAGGGACTTATGAAGGAGATAGGGCATTGAGAAGTAACCAAAATTTTCAGGGAGATGAGAAACAGAAGGAATATGAATGGAATGATAATGCTAATTTTCAGCTAAATATTGTTTGGGAGAGACAAAGCAAAGAAATTGAGAGATAGAAGGGATGTTAATACAACCAAAACACTAATTACAGCTGAAATGTTGTTTAAGAAAGATAAAGATTGTGACACAAATCAAATGAAACCACTAAATTTTGTCTTCATATTGTTTAGGGAGATGAAGCAAAATTGAGATGATCTGGAAGCTATATGTAACATTAGTATAGCCTCTCCTTTAAAGTTTCTGATTTCAGGTTTAAACATTTTGTTGTGGGGAAAACATTTGGGCGTCTTCTTCAACCCCAGCATTCTCCAGTTATTTATCTTTAGGAACCGGAAGTACATTAAGTGCCAGATCTTGGATATTCATACATTCAGTTTTAGTTCATCCCATTGTCCTAGCTTACTTATTTATGTATTAATATATTTTTTATTTTTATTATTTTTAGTCAGCTTGCTAGGGAATAGTTATTTATTTTTAATGTACACTTCCCATGTCATAAAATGCACCCCCTTTAAAGTGTGTAATTTAATGGCTTTTAGTATATAAACAAGATTGTACAATATTGTCTTATTGCACTATATTGCAAAAAGGTTGTACAAGGTTGTGCATCACCACTAATTCCAGAACATTTTCTTTATCTAAAAAAAACCCTGTACCCATTAAAGTCACTCCCCATTTCCTCCCTACCTTCAGCCTCTGTCAACCATTAATCTACTTTTGGTCTCTGTTGATTTGACTATCCTGGACATTTTATATAAATGGAATCATATAATACTTGTCTTTTTGTGTCTGACTTCTTTCACTTAGCATAATATTTTCAAGGTTCATCTATGTTGTAGCATGTATCAGAATGTTATTCTTTTTTGTAACTGAACAATATTCCATTGTATGGCTATACCACATTTTGTTTATTCATCAGTCAATATAGGCATACCTTGGAGATACTGTGGACTCAGTTCCAGACCATCAAAATAAAAGGAGTCACGTAAATTTTTGGTTCCCTAGTGTACATAAAGGTTATGTTTGCACTATACTGTAGTCTATTAAGTATGCAATAGATTATGTCTAAAAACAATGTACACACCTAAATTTTAAAATATTGTTAAAAAATGGTAATGATCATCTGAGCCTTCAGCAAGTTGTAATTCTTTTGCTGGTGGAGGGTCTTGTTGCCTTGATGTTGATGGCTGCTGACAGATCAAGGTAGTAGTTACTGAAGGTTGGAGTGGCTGTGGCAATTTCTTAAAATAAGACAAAAATGGAGTATGCCATATCGATTGATTCTTCCTTTCATGAAAGATTTCTCTGCAGCATGTGATGCTGTTTGATGGCATTTTACCCACAGTAGAACTTCTTTCAAAACTGGAATCAATGATCTCAAACCCTGCCACTGCTTTATCAACAAGTTTATGTAATATTCCAGATCCTTTGTTGTCATTTCAACAATGTTTTCAGCATCTTCACAGAGTAGATACCATCTCAGGAAACTATTTTCTTTGTTCATCCATAAGAAGCAATTCCTGGCCGGGTGCGGTGGCTCATGCCTGTAATCCCAGCATTTTGGGAGGCTAAGGCAGGTGGATGATGAGGTCAGGAGTTCGAGACCAGCCTGGCCAATATGGTGAAACCCCGTCTCTACTAAAAATACAAAAATTAGCCAGGCGTGGTGGTGCACGCCTGTAGTCCCAGCTACTCTGGAGGCTGAGGCAGGAGAATCGCTTGAACCCGGGAGGTGGAGGTTGCAGTGAGCCGAGATTGTGCCACTGCACTCCAGCCTAGGCAACAGAGGGAGACTCTGTTAAAAAAAAAAAAAAAAAAAAAAAGAAGCAACTCCTTATTTGTATTTGTTCCAGTTTATCATGATATTGCAGCAACTCAATTCCATCTTTATGTTCCACGTCTAATTCTCTTCTTTTGCTATTTTCACCACATGTGCAGTTACTTCCTCCACTGAAGTCTTGAATCCCTCCACGTCATCCATGAGAGCTGGAATCAACCTCTTCCAAACTTCTGTTAATATTGACATTTTGACCTCCTCCCATGAATCACGAATGTTCTTAATGGCATCTAGAATAGTGAATCCTTTCCAGAAGATTTTCCATTGACTTTGCCAAGATCCATCAGAGGAATTACTATCTATGATAGCTGTAGTCTTATAATATGTATTTCTTAAATAAGACAACTTGAAAGTCATAATGACTCCTTGATCCATGGCCTGCAGAATGGATATTGTGTTGGCAGGTAGGAAAACAACATCCATCTCCTTGTACATCTCCATCAGAGCTGTTGGGTGATGAGGTGCATTGTCAATAAGCAGTAATACTTTGAAAGGAATCTTTCACTTTGAGCAGTAGATCTCAACAGTGGGCTTAAAATATTCAGTAAACCATGCTGTAAACAGACATGCTGTTTTGTAGGTTTTGTTTTGTTCCATTTATAAAGCACAGGCAGAGTAGATTGAGCATAATTCTTAAGGGCCCTAGAATTTTTAGAATGGTCAATGAGCATTGTCTTTAACTTAAAGTCACTGGCCACATTAGCCATTAACAAGAGAGTCAGCTTGTCCTCTGAAGCTTTAAAGGGAGGCATTGAGTTCTCCTCTCTAGCTATGAATATCCTAGATGGCATCTTCTTCCAATAGAAGGCTGTTGTGTCCACATTGAAAGTCTGTTGTTTCGTGTAGCCACCTTCATCAATAACCTTAGCTAGGTCTTCTGGATAACTTGCTGCAGCTTCCATCAGCGCTTGCTGCTTCACCTTGCACTTTCATGTTTTGGTGATGGTTTCTTTCCTTAAACTTCAAAAGCCAACCTCTGCTATCTTCCTACTTTTCTTCTGCAGCTTCTTATCTCTCTCAAACTTCATGGAATTGGAGAGAATTAGGGCCTTGTTTTGGATTAAGGGAATGTTGTGGCTGGTTTGCTCTTTTATCCAGACCACTAAAACTTTCTCCATATCAGCAATAACATTGTTTTGCTTTCCTTCCTTTTTTTTTTTTCCTTTGAGACAGGGTCTCACTTTGTCACCCAGGCAGGAGTACAGTGGTATGATCACAGCTCACTGTATCCTCGATTTCCTAGGCTGAAGTGGTGATGCTCCCACCTCAGCCTCCTGAATAGCTGGGACTGCAGGCATGCAACACTACACCAAATTTTTGTTTTGTTTTGTTTTGTCTTTTGTATTTTTTGTAGAGACAGGGTCTTGTCATGTTACCCAGGCTGGTCTCAAACTCCTAGGCTCAAGCAATCTGCCTACCACCGTATCCCAAAGTGTTAGGATTATAGGCATGAGCCACTGCACCCGGCCTCTTTTGCATTTTTTTTTTTTTTTAGACGGAGTCTCACTGTGTCAACAGGCTGGAGTGCAGTGGTGCGATCTCAGCTCACTGCAACCTCCGCCTCCTGATTTCAAGTGATTCTCCTGCCACAGCCTCCCGAGTAGCTGGGACTACAGGCACACGCAACCACACTCAGCTAATTTCTGTATTTTTAGTAGAGACGGGGTTTCACCATGTTGGCCGGGATGGTCTCAATCTCTTGACCTCGGTATCCACCCGCCTTGGCCTCCCAAAGTGCTGGGATTTCTTATAGTTTATGTGTTCACTGGAATAGCACTTTTATTTTCCTTCAATAACTTTTCCTTTACATTTAATAACTTGGCTGTTTGGCCCAGGAGGCCTGGCTTTCAGCCTGTGTTGGCTTTTGATATGTCTTCCTCACTAAACTTAATTTATTTCTAGTTTTTGGTTTAGAGTGAGAGATATGTGACTCATCCTTTCACTTGAACACTTACAGTCCATTGCAAGGTTATTAATTGGCCTAATTTCAATATTGTGTGTCTCAGGGAACAGTGAAGCACAAGGAAAGGGAGAGAGATGTGGGGAATGGCTGGTTGGTGGAGCAGTCAGAACACACACAACATTTATTGAGTTTGCCATCTTCTGTGGGCACAGTTTGTGATGCTCCAAAACAATTACGATAGTAACATCAAAGATTAGTGATAACAGATCACCATAACTGATAATAATGGAAATGTCTGAAATATTGTAAGAATGACCAAAATGTGACACAGAGACACAAAGTGAGCATATACTGTTGGGAAAGTGGTGCCACTAGACTTGCTTGACACAGAGTTGCCACAGCCTTCAATTTGTAAAAAAAAAAAAAAAAAAAAAAAGGAAAGAAAAAAAGTGAAGCACAATAAGGTGAAATGCAATAAAACGAGGTATGCCTGCAGACATTTGCATCGTTTCCACTTTTTGGAGTAATTCTGCTATGAACATTCAAGGTCAAGTTTTTGTGTGGATATATGTTTTTAATTATCTTGGGTATATACCTAGACGTAGAATTGGTAGGTCATATAGTAACTCTATGTTTAACTCTTTGAGAAACTGTCAAAATGTTTTCCAAAACAACTGTATCATTTTATACTTTTGCTAGTAGTATATGAGAGTTCCAGTTTCTGTACTTCCTCACCAACACCTATTTTCCAGTTTTAAAAAATTATAGTCATCATAGTGGGTGTGAAGTGGTATCACAGTGGTTTTGCTATGCATTTGTTCCCTTAATGACTAACAAAGTTGAACATATTTTCAT